>NC_000018.10:75140239-75441594 GCF_000001405.40 Homo sapiens | reverse complement strand
CTGTTACCAAAGGTCCACATAAGGCTGAAAGTAGCATCACATGCCTCACAGTAGCTCTGCCAGATGCGCTATGCACTGGTGCAGCCTCCCCTCCGGCTGAGAGTGAGCCACGCGCGTCCCATTTGATCCCAGTGGAGGGAGAAAACCTTCCTTCCTTCTCAGTTCCATCCTCCTATCCTAGCATTGCGATACTTTGCCCAGGAAGCCAAATAAATGCATAATTCTAACTAGCTATAATTGCATTTCCCAGCTCACCTATCAGAATGGTGTTTCCATCGTTGCTGACTTTTGTTAACAGCTGCAGCAGTCTCCTGCCGCCTCCTCCCCACACCAGCACTCACAGACGAAGGTCTCTGGGGATTGACAGAAAATGACCTGCCGCTTTGGGTATTTCATGGCTCTGTGTGTGTACGTTTTGTTTTTCCTATCAGTGATTAAAACTACAAATTTAGTTAATGTACAGCACAGACTTTGTGAATAAATCTACACACACACACACACACACACACACACACACACACACACACACACAGCTCTGTAATTGCTTTTAAATGCTGGAACCAAGGCTGTCATCTACTCTCCAGACACTGAACTCCCCGCTGCAACCCTCCATCCCTCCCTCACCACACCTCCCACCCTGGTCCCACACCAACCTTTTGTTCTGATGGCAAATCAAAAATCCCAGAGCTTTTCCCAGCCAGACGTGGTATAAAGTAGACCAATTTTCTGTGTGGCCAGCCTCTTTAGTTGCATTTTTGGCAGATTAAAAACAAAAGATATGACCAATATTACTCATAAAATACTGTGTTTGCTTGATGTTGCCCCTTAGGTTCGCTGCAGAGACACAACTGTCCAACCATTTATCACTCAGAAACGTTTTACTGATCTTCTGGAAATATGTCATCATTTAGGAGTATTATATATCTTTCTAAAATCACTCAAGATTTATGGTGGCGACTTGAATTCCTTTAGAGTTATCTGCTTCACACTTTTGAACACCAAAGGAAGAGAAAAGATTGTATTTTAAGGAATTTAGACCAATGGTTATGAAGAAGCCAGAGACCAGAACACATCCTGAGATTAGACACAAACAAATGAGAAAAGTTGATTGCTGAAAGCGATAGGAGCCTTCTAGGATTCAGCAGGACCCCACCCTGCCAGCCTCCCACCCTATATCGAATCATTTCCTTGCGTGTAATGAGCCATGGCAGTCCAGTTTTTACCTAATCAGTTCTATCACTCATTGGCTCATCCTACCTTGAGATCCCCTAAAGGTTCTGGGGAATGGTGATTTCAAACTAAATCGCTTACCAAGGCTGATATTTGAATCACTAAAAAGGCACAGAATTGTGGAGGGGCGTGCCTCTTGGGTGGATAAATCTTCAGGATAAATAGAAGGAATATGTAGAAAGGTTTCACAACAGACAAATCTGCAATAACCTATCTGAAAGAGTGAGTAAGCTCCTTAAAAACCACCCTGGCATGAGACCTGTGTCAATGTTCGCAGTGCCACCATTCCCATTACTCCTCCAGCAGAACACTTTCCTGGAAGTCCTGAAGAGCATTCATCAAAACAAATGGGCTGCTTTCTTTGGGTGGGGGGGATGCTGCCGCCCTTGGAGTCCAAGACACACACATTTTCCCCTGCGACATGAAGCGGTATAAAGAATGGTTGTCACCATTCGTGACCAACAACCCACAAGGTTCAAAGTGTTCGCACAGGATAAGAATGTTGACAGCATCCTTAGAACAGACCCAAGCTAACTGGCCTTGGAATTGAATGCAGTTAGCCTCATCAGCAAGAACCAAGGAAACTCACCAGCCTCTGAATTGATCAAGGTCTTTGCTCAAGGAGAGATTCCTAAAATGCAAAGCAAAAAAAAACAGTGATTTTTTTTTCCGGGATGGGTAGCTGGGTTCTCATTTGAGCCCAGGTTTATGATGGAAGAACATGAATAAAGTTCCATCCCTCTTGAGAGCAGTTGATGCCCATATAAGGGCAGTTTTCTTCTGGAGAAAGTCCCAGGGGACCATCCATTACCCCCAGGACAGCCACTTCTGTTTAGCATGTACGCAAGGCTGCTCAGGGGATAATAGGACACTTGGGGATGCATGCCATCAATAAAACAAGGATGTTCAACCCTGAATTTCACTTTCCCTTCTTGCCCAGTTACTTATTTTCCCAGTTCCCTGGTGAGACTAATGCTAGCCTAGTTCAACAGGGGCAGAATGAAGGCGACGCTGAAGGTGAAGGCAATGTTCGGTGCATTTGTCCCAGCAATTCAGCACAGATATCTGCTTAGATGAAAAAACACGGTTAGTGTCTGTGCCTCCAGAGTGTCAGGGAACATTTTTAACTTAACCTGTTCAGTACTTCACATTGCATCTTTCATCTGTGTATATTTGCTTCACTGTGAAGGTTAAGGGAGACAGATGAACATCTGCAGGCAGACATTCACATGCCAAAATTGTGAGCCAACATCCAGACTCCCAAGAAAAGAATGTGGGAAAACTGGCAGACTCTAGAATTATTCTCAATGTGGGTGAGCCCTTAGCAGGACCCTGAACTGGGTTGCTCAATGACTAAGGGGATCACCTCTGGCAGCTGGTGTTTGCCTGGGCGACCCCCAGAGAGGCTCTATTTGGGAACTGCAGACGATTAGGGGATTTCCCTGTTGACAACTCAAATGCCCTCCCATCTCTCTCTAATGCTTTCACCTGCTCGGGGGGCACCTCTATCTAGAAATACAAGAGTGGTGCCCAGGGATCAGCTTAATATTTTTGACTCCAGTGTTTTTTGACTCCAGTCCTTGTGATAGGAGCAGTCTTGAAAAGTCAACTCCAGGTGCCTGCAATTAGGATGGAGTCTGTCTCAGCCAGAGGCAGTGATTCAAGTTTGCTCCCTTTTCCCAGTGGCTCTCCCCACTTCTTGGCCTAGATGTCCCCATGAACACTGCTGGTAAGTGGGCAGCATGACCACCCAATGGTGGTCATGCTCAGACCTCAATCTCTGAGTCTTCTCCTTTCTAGTGAGACCTGCCCACTCAACCATCTCCTACAGTCTCATATCTTTAAATAGTGTTTATATGCTGATGTCTCCCAAACGTGTATCTTCAGCCTGATTCCCTACTCTAAACTCCAGACTTAAAAATCAAACTATGACCTTGACATCTCATGGGGATATTTAATAGGCTCTCAAGCTTCACATTTCCCCAGCTGAGCTCCTGGTATCCTCCCTCACAGCCTTCCCTATCGCAGCAAATGGCAACTTCATTCTTGCAGTTACTCAGGCCAAGCACCTTACTATCCTCCTTGGCTCCTCTCTTTCACTCCCAATGTGCATTGAGTCAATCCACAGATCTTGTTTACCCTTCCTTAAAAATACACACAGAGCCCAACCACTTCTCACCACTTGCATCTCTCCTACCCTGGTCCAAGCCACCAACATTGTGGTCCAGATCCTGGCAGTGGCTTTGTGACATTCTCCCTGCTTCCTCCCACAAATCTCCCTCGTTTACTCTCCTGTGTCAGATCATGCCATTCCTCTGCTGCAGAACCTCCGCTGGCTTCCCATCTCATCCAAAGAAAATATTGAGTACCTCTATGATCCCCAAGGTCTCACTGCTCCACTCACATCTCCACCCCTCCCCACACTCACCTCCTGGCTGGTTTTGACCAAGTCAGGCAGCCTCCTACTCAGGAACCTCTGCTCTTGCTGTTTCTTACCTGGCCTTCCATGTGGCTCCTTTCTCTTCGCCTTCATACTTTAACTTCAAGGTCACACTCCCTGACCACTCTCAAATGTACCCACTTCCTTACCAGTGTTTTTTATGCTCCTTTCCTGTCTTGTTTTTCTCCTGAGTACCTATCACTCTCTAACCTAGTCAACGTTTAATTTTTGTGGGTACATACTAGGTGTATATATTTATGGAGCACATGAGATGTTCTGATACTGGCATGCAATGCATTTATCCTTTGTGTTACAGACAATCCAATTATAGTTTTTAAATTATTTTTAAGTGTACTATTACATTATTGTTGACTATAGTCACCCTGTTGTGCTATTGAATAGCATGTCTTACTCATTCTTTCTAATTTTTTTTGTGCCCATTAACCATCCCCACCTCTCCCCTTCCCCTCCCCCATTACCCTTTCCAGCCTCTGGTAACCATCCTTCTAGTCTCTATCTCCTTGAATTCAATTGTTCTGATTTTTAGCTCCCACAAATAAGTGAGAACATGTGATGCATGTCTTTCTGTGCCTGGCTGATTTCACTTAACATAATGACATCCAGTTCTATCCAAGCTGTTGCAAATGACTGAATCTCATTCTTTGTCATGGCTGAATAGTACTCCATTGTGTATATGTACCCCTTTTTTTTTATTTATTCATCTGTTGATGGACACTTAGGTTACTTCCAAATCTTGGCTTTTGTGAATAGTGCTGCAATAAACATGGGAGTGCAGATATCTCTTCAATATACTGATTTCCTTTCTTTTGGGTGGATCCCTAGCAGCGGGATCGCTGGATCATATGGTAGCTCTATTTTTAGTTTTTCAAAGAATCTCCAAACTGTTCCCCATGGTGGACCACCTAACCTATTCTTTATTTTTTTATTGTTTCGCTCTCTCATTAAATAGAAATTCCATAAGGATGAAGATATTTTTCCGTTGTCTGCTGAATCCCTGAAGCCTAGCATGTGTAAGAAGACACAGAATGCATATTCACTGTGTGAGTACATTTTATCTTGTGGCATCGATGATCCAGGGCCAGAGGAGCATCCAGAAAAGGACAGCAGAGCCTCAGGTGCTCACCGGTGTCAAGGAAGGTCTGCGAATAGCTTTGATGCAAACTGTTAATTTTCATTACTGGTGCCTTTTGTGCCAACTACTAGAGGTACTTGTTACTTATTAGCAGAATGACTTTACACGCTTCAAATAAATTAATGCCCCTTAATACCTGATGCAGTTGGTAGAAGTGAGATAGTCACATGCCAATTGAGTATAGAAGGGGAGAAATGGAGGAAGATGAAGTGCAAAGAGAAAGAATTTAGCATTCATAGTATGGAGACCTATATCTCACTTTTTAAAAATTTAGTATGTAAATATTTTTATTTTGAATGGTTCAGAGCAAACTGTGATTTTCAAGTACTTCAAAATTCATTCATTCACAATTTTTTAAGGTAATTCTAGTTAATTTCCTAAATTAAGTAGATGGGAGGGGACTAAGAGAGGATCCACAAGACAAAAGAATAAAAAATATTTTTTCAAATAATGTGAGAACAATTTTGAAAGACAAGGTGATTCCTAAGCCGAAGTCAGATAAATTGTCAAGAAAGGACTTCATTGTGTCAAAATAGCGGGTGAGAAGAAGACAAACTTGGAAGTCATTGGTTTTAGGAATGAAGGAGCTCAAAACTATCAATTATTGATTTATGCCTATTTATAACATTTGAATTTTAATATGAATGCAAATTTATAGAAAATTTGCAACAACACAAGAAACATTTTTATAGAAAATTTGCAGCAACACAAGAAACATTCAATGTTTTTTTTATTTATTTATTTTAGACGGAGTCTTTCTCCGTCACCCAGGCTGGAGTGCAGTGGCACAATCTCAGCTCACTGCAAACTCCACCTCCCACGTTCAAGTGATTCTCCTGCCTCAGCCTCCTGAGTAGCTGGGACTACAGGCACATACCACCACACCCAGCTAATTTTTGTATTTTTAGTAGAGACGGGGTTTCACCATATTGGCCGGCTGGTCTTGAACTCCTGACCTCGTGATCCATCTGCGCTGGCCTCCCAAAGTGCTGGGATTATAGGCGTGAACCACCCCGGGCCCATTCATTGTTATTTACCCAGATTCACCAGTTTATATTTTGCTATACATTTGCTTTATCAGTTGAAAGAAAGAGACAGGGAGAGAGAGACAGAGACAGAGACAGAAAGGGAAAGAAATGGAAATGAAAGTAATTTGGCAACCTTGGGTTCCTTTACCCCTAAATACCTGAGTGTGCATTCAATAAGAACAAGGGCTTTCTCTTATATGGCCCAGTTACAATTATCCAAAGCAGAACATTTTCACATAGAAACAATACGATTATCTAATCCACAGCCTAGATGCAAATTGTGTCAACTGCCCCAATGGTGTCCTTAAAACTGCCCCCTCCAGCCCAGCAACGGGCCAGATCCCACATGCATCTGCTTATCATGTCTACTTCGTCTCTTTGCATCTGGAACTGTTGCTCAGCCTCTGTCTTTCTTCATCTTAACATTGTGAAAAGTACAGGCCACTTACTCTGTAGATGTCTCCTCACTGGGGGTTGCTGAGGTTTCCCTGTGACTAGATTCCGGTTCTGCACTATGGCAGGAATTACGCAGAAATGCATCTTTCTCATTGCAGCAAATGAGAAGCCCAGGATGTCACTGTCCCAATATTAGTGATGTTAGCTTCGATCACTTATTTAAAATGAAATTCACCAGGTTTCTGAACTGTGAGGTTCTACTTTTCCATTTGTAATTAACAAGTAATTTACAGGGACATAACCTGAGACCTATTCCTCGTTTAACTTTCACCCACTGCTTTTAGGATCTATTGCTGACTTTCTCATTCCATCACTGCTTTGATCCATCCAGAAATCATTTGTATTTCAACACTGCACTTTTCCATTTTAGAATTTCCTTCTATTTTTATAACTTCTATTTCTCTGCTGAGATTCCTAGTCTGTCCACTTATAATAACCACATTTTCCCTTAAGTCCTTGAACATACTTATAAATGTTGTTTTAAAAGTCCTTGACTGCTAAATCCAACATCTAGATCAAATCAATGTCCATTTCTCTTGGCTGTGGGTAAAATCTTCTGGTTCCTGTGCATGGGTAATCATTTCTTATTAGACTACACACTGTGGATGCATAGTCTAGAGACTTTGGATTCTGCTATGTTCTTCTAATGCACATTAGTTTTTGCTCTAGCAGCCACTTAACTTTACGGCAAAACTCCAAACTGTCCTCCTTGCAGTCGGCAGGAGGGGACACTGCTGAGTCTTTAGCCTTGCAGCTGTTGCTTTTCGCAGGGAAATGTGGGGGCTTCCCCATGCACATGCAGTCCAGTGGTTACCCAGGGGCAGGAAAAAGCGCATGCACAGATTTTGTTGCTATCCTTTGTGTACCCCTGATTTCTGGAATTCCCCCTCCACTTTCTAGCTGCCATGAGCTTCAGACTATGCCTGGTGACTTCTCAAGCAGATAAGGGTACAAAGTTCTTCTTGGGTTCTGCCCCTGCTGTGCAGGGGCAGAACCCAAGAAGTTTTGGGAGTACCTTAAGGCAAGCAAAAAAAAAAGGAGAAGAAATGCAAATGGTACCCAGTGAATCCCCATCTTTTGAGGGTTGCCTCCCCGGTTGCTGCCTGCCTTTCACCATTCTCCAATGCTTTTGAACAGTTGTTTTTTACATCTTGTCCAGACTTTGTAATTGTTATCTGCGGGAAGGTTATTCTGGGGCAAGCTTCTCCACTATTATCAGAAGCAGAGCCTCTCTAATCATCTTTTTAAATCTAGAAATTCTCATGGTTTCTTAGGGCTTCAGGCTTCCTGTCAGTATTTTACATGACACTGTAAACTTTCCATCCACATTATTATTCTTTCTATGATATAGAATCCAGCCTTTATTCTTGAATTTCTTCTTACCACTTACCTGAGTGAAGCATCTCTGCATAAATTCTAAAAGCATATTTCTAGTGGTTCAAGCTGAAGTCATCTTCTTTAGCAAATGGGAAATCTAACAGGTATTGCAAATCACATAATTGGGGCTATGCAAACTTGGGTGTTAGAAAAAATGAACATCTCAGAAGGAAATCTCTCTCATCATATAACATATGCATATTCATATATATGTATAGATAATTTAGGAAAGCTGAGTTTATATAGCTGCAAGTCTATATGCCTAAGGAGAGTGTTAACTGAACTTTGTGCCAAAACTTTAAATATACCCGAGATACTTTTCCAAGTGTCTCCACTCTATTCTGTCAAAGCCACACAAATTTTTAAATAACAGTCCAAATATGCACTGTCCTCTTTTTATGTTTTCCTCAAAGCGCGGTTCACTGCCCCACACCTTCCTGGAGGCAGATGAGCGCATGTATTTAAAGTGCACCCCGGCCTGTGTGTGCATTTCTTGCTTAGTGCTTCCATTTTGTCACAAGTAACATGATTCCCGTGTCCTCCTCCTTCCCCAGATCATTTAGTCCTGGGCTGCTGAGAGAAAATGCAATCTCTATGACAAAGCCAGCTCCACCTTCTATCGGTCCCCTACTGTTGGGTGAATAGTCCTCCAAATGCTGGCAGGAAGGGGATTGACTGCTAAGGAAGGAAATCTCAGGCACTTCTCATATCTGAAAGGAAGGCACAGGAAGAGCCGCAGGATGGAACTCAGACTGGATGAAACTGGGAAGATTTTGCTAGACAGAAATTAGAAACGCTCCTACAAAGAAACTGAAGTTCCATGAACATGCTGTTGCCACCCTGCAATTTAGTGTCATACTCTACTTGTAACTCTCACCTAACAATGTGTCATCTTTACTTTTTATGTTATTTATTTACAAGTGCATTTTCAGTATCAACCCCTTCATTCATTAATCCTAATGTGGCCTTTTCCAATGTCTACTTACCATTTTAAATACTTACCATAATTTACAGGGCTTTCTTGAACATATCCAAGGTATATTATATGAGTCTAGCTTAATGGAAAGTCTTGTATACCAAAGCAGGAAAAAAAACACATTTAATTTATGATGGCTTTGAATTTTGATCATAATTTACTCCTGGAGACCTATTCACACAAAGCAATACCAATACAATTTTTCAGAAGCAATAAAAAATAAAACAATAAATGCTGATCTTATTAGTTTTTTCCTGAAAGTTCAGACATATTCCATTCTGGGATTATGCAAATTATGCTTAACTGGAGACTATATAGGTTATTATATAGGTTATTATAATTTCTCTTGAGCTAATTCTATTAGCTTAACTTTTGAAGTATTTTAGCTACTAGAATTTTCAAATTTATGTGTTTCTCTTTTCTTCCTTAAAGAAACTATCAAGGGCTTGCCCCAGTTCAAGGTCTTAAAACAACAAAAGAGATAGATATACATGGAATTAAGAAAAAATATCACTCAAAAAATTACGACCAAAGAAGAATCATGTTTTGTAAATTCTTTCATGTCACCTAATTTTAATCCACAAATTGGAGTCTGATTTAAAATAGGAGAAAACTCTCAATAAGGATTTTTGCAGAGTACGTAAGACATATAAAACTCCCCTCATGGAAGCCAGGCCGTCTTTCTTCCAACAAGATGAAATCAATCATTTGTCAGGGCTTACCATAGTAAAGCAAGTTCATACAGTAAATGAAAGATACATACATTAAGAAGACAAGGTTCTTGACTCAATGGACTTAGAGTTGAAAGGAAGATGAGGCTTCTAAGAACACAAATCACTCCTGGGCAGCTAGAGGCCGGGGCAAGTGCCTCTAGGATACTCAACTTAGCGGGTGGGCTGGGGAAGCCCAGGGAAAGAAGGATCTCTTCAGAGACCAAGAAAGGCTTCCTGAAGGAGACTGTGTTTGAACTGGGATTTGGTCAGAAGAGTTGAGTGTCCCAGAGAGAAGAACTCACACAAGCAAAGGACACAAAAGGGGCAACATTAAGAGACAGTCCCCAGGACCAGAGGGAGGCTGTATAAGGTGAAGGGTTTGGTGCAGCTACAAGTAGATTAGGACGGGGAATATGGGGCATGGCCAATACTTTGAAATGTTTGGGCTTCCTTTTGCAACCTGTGAGCACCCCTTGAAGGTCTGAGGATTGGCTGAGCATGAGAGTAACATGATTTAGACATGGGCATTAGGCCATTCTATGGAGATAGCTGGGCCGCTGAGTGACCAGTGCAGCCATGCGTACCCTCCAGCAGCATGAGGGTCCAGATTAGCGCAGAACTCTGAGATATTAAAGAGGGGTGGGAAGGGTACGTGAAGCCAGAACCACCAGGGGTGGGAGGAAGGGGATGGCTGACAATGGCAGCGGCTAACTAGATGGCTGGTGATACCATTCACAGGAGCAGGGAAATCACAGAAAGGTGGAGCTGGAGGTTGGCCAGGCAAATGGAGTGTTTGGGGATGCCAGTGAGGCTGACTAGGAGAAGCTCTATGCGTGGTCTGCAGGCAGATGATCAGGAATTTGAAGTTAGTGAATAAAACACAAAAGGGAATGTAGACAACATCACACAACAGTCAAGAACAGCTCCAGGGGAGTCCACTTTTCAAGAGGAAGAGAAGAGAACAAAGAGACAAAACAGCCAAAGCGGGGTCCCACAAACAGGGTCACGGTGCAGAGAGGGGCACACAGGGTCTGAGAGTCTGGGGGAAAAGAACGCTGCTGACATAGTGCATGGCTTCTCAACGGCCTCACAGCACAGCTGCCACAGAGGCAGGGTGGAATCTTCCCAAAAGTGAACATGTGTCTGTGTGTGCCTGAGGCCTGCATGGGAACTTGAGACTTGGAGCTGGAACTAGGTAGCAGGACTCAGAAAACGGAGTCAGGTGTGAAGATCACAGTAAGGACCAGACAATCTGAGGGGGACTGAGATCCAGAAAGAGAACCCGAGCACAGGGACACACTTCACAAGCAAGCCTAATGAAGAGGCTCCAAAAGCCAGGGAGTGACGAAGAGGGAAGGGATGCAAGCCAGGTTCTTTCTGGCAATGTGCAGCCTCCAAACCCCACTTCACGAAAGGACCAGCTTTAGTGTCTGATGCACACTCTTCAAATTTAGCAATAAGCTCTACCAACCAACAATCTATGTTTCCAGGGATGATGATGGCTGTTCCTTCAGAGGCATCGAACCGGTGTCCTGAACTCCTCTGCACTGACTGGGACACCGCAGACCCCTCAGAGGGAAGGAATCGTGCCTATTCATTCCAGATGCGGTGTATGCAGACAGCTCTCTTCACAAGTCCAAAGTTGAGATAACTTCTATGTGCTTGAAAAGTCTCCTTTTCTATGACAGTTTAAAGAAAACATTTTCTTCCAAAGAAAAAAAATATGGCTTACTCTCTATTTTTAGGGGCAAAATAGCAGCAGCAGCTGAAAGTAAAAACCTTTGGGCTCTCACAATCCCATAAAAAAAGCAATAAGATTCTCTAATAAAGCGGGTTAACAGGATAACCTGGACCAAGTCTCTAAATACCGAAGACCCATGGAGGGAGCAGATTCATTTAACTAAGACTCTAATCAGAGGCCACTGATTAATCTTAATCCTACAAATCATCTACTGTGACTCAGCCCATAAACTGCGGGATCTTTCATTCTCATGCCTCATAATAGGTGTGGGAGGAGCCCAACTGACATAAGAAGACTGTGGCATGACATCATAAAAATCACCAAGTGGCATTGTTAAACACCCCCATACGGTTATGAGCCGCACTGCTATGCTAAGCACAGCACGCACACTCAGGAGTGATCTCTCCACTGCTCCTCTGCTGCGTGGGTGACGAGGCTTCTCATTAGTTATCCATGTCCTCGTCTAATCACAAATGCGTTAGTCAAAAACCAGGGCATGTGAGAGTTTATAGGAAACAGGACATCTAAACCTCAAATGAGGGAAGGGAGGAAAAGGAGGGAGGGGTGGGGAAGGTAAGATTCACCAAATTCATTTTGTTTTCTATCACCTGGTACTTCTCCTGGTCTTAGCAGGCCTACGGTTCATTGGCACATGCTTCAGGCTGTAGCCCAAGGCTGGTTTAATCTACTACAGGGTTTAAGTTTTCAAAAAGAATTTTCAGCAGATGCACTAGATATGGTCAAATATTTCAGTGTTGTTCCTAATTATTTGAAGTTAACCACCTAACATCCACAGACTATAGATTACCCTCACCCAGGTCTTCAGCCCCAGTTGATTCAGAGGGCTGTTTAGAATTAACACCCAGTTTTCCTTCCTTAATCCACAGACAACCACACTTAAAGGACAGCTAAGAAGCCGCAATCCCTTCCCAGCAAATAGTGCTTATTATCTTACAGAGCAGGTTCACATCTTGTCACTTCACTTTGACCTCCTGGTTATCCTGCCTATTTTGTAGGAAAGGAAACTGAGGCCTACAAAGGTTGGGTCAATTGTCCTAGGTCATGTGGAGGGCAATCGGTTCAGCCAGGATTTAAACCGCCTTTGCTCTGTTTCTGGTCCTCATAGGTTCTCTACCAGAACTACAGAAGGACAGGAAGAGCTAGAAAAACCATTCCAGAGCTCAACTATAACTGGGCATAAACTCTGAGCTCATTAGAAAACTAGAAAACTATATCCTTTTGCTCTTGTTCACAACTTTTAAGTTGAACTTATCCATAAAGAGGAATTACCATGTTTACAGATTGTAGTGGCCTGATTTGCATATGCTTATCATGAAAATAAACATGATTATGGTTGTTTTTTCCCCTAAGTCTAGTTGGCAGAGAGCAACTTCGTCCCTCCTTGGCACCTGTCTCAACTGTCATAGACCAAGCTGTCCCTCCTAGATGAGGTCTCTTTCCACCCCCTACACCCCACTGTCTTTTAGCAGCTGGAAGTTTAAGGCCTGTGGGAAATTGAAGATTAATTTTTAGTCAGTGTTTTTTTTTTCTCTTTTCTTTAAATCACCAACTCTGAGAATTCTAGATGTTACTCTGCATATGTGTGCTCCACAACTATCAACTTTCACAATTTGGGATCTGCTACAAAACGGGCTTCCGAGCTCCCTTCCTGTCCCTCCACACAGGTCTCAAGCCTCCTCTGTCTCTGCTCCCTCTGCACGTTTCTGCCTTTCCCTTGTCCATGGCCTTGGTGGGACCCACCATTTTTTGCTCTTCTTTCTAGAGAATGAGTCTTGTCTCCAACTAGATGGGAAAAACCACTCAGGACAAGACCATCAGAACAGCACTGGGCTACTGATTTGTATGCTGTGCATATGGTCACTGTTCACATAATAACAGGTATTTTCTTAGTCATACTGTGCGTCAAGCACAGTGCATACTGTCCTGGGCATTTTTACTCAACACCAACACTGTGGAGCACCCATCATGAGCTTCTGTAGGCTGGGACTCACAACTATGTGCATCTCTCTTCATCAGGCACCTTGTCAAAAGCCATCCACACTATGGGGATAACGCTGCAAGTATTTGGTGAACGTGTGTGTGTTAAGTACCACTTAATTTTCCGCTCATTGGGCACCATTTACAAACAGTGGAAGATCTGTGAAAATTCCCATGAGGCAGCACAGCAGCATCCAGAGGCCACCACACACGTCTCATGGCTACTCTCCACCCTGCGATGATGGTCTGCACAGCGCTTCTTCCTGGGGTAGCTCCCAAGTAACCTCCATTCAGCTTTCCTCCTGCTGTTCCATGGTGCTTGTCTTCCAGCAGAATCTCTCTCACTTTAACAATTAAATGGACAACCCAGGAAACCTACACTTGGAATTCAGCGAAAGAAATGTTAGTCTCCTGTGGAGTGTCTCATTAGGTTAAAAGAAAGTTACTGAAAAGTCTGATGGGAAAATGAATTTCTACATTTTGCTTAGGGCCCAAAAAGAATCCCAGATTTTATTTCCATTGAAGTGCATATAGTAGTATTTATTTTGATTCAGGGAGATGCGGTTCATTTTTAATATTCACAAAAGCTTCTTGACATCAGATCCAAAGCTTGTGCTGTGGAGATATGGTTGAACATTCTCACACAGCATCACTGAGCCAGAGAGCAACCTGAGAAACCTCAGAACTCCATGTGCGGGAAGATTCCATCCGACTTCATAAAATAATACCTGGACCTGAGAACTCTACATGTGGGAAGATTCCATCCAGCTTCATAAAATAATACCCAGATCTTCAAGGTTGGCAAAGAAGAGAAAAGCTCCTTGGGAACTTAGTTACCAGGTCTTATAGCACCAGCTCTGTGTCCTCAGAGTCGCTGTCATCAAGGAGACCTCTCACTGGTCACCGCCGCAGCCCCCACATGGACCAGTATGTGTCCACAGCTCCTCCCCGATTCCCTATAGCACAGCTGGGAACATTTAAACAAGACTCTGCAGGAATGGGACGGATATTCAAGGGGAATTTGCTGCAGAAGAAAGCACTTACCACAGTGAGTTTATGGGTCTTTAACTTTGGGTTATGAGAGAGACGTATCACTGCACAGGTATGGTCCTACAAAGCACTCTTTTGCCCCAATCTCCTGTGAGTGCTCTGTCTCTCAAATCCAGATTCTACGAAGTTTAAGATGAGACGTCAATCCAGAGCTCTTTCTTTCTCAGTTCTGGCCAAGACAACCTCCCAATTCCAATTCCCAATCTGAGGAAGAGCTGCCCCTTTCAGAAAAGGTACTGGGCCCTCCCCTTGACATTACATCAGTATACAGGCCAATGAGTCAATGATCTCTCCCCTACAGAGAGAGCCTCTTAACACAGATGCAAGGATACCTCCAAATGCTTTAAGCCTAGGTGCACCTGCAACACCTACAAACTCAACCTACCCAGACAAATTTGATACTGCACTCCTAGAAGAAAGTTTCTTTTCCTTCATTACAGGACAGAAGCAAAAGTTGCAACAAATTTAACCATTCATGAACCAGTAGCCAATGTGCAGGCAACAGATGGCATTTATAGACACCCCATTTGCAGAGGTGATGGGGTGATCAATAGCTTCTGAAAAGGAAGTTTATGACCCAGTCATATATCGGAAAGGTTAAAGTCCTAAGACAAAATTTCTGGAATGTCTTCTCCTGTAGCACAGGGTTCCTCTTAGTGTTTCTGACTGTGAAGAGGAGATGGATGGGAGCAGGCAGGTAGCATCTCCTTCCTCTGTCTTGATCCCCACTGCTGCTTCTTTATTTCCTTTTCCTTTTTCCATTTTTTTTTTTTTTTTTTTTTTTTTTTTTTTTTTTTTTTTACATTTTAAAAGTAATGGTCTAGGGCCGGGTGCAGTGGCTCATGCCTGTAATCTCAGCACTTTGGGAGGCCGAGGCGAGGAGATCACAAGGTCAGGAGATTGATACTATCCTGGCTAACACAGTGAAACCCCATCTCTACTAGAAATACAAAAAATTAGCCAGTCGTGGTGGCGGGCACTTGTAGTCCCAGCTACTTGGGAGGCTGAGGCAGGAGAATGGTGTGAACCCGGGAGGCAGAGCTTGCAGTGAGCCGAGATTGTGCCACTGCACTCCAGGCTGGGTGACAGAGCGAGACTCTGTCCCTCAAAAAACAAACAAACAAACAAACAAACAAACAAATAAATAAATAAAAGTAATGGTCTTAAAGTTCTTCAGTCTTAAACAAATTATAGAAGGCTTTAAAAGCTGGTTTTGTGCATTTCATATGTGATAGTTGTAAGTCGATTTGAAGTCCTTCTAATACTTTATAAATTTCATCAATCAACATCCAGGTAGGTAGAATCTTAGGTACATGATGATGGTTATGAATTAATACTAGGCCGGTGTGTGCTGGGTTTGTCTCCAGGCCTTGCGTGAGGGCTGTGATGGGGTGCATGACTCAGGAGGCACTCGGTGGGCAATCAAAAGAGGCAATGGTAACACAGCACCTCAAACATTTCAGGGCAGCTGGTCTGCACCAGGTACACAGTAGGCATGAGGAGTGCAAAGATGGGAGAGGCAGGGGCCCCCACCTCAGGGAGCACACAGATACAGAGACTGTCCCTGTCCCCTCCATCTTCAACTCTTGATTTCTTCCATCTTTCTTAGGTTGGAGGTTAACTTGCTGCTGAAGAGATTTCAGCAGGATGGGAACTTACATATAATCTGAATAATCAAATGTAAAAGAGTTCATCTTCTGGGTCCCACTTCTGCTATTTTCATCCACTGCTTCCTACCCATGTGCTAAGCATTTTCATGCAGCCTCGTCTGTCTTTTCAATAAGAAAGCCAGTTGATAACTGATTCACACTTAGGTGGGCTGTTAAACCACAAAATGTTGACAAGGAAAACAACACTTAATAATAAATCATATGATGGTAACGTTTCTGTAGCCAGTAGGAAAATGGTTTCAGGTGTGAACAATTCTCACTACTTCATGGATCATACGACATAGATACTGTTCATTAATGACTCTAAAGCCAATACAGGGCATGAAACTATAAGGAATTCCTTCCTGCTATTGTCCAGGCAGTGGAATGGGACTTTTTTTTTCTTTTGGCCAGTGTTCACTGGTTCCACTATGTTTCTGATCAGATCTTCACATTTAATTTCTTCTTAGGTATTCATGCATCTAGGAGTTCTTATGTACTGGAAACTCAGTATCTCCTGTTTGCAGGCAGTGACTGGGTGTTCATTAAATCCAGATATCTCTGGATGGAGGCTGTGGATAAGCTTGGTGTCCAGTGGAATCTCTCTCATGCACAGACGACGAAAATCCAAAAGCTCACATTGGTTCCAGTACAACAGACAGCCTGTTCCACTGGAGTTGTGTCAGCTGAGGTGTGCACATTTGTATCATCTGTCACAACTATTTACCCCTCTCTTTTCTCAGTAACAGCAGATACACTCGCCCATCGCCATGAGACTTGAGGGAGCTGATCCACTACCAGGCTTGGCCTGTGGCTTGCTTTGCCCACAACAGCGTGAGGAGTGTGATGTGCAGCACATCTGAGCAGAAGCTTTAAAAGCAATTGTGTGCTTTGGTTCTTCCCCTTGTACTTCTCATCTTCCATGAAAAGGGCCTGTTCTCCCAGATCTCTGCTCCTTAGCCTGAGTCTGGGAATGAGAAGACACACAGTGTCACATTAGTGAGACATTTTAAATAAGAAAGAAGTGTTCATTGTTACAAACTGCTGAGATTGGGGAGGCAGGGGTGTTGTCACTATGAGACATCTACTACAATGTGATATGGGCTCTAGGACAAGGGACATGCACTTCATCCCTTGTCACAATGATTTTAAAAATCCATTACTATGCACAGGACTTGGAGTGATACAGGCATCAGGCAGACAGGATAGCAAGTGCACTGGGATGCTTCCAAAGTTTTCAGGGATTTCAACAGTCCTATCAATTGAAGGAAGAGTGATCCTCCACCCCATGCAAGGACATTATTAGTGTGAAACTCCCAAGTGCTGTATCCTAAACATACCCCCTTAATAATGGAAAGAAATCCTCCCTCCTCTGAGTTAATTACATAAACTATATATTATTCATCAGATTTCTATATAATATTGCTTCTACTTGTATGTGCAATCATAAAATGATTCATAAAGTTTCAGGTCAAGGAAGGAAAAGTAAATATTCCATTTTTCGTCCTGACGTGGACACCCGTAATAAAATGTAGTCACTAAATAAGAATCTTGTTGATTGTATTTGCTACTTATTTTTAAGTGTCAGTGGATCAATACTGTAACATGGCTTATCTTGGTTGAGCAGAAATGATATCTGTACATTCAGAGAAGTCATAACTGAATAGCTAGAAGTGTCAGATTACAACTATGGGTGGTCTTCTTCTTTGTATTGTTGAATGAAGAAGAGACAAAATGGTCAAACATTCTTGAAGCAATGCATTGCAACGAACAGTTCAATCTGAGTGGTAGATTTGAAAACTAAAGGATAAAACAGTTATAGACAACAACTAACAAACTGACTGTGTTCTGCCTCCATTCCAAAAACGTGTCACTAAAATGACCGTGTCTTTGCTCATTAAGGCCATTAGTAAAAAAAAAATTTGGACTTTTATGTCTCTTGTACACTTGAAATTTACAGGTGATGGGTAAATTTCACTTATCACAGTAGAAATACTCCAGCCAATCAAAACAGAGGTGGACACAGCACAAGTAATTTATTAATTCACTGCTCTTTCCTGAAATGGGCTTGAGTCAGTGCTATTGGCTCCATATTTTCTGATTGTGAAGTTTAAAGAAAAGGGCACGGGAACCATGAGACATCCCTGAGGCCAGAGCCCCATCCCATCACCTTCTCGCTGTTTTCCCATAAGCAAAGTGACTTCTCCAAATCTCTTTGTGCTACATGGGACATCCCGCTGGCCTCACGGCCTGGCTGGAAAGATGAGGGGTGTGGTGTGATCACACCTGGCACAGCTCTCACCCCAGGAAGGGTCACTGGGGCTGCCTTCCTCTTCAGGTCCCTTTAAATTAAATGTTTCTGTTCTATAGAAACACATTTATCTCCTAACTCTGTTTCCAAGGTTTTTCTCCTTCCATATAAATCAGTAAAGCCTCTTTTTACTCTTAAAGTTAAAAGGACAACCTCTCTAACTGATTTCTCTAGGACACTAAGAGAGCCACACAAAATGCTCTGAGATTGCAGAGGTGCAAGGAGCAGCTGTTTTGGGAAACACTTCAACCTTGAACCCTCACCAGACATAATGACATATGTGTAAAACCTCTGGGAAGTCCTGTAGGAAAAAAGATTGATGAATTTGGGGCAGGGGATTTGCAAGAAAAGTGTAGAATTATTTTTAATACAGAATTTTAATTTTCATAACTGATCTGATCTCACAGTGAAACTTATTGAGCTCAATTAGTGAGAACTCAAGTCTTTTACTGAATTCTCAAGTCCTATTATGATAAATTAAGGACAAAGTGTTTCTAAATAACATGTAGAGATATAATTTACTTACTATAAAATGTAGCCTTAAGTGTCCAATTCAGTGGTTTTTAATATACTCACAGAATTGTGAAACTTTTACCATAACTAATTTTAGAATATTTTTATAACCCCATAAAGAAATCTCATGACCATCAGCAGTCACTCCTTCCTCCCCATTCTTAGAGACCCTGACAACCACATCCTGTTTCTATGGCTTTACCTATTCTGGACATTTCAGATAAATTGAATCATCCAACATGTGGTCTTTTGTGACTGGCTCTCACTAAGTATAATGTTTTCCAGTTCATCTTTGTTGCAGCATGTGTCTACCTTCACTCCTTTTTGTGGCTGACTAATATTCCACTCTACGGATTTATCAAATTTAGTATATCCATTCATCACTTGATGAACATTTGGATCATTTCCACATTTTGACTATTATGAGTCATGCTGCTCTGAACACTTGCATACAAGTTTTTGTGTGGACATATGTTTTTACTTCTCTTGGGTATATCTCTATGACCAGAACTGCTATGTTGTATGATAACCCTATTTAATATTTTGAAGAACAGTCAGTCTGTTTTTTAAAGTGTGCCAGCTCAGTTTCTTTTGATTAAAAAAAAAAACTGGGGGTTAAATGTTCAGTTGATGCAAAGCCCTGCGAAAGACGTTCAGTGACTCAGATGACACAATCTTTGAGGTGCCCATTGAGTCAAATTCCTATATCCCTGCTTCCCCATATCCCTCTCCATGGTGCGCCCCTGTCTCAGGAATAAGGGGTCGCAGCCTCCCACAGCATCCTGTGAATGCCCACTGGCCTCTCTTACACAGTTTTTATGCTGAATTCTGGGCCAGTGGCCCTGCTGGGTGGGCGGCTTTGGCTGGACTACTGGGGGTCAAGCCGGTTCCCCAAGGAGTCCGAACTCTGGCTGTCCACTTGTGAAGGCTATGTTGTCTCTTTGTCTCAACCCCAATCACGTCATATTGGTTCTCAAAGTGTAGTCCGGGAGTCCCTGAGGTGTTTTCAGGGATCCAAAAGCTCAAAATTACTTGCATGATAATACTAAGACATTAGTATTATGTGCAATGGGGTTTTCCAGAGCCTGAATGAGGTTAGGTATTTCGAAAGACTCAGTGCAGAAGCAGATAAGAAAACCCAGTTGCCTTCTATTAAGCTGGGCATTACAGAGGTTTGTAAAAATGTGAAACAGTTCCACTCCTCTCACAATTTTACTTTCTTCTGGACATGGAGCTGAGCTGAACAAAGGCTTCTCCTACAGGCCTGCAGCCTTCCCCAAGCTACACATGGAAGTTGGGCATCTAGTCCCAAAGTTCTTGGGTATCTTACACTATTTTGATATTCCTGTCATGTTCCCCACCCTGACCCCACAGAGCTCCACGTGAGAGAAACACTAGGATGAGATCTTCCATTTTTTCTGACCCTCCCTGACCACAGAGACCTTGCACACACCACCTCCTCAGCTCCCTCCACTCCCGACTTGTGGCCACAGCAGAGGTCCTGCCAGCCAGACCCATATCTCACGGTGGGAGCCACAGGAGAGCCTGCAGCTCAGAATCATAGAGGGGAATGGATTTTGTTTCACTGCCCCCAAAATACTGTCCCTGTGCACTTTGTTTTATCAAGTGTTTCCCAAATTAATAAAACCTCCTTTCTTAAAAATAACCTGTTAATATCTTGGGGTTCAACGTTTACACAGAATGCTGTAGGAAGCATTGCCATTAGGAATTATACTTGTTCTTTAGTGACTACAGACTTTAGATATTTCTGGAAGTTCCTCATGGGACCTAAAGCTGGTTTTTGTTTTGTATTTGTTTTACTTAAGTTAGTCACATTTACAGGAAAACTGCTTCGCGATCAACCCAAATAGAACAAAATAATGTCCAAATTCAGACT
Organism: Homo sapiens; assembly: GCF_000001405.40. Classification (NCBI taxonomy): domain Eukaryota; kingdom Metazoa; phylum Chordata; class Mammalia; order Primates; family Hominidae; genus Homo; species Homo sapiens. Next base: position 75,421,062 of record NC_000018.10, on the reverse strand, counting down.
CTAGAGAAGTCCAGGTGCCTCCATGCACTTCACACGTTATGAAATCCTAATTAGGAGAAGAATATTGTTCATGCTCTTAGGATTCCCGTTAAGAATGGCTCATTGGCTTCTAGTTTTCCTGTGGAAGTACTACTCTCTCACTACTGGCAGTGGTGGCATTTGTGGAATATCACAAATACCTGTGGATCCCCAGGTCAGTGGATCTCCAGACAGGGCCCGAGGATCCTAAAACTGGAGGATCCTGGAAAAAGGGCCCAGGAAAGCTCCCAATATTTCTTTCTGCTCCATCATCTCCAACTTGGTTTTATTGTGTTAATGCCCAGATAACATACCCAAGCAACTCCTTGGCTTCAAACGTAGGACAAGCATAGCAGTAAAGGAAGAATTGAGACCCAATGCTCCAGTGACTTTCTTTAATCACTTACTCCTCAGCCCAGTGAGGAAGCACCCAGGTTTCCACTCAAGCAAATGCCTCCTGATGGCCCTTTTGCAACATTAAAACATCATTTAATCAAGCAGTACAGATCTAAGTATATTTTATTCAAACCTAATTATTTAAAAATCCTTACTGTCTCCAAATGATGCACAGAGTAGCTCTCTAATGATTGTTGCATGTTGAAGACCACTTTAAATTTAAAAAAAGAGAGACAGAGACCCTGATTTTGTAGTGAAGATGCAACGACATATATTTCAACAATAATTAAATCCACCAATTCCACCTCTTTATAACTGGAATAGAGACTTTAGCAGCATTAAGAAGTCCCACCTTTCTCCTTTTCCTTCTTGAATTCTTCAAGGCTAGAGGCCTATTAGCTGGTAAACTATTAAAATTCAAACATGATACAACCCAAGTAGCTCCAGCTTTGAAACAGAAGGGTGGCTAAGTACCTGCTCTCTCTCACTGCAATACTCCAGCAGCAAGGCGAGTCCAGTTTCTCCCATCATCAGTGGATCCCTGACCCTAAGCTTAACTACTTTCAGCTTATGGGAAGCTCCATCCTACATTCTTCAATGGTGCCTAGCCCTATTTTACCAGTAGATGGATGCTGGGATTGGGGGAAGGGAGCTGGGAGAACCAACCTAATTAAAACAACTTTTGCTTCATCTAGTTAACAGCAGGTAATACTGAGTTCTCTCCTTCCCACGGTGGCTCATGCCCCCTCATAACACGAAAGAGGCATTGTCCTTCCCTGTGCACACAATCTGCAACCAGAGAGAGCCACCAGCCACAGAAAGGATAAGGCCCCATATTAACAATTTTCTCATTTGTTAGCTTAAGGAAATCATTTTCTTCCATTTTTCCACTTCTTGAAAGTATATCTACAAGTTTTTAGCCAAGAATTTTTGGATATAGTTGGTTTTGGGATCACATATTTAATTTGCTATGTGTTTATTGTTTTTCTTTCTGAGAAAGAAGAAGAATGCTAAATAAAACTTAACTTCAGGGCTCCTGTTATTCCAATGGCCACCACCTTGACTAGATTTATTTTCATTGATGTTAATTTTCATTGATTTTGTTTATGGTCTTTCAGCCAATTATCAGTCAAGATGCTTTCTTAAAAGACTGTGAAATTCAGAATAAAAGGCACAAAACTTATTGCTATGAATTGTAACCTCTGCTAAACCAATGATATATGGCATGATTTGAGAAAAATTTTGTTGGCACATTGTCAATTGTATTTTTGACCACTAAAAAAAAAATCAGTCAGTGATGTATATGCTCAAATCACACTGGAACACTAAAGTCATACTGGTCACAGATCTGTTTGATAACTCACTGGGCTTTTACTTATTGTATTTAAAAGCCGTGAGAAACCTGAGAAATGATCCAGTCTGGCACCCTCAACTTAATAGGGAACTCGGTTTCATAGAACTCTCTGTGAATCTGCTTTTAATTTACACTGATACTTAAAATTCTACACGGCAGATCTCAAGAGTTGTTTTACATGCATTATCTTTTCCCCAACTAATTTTATAACTCAATAAAAACCACAGTTCTGGTTTTACTTCTGAAACACGACCTTAAATATATAAACTTATTTATTTTAAACAAAATTAATTGTTTGACAAAGAGTTAGCTGCTTGTAGCATGAAGCTTGAAAAGCCAGACACTGTAAATAGTAACTGTAATTATTTCCTTTTTCAGTTTGAAAATGAACACCATATTCGTTTCTTCACATTGTTGGTTCTTTTCCATGTGATGGTGTTGCTGAGGAATCATAGCAGGATACAAGGGGTTTCTGAAGACTGGAAAAGGGCCAACAGCATATTTCGAAAGTAGGTAAACGATAACCTTAGCAGTTAAAAAAAAATACTACATATTTTGAAAGTGAGTAAACGATAACCTTAGCAGTTAAAAAAAAACTAGAACATTCATCAAGCAATCAATCTGTAGCCACCTAGGAGAGTGCACATGCTGGGTAGCTATCAAATTACTTTGTAAAAAGGAAATTAGGCCAGATGAAATTAATATCCATCCGTGATAGAGCACGGGGCCACATAGATAGACAGAGTGAGCCATGTATACTGCAGCGACCTCCTTCTATCTGAGGTCGCTCCTTGAGACAGGATGAGCATTTCGTCAGTGAGAGCCTGCAAATCTCTAATCGCCTCTGAGAGCCAGTGACATGGGACCTTCTAATAGGTAAACCATTTCATAATGAATCCCTCCTGGTCTTTTAGTAAATAACTCTCTTGGGAAGAAGGCCAAGAAATCTCAGCCCTTCTTTGAGTTTATTTCTAGAGTGATTCCAGTTGTGCTTAGTTAAGGTCTCTGTGTACCAACAGATAAGTGTACAATTGGCTGGAAACGTTTTCAGAGGCTTATATTTAAACTGGAAGGCATATTAATTTTATTTTTCCTTCAACAGGTAAAAAACTCCTTCTTTCTCCCACTGTAGGCTTTTTGTGTTTTCAACATACCCAGCCTCACTCGGAAAAATAAAAATAAAAATAAAGCACCCACTCACATGAGCAGCCAAGTTTCAGATACCAGTGGGCACAAGCTCTTCCAAATGTCTCCTGTTCTGGAGATGTTCACAGTCCTCACATCAAAACTGAAACAAGCAAACAAAAAAATAAAAAGCTTACTACCAAATACCCTAGGAATAAGACTTAAACTCTATTTGGAAATTGAATTTCTTCCATAGTCAATCAATATTTAATAAAGAGAGAAAAGGAGCTCATTACAAAGACCATCTTGTTTCTCCACAAGTCATCTATGTGAGATTCCAGAATTTCAGGGCGATAAGTTCTTAATTGGAACATTATATATTCTCTTTGCAGCCAGTAAGTACGCATCACTTCACGAGAAAGCACTGCGGCCAACATTTCTCCTGGTCTGCTCTGGGTTTCAGTGAAGGGCAGGCCTGGAAGCACCTTGGGAAATGAGGTAGAGCCAAGCTAACCCTAGAGAGCCGTTGAGCTTACGGAGGGTTGAGTGATTACGCAGGCATAGTCTTGAGTTTTATTTTCAGTTTGAATACTGCTAACTAGTCTGTACAGTCACAGGCTTACTATAGGGAGTTTATTCTACATCAGCTATATTCTCTCTTCCTTAGCAGCACTTAATGAGTTGGCTGGAAAGTTGTTCCCAGCCAAGCCAATATCCCATGAGTTATAAATGACATTTCATGCTCATATGCAGATTTTCTGCACCGAAGTGAATTATTTACAAGGTAGGCCTTATGGATTCCAACAGTCAGCTGCCTGAGATTTACACCTACCCGTTCTCTCTACTCTCTTGCTGGGAGAATGTGACGTCTCCCACTGCCCTTTAACATCTGAAGATTTAGCGGGAGCTGCCCTTCCTGAGGCAGGTGCTCCCTTGCTTGAGATGGCAACTGGAAAGGCCATGCACCCTGGAAGCTGGAAGGTAAACTGAGGCTCTCCCAGAGGTGCTTCTCCTGCCCGGGGAGGATGCTGTCCGCATGCAAATGCACACGAGGAGCACCAGGAAGAATTTAAGTTCTGGGGAGGCCTTCCTGCCCATTAACAGGGATTTTATTACCTTGGGTTTTAGCTACTTAGTTTAATAATTTCTTCCTGAATGTGCGAAAATCCAAATTTTCTCCTAAAGGAAGCTCTGTGTTCAGCAGTGTGCTCTGTCCTCTGTGGAACAGAAGAACCAACATGTCGTTTCTACCTCCCAGGAACTCCAGGGGTTGAAAAGCCTCCCAACTTACAGCAAGGATGATGAAAATATAAGTAAGAGTTCGGCACCAGACAAATCCACCAATGGAACAAAAAAAGCAGCACAGACACCAGACACCAAGTTAAGTACACAAGGGTCTCTAATCTATGATAAAATCAGCATTTAAAATTAGCAAAAAGTATGGTTTTTTAAATATGTTGAATGAGAACAACTGACTATGCATTTGGAAAAAGTAAGATGAAGATCCCTACCTTATATTATCAACAAAAATACATGTATGTTGAATCAAAGACCTAAATGTAAAAATAAAATCCAAAGAATACTGGAAGAAAAGATGGAGGAACATTTCTGTAGCCTTGCAGTGAGAGTAAACAAAAGGAAAGAAGGGACTTACCAAATTTTATAAACTTTTTCCCAATAAAAACCAGACTAAACAAAATTAAAACGTAAGTGACAAACAAGGGAGGGAAAACATTTACAACTGACTATTAATATCCCATATTCAGAGAAATCCAACTCATTGGAAGAAAATGACAGACAATACCCTAAAGGGATAAAGAATACTTATAGGCAAAAAAGAAGTACACACGGCAAATAAATCTGTGAAAAGATGCTCAACCACGGTATTGATTAAAGGAATAAGGAAGTGAATAACAACAAAATAGTTTTTGCCAAATCTGATTGTCAACATGTCATATATTGTTAACATTGATTGCTGTCGAGGCTGTGAAAAACTAGGCAGCTTCATAATTGTTGGCAGGAACAACCAACTGCTACAAACATTTTGGGGGCAATTTGGAATTATCTAATAAAATATATTTGCATACCCTTTGGCCATGCCATTTCACTTTTACGGATCTAACAAAAAATAAAATAAAAACATTATAAAGGTATATGTACAGGGATTTTGACTGAGTACTGTAACAGTAAACATTGCCTGCAGCGTAATATCTGCCAGTAAGAGATGCTTTCATGAATTATGATAAGTTCATAAAATGGAATGCCATCCTCTCATTAAAATCTGTAAACAACCAAATTTCCATCAATAGGGGAATGGTTAAATAAATTGTAATGCCACCATTAAGCTGAATATTATGTAGCTACTAAAGTGAATGAGACAGAGCTGTACATAGATGAAAAGATGTCTTTGCTACCTCAAGTGAATAAAGTTGTAGACAAATGATAGATACTATAGATGAATAAGCAGATGATTGATGGATGATTAGATACATCCTATATAACTTTAGTTGAGTCTGTGTGTGTCCATGGAAGAAAAGGACCCTCAGAGTTGTTAGTGGTGGTGATCTCTGAGTAAGGACGTTTGTTTTGTGTGCAGCTAAGAGCTTCACTATCATCTCACATGCTAGTTCCGCCTGGTGATGGGAGCACACTCCCAGGCAAGTCAGAATGCTCATCTTCCCCAGGACCGCAGATGTTGTCACACGTCGGGGTCATCCATTCTGACATCAGCAGAGACTCCCAGCAGCAGAGACCTCTCCCTCTGGCTGGGGAGCCAGTCGCTGGAGCAGGGACCCTTCAGCCCCACTCCTGCTCTGCAAGCTCTCACCCATCTCCATACAGAGAACACAGAGAATTGTTCTGCCACTGCTGATCACCGCTTGGCTATGGGAAGCTCTGGGCAGCTGTTAAGTCCCCTCTGCCTTGAGATCCCTATATCCACTGTCACTGTGGGCGCTTGGTGCTTCCATGGAGACTTACCTGGGAAAGTATGCCCAGATTCTCCAATCCTTTCTGGTGTTTTTGTTAGCTCTGTATGAGGTGTTCATGGTGCAGCAGAAGGATGACAGAGCTCAGTGTCTCTTCCATTAGGGACCCACTAACAGAAGAGGGAGTATTTGTGCACTCCTCTTTCCCTATCTGAAAGTCCCAGGGAATCTTGATCTTGTCAGGATTGGGTGCATGACTGTTAATTGTCAGCCATTCTTACAAACACATTTTATAAACTGAATATTTTGTGTTCTCTGAATTCTATGCTCTCAGAATTCAAAAACCAAGATGAACTTTCCCCCTCTTTTTTGCTGGTGTCACTCATCCCTGAGCGGGGTACGCAAAATACCAAAGCCAATTATGTGGTACGTTCAAAGGGTCCAAAACCACCCAGGGTGAAGCATCAGACCACCAGGTTTGTGTTTGCCAAATGCCCACTCTCCCGGATCCTCTTATTCTCTCTTCAAAAACAGACACAAAACAACAATAAGAAACATCCTCCATTCTTAGTGACAGCTGAGGGTTTGGATGATGCGGATGAGCTGGAGGAGATTTTCCATTCCTACCACAGCGAAGGCAACTGAATACATTCTCCTTAGCCACTGTAGTTCTCCAGAAAGCCCCTGGGCCCCAGAGGTAATGCAGGGCTCTCTTCTCCTTGACCCATCTTTCCCTTCCCCCAGTGCTCCTCCCTCTTCCTTCCTCCTCTGATATGTGGAGTGGGTTCCTCTTAAGTAGGAAGCCGGCAGGCATGTCGAGGCATCTTTTCAGCAGTCAATGGAGCAGGAGTTATTTTTTATTCTTTAGTGCAATTCCAGTCCCTAGCACAGTACTTGGCATGTAGTAAGTGCACAATAAATAGAGGAGTAACTTTGCATTTACATGAAAACACTTTTTGCAACCAAGCCACATTCTTTACATTTCCTTGGGGACAAAAAAAATTTATTTTTATCCTTTGATAATAAATTTTATGTCTACAATCAATAGTAACTTGGAACTCATCTTGGGAAACAACATGGATAGCCATGCTAGATAATGACTGTGTGTGTGTGTGTGTGTATGTGTGTGTGTGTGTGTGTGTGTATGTGTGTGTGTGTGTGTGTGTGAGACAGAGAGAGAGAGACTCCTAGGCATCATCATCCTAAGCAAGTACAAATCAGGAGTTTGTTTCTTTGCAAAATAAATAGTTGTTCTTTGTTTCTTTTGTTTTTGCTATTGTTTTCTAAGATAAATACTATGAAGGGCACAGCACTCATTTGAATGCCTATATGTCATTTATTTGATTAATTTATTAAACATATTTGAGGTGTCTACAATTTATTCATCCCTGTTCTAAGCAATGCAGATCACGTGTTGAAGTAGACAAGGTGTTTGCACTCATGAGACTTACAAGAAGGAAGACATCCTAAGTCAAGCAAGGATGGCCCTTATACAGAGATTCTGAGACAAGAGGGACCAGTCATATTCTAGAGACTGGGTCATAGAACCTGTTCGGTCTGGCTGGAATGAAAATTGCAAGGTGGGGGAAGTGGAGAAGAGAGGCAGGGGATGCTGAGAAATTGATTTGGAGGGAAGCAGATCATACCAGACCACGAATGGCCTTATGTGTCCTGTTTTATACTAATATCCTAAGAGCAATGGGAATCATTAAAGGGTTTAAGTACAGACATTGGATCTCTGCTCTGGAAAGAAGAGTTCAGCAGCAAAATGGGAGGTTACCGAAGGAGGCAAGATTAGAGGCAGGATGATAGTTACGTGTCTTCTCCAGATACAAGCCAGAGACCACTGGTTCAGGTAGGTAATTTCACAGGGGGTGATCAGGAGAAAATAAAAGCAGACAAAATCAAAGACATTTAGAATTCACAATAGTAAAGCCTGGAGATGGACTGGGTTTAGTGCGGAGACAGAAAGCTTGGCAGCTGAACATCTGGCATGGGCTAGGGCTCTGGAGGCTCAAATGGGGAGTAAAGAAAGAATCTCTGGGAGAGGGACTGTTGGATTCCACCTTAGACTTTCTTCAGGAAGCATCCTTAGGATGCCCAAGGAACACTCAGGTAGGGGGGCCCAGGAGCATCAGCGTGGAGGCCTGGAGCCTGGACCTCAGCGACTGCCAGCATGTTTTTGAGTGTCTCATAATCAGAACACAGGAAGTCCAAGAAGAGGAGACGATGCATTTGTACCAAAAGTTCATAGACAAGAGGCTATATATAGACCCAAAGGTGAGACTGCATTGGATTCAAATAAGAGTTCGGATTTGAATGAAAATACAGGCAAGGGGAAATTCAAGGTACAACGAACAGCAATGAGACTGGGGGAGGAGGAAGGAGAAAGAAAAACGGATACTGATCACAGAAATCCAGCAAGTGTGTTCGATCAAGTATTTTACTAGGAGTGGGGGTTCTGTAAACCTATAGGGAGTCTTCCTGAGACTCAGCACTCAGAGCCTGGCCTCTGGTACCCACATACAATACTCATCACTATCGTCAGGAGACTAGCTTTACTGTGACTCAAGGCACAGGGAGGCCAAGACATTTGGTCAATGTTTCATGTCAGAGCAACATGGGAGCCTATGTGCCCAGGGCCCCGTGATGCTTCCAAACCTCATACCTCCTCAGATGATGGTCACCTCACTAAGACTGTTGCCCGATTCTCAGCAGCATCCAATGTCAGAATAGCACTCTTTCCACAAACCAGGAAGATTCTGCCAGAAAAAGCAGCAGGCAGCAAAATATTCTTAGTACTTGGTGGAGGGATTCCCTTTCTTTCAAAACCTAATTAAGGACTGGCAAATAGAAATCTTGCTCAACTCAGGTTTTATATAGCAATTGATTGTTTTATTTAAGCGTCTGCTTTAAATTCACCGTATTTTCTTCGTTCCTTTCTTTCCTTCTTTCTTTATTTTTAACAAAGTTGCCCACACTCAACTATTGTGAAAACTCAGAATACAGAGATTGAGAATCTAAACCTTGTTTGTTTTCACATGTACTTGCCCTCTCTTGGAGAATTTGGGCTTCATCTGTTGAAGGCCAGAGGTCAGAACAGTGTTGATCCTGGAAGCTCAGGAAGCCTTGGGGGACATTTGGAAGTTTAGATATTCTGGGGTCCATGTTCTATGCCAAGAACTAGTCCCTCAGTGTGTAGCAGCAGAACAAGTGTAATGATTTGATTTCTTATAGCCACTGTCACCTTCATCTATATATTTGCTGGTGATTTATTAATATCTGTTCTACCTGTCTCGGCCTGCAGGAGACCTTGTATTGCTGCATGCCTTCTATAGAGCAGGGAGAAATGAAGGGAGCAGATGGGATTATGACTTATTTTCCAACGTTGAATTTATAAAAAGATCTTTTGTCAGACATTGCACAGCAGTTTGTAGGATGAAATTAATCCTATGAATAAAATTGCTAACCTCCACCTAAAATAGGTGCTTTATTTAAAGAAGGATCGATGAGGCTTGCTAAATATTATTTTTAGTGTTGATGAAAGATTTTCATAATATCAGGCTGCAAACATGGGCTAAAGTGGCAGTTCTGGATGCCATGCCAGCGTGCTGGAGCTGGCTAACGATGTCACCCACAATGTCAGTGAGGCAAAGCCACCCCTGAGCTGTCTCCAGGCCTCTGTCCCTCCTCTGCAATCTCAGGGTAGGAGAAATGTTTTTCTCAATGCATGTGAATCTAACTTTGGACACATCTCACAGTCTCATCTTCCAAGGATCATCATTCGTGAGTTAGACAGCAAAACGGTTAGCCGTGTCCACCATGTAACAAAACACATTCTTGAGGCCGTCAGGCCAAACCCCTGAGCTCTTTGTTCTTTGCCCAATGGTCTCATGGCTTCTGGTTTTTAGGGGAACATTATGACTGGTCTACTATTTTGGTGCTGCTTCTTTTTGAAAAGGTTCAGAAAGAGAGTTTATTTCAGAGTTCGCATATACTCGACTTCTATCTATCATCCTTTATACAAGGCTAGTAAGGGCTTTGAGAAGCCAGTGCATCCTACATTACTGTCTTTGTGGCCTTTGGTGTTTCATTCTCAGAGAATTATTCCAGGGTTCCTAGCTATTCTGAACTCAAAATTCCTGTTACCATCAAACAGTACTTGCTCCGGTGAGTATAATCCTCAGCCTCAAAACACTCCAAAATCTTGGGGGGAAAAATTAAATTTTAAAATGTGTTCATTAGATAAAAACAAATGGTCAATTTTATTGTAATATTTTGATTATATCTATCAAAAAAATAAAATGCTTTTTCCCCCTTTTGTCTCTTGCAGCTTTCTACGTTTGAAGTCATCCAGGAACACAGCAGAAGCAGAATAAATGACACTACGTTTCTCTCTCATGGCCTTCATACCATGGATTTCCCCTGCTCAAGATGAAAAGAAATTAAGAGGAAATCAGATTGCTTAGAGATAGCAGATTATTGCTCACTTTTTAAAAGGAGCTCCACAGAGAGAATGAAGAACGTGTAACTTTTTGCAATGATAATGTCTGCTTTGTTCTTGAGGGGCACTCTTCCTTTTTCTGTTCAGGAATATTCCGGAGGAGAGCTGCAGATGCCACCCAACCCTGCGAAATCTGCCCTGCGTGTCGAAACAGATCCAGCAGTGCAAAGAACTTCTTCATTAGGACATCAAGCCTGTAGTCATATTTTCAATTGCTGCTGTAACTTTTTCCTTGCAAGTGCTTTCACTTATTTCGGGACCACCTAAGGCTCTGTGTGGTATACAGCAACACAGTTTGAGATATTTCTGTGATGTTCTGTATATCATATAGTTGCTAACAACCTGTCAAAGTCATCCTGACACCAAACTGAGAAGCTGATGGTTTGGGTAACATATTAGAGGAGATGAAAAAACCGACAGTCCTCATTACTGTAATAAAACCAGCAGAGACACACTGAGAATCAATTACTGATTGTGACCTAATGAACTAACCCTCAGTCAAGTAGAAAACTGCACCAAGCCTCTTACATTATCAAATGATTTAGGATGGAGCACTGTCTGAAGACGGGCAACAAGTCGAGGCAGATGAGTTTTCTTATATTGTGGCTGACTTAATTACCTTGTTCCTGAGTGCAGAGATCAAATTGAGCAACTTAAGGTGCTAAAGCTCTGTGCCAGCTGGAAATGAAAAGGAAATAATTAACACCAACAAGAGCTACGTCTAAGGTTGTGGCACCTCCTGACAGAAGCAAGGAGACTCAAAGTTAAGGCGGCTGCAAAGTCCTTGACGAGGTGAGCCCTGCTCTATCCGCCTGGCTGGATTCGTCCAGGTTGCCTGTGGCAGCTGTGCACTGAAGAGTCCGGCTGGGGAGCCAGGGATTCAGAACTCACAGTGCAGCCTGACGACCAAAGGGCAAATCCACCTGAGGACCTGAGTGCAGATGGCTGGGCTCCCCGGAACAAAGTGGAGGAATGACAGAGGTGTAACTCTTACACCACAGCCTCCATCTGTGTGTCGCAGAGAAAAATACTATAATGGAGACTATTCTTACACACATACACACACACACACACACACAGAGTTCTTGTCACCGATGGAACAGTCTGTCTTTGTCTTTCATCTCCCACATTCATGTCCAGATCCCATTGCGCTGCATCACACGTGAACCCAGTGAGGTCAACAATGAATGGATGGTGTTCACAAAGAAACCAGCTTATGGAAGGGGACCTGTTACAATTCTTTGAATTAAGTTCTTGGAAGCCATTTTTCATCTCATTTGTCACTATAGTGTTCTTCTCTTCACACATGCAGGGGTGGCAAGGCATCAAACCAAAACATGGCAGGCTCCTTCACTGCCAGACTAGGAGATGAATCCTGGGTACACTGAAAAGGAAGCACTCAGAAGCAGTGACAGTGATGACAATCGAGGCCCCAGGTTCACATCCCTCAGTCCTCCCATGAAGGATCTAGTCCCACTCAGAGGACACGCCCAGGCTGCATCTGCACTACCTGTACTTCCCAACAGGCATTTGGAGAGGAGAGACTCAGCTCTGTCAACATAAAGCTCTGTGAAGCCAGCTTGAGTGCTTCCCACAAAGGGTTGAGTGGGATTAATCTCCCCACATCACTGATGAATCAGTCCCATCAGCACTGCATGTGGCATCATCAGACCACAAGGACACACTTCATGAAGGGGTTTCTCAGTATTGAGTCATCACTCGAAGACCTGACACACAAATGAGTCACAGCTGGGAGAGTGTTTGGAGAAATGGGCATTTGAGAAATGGGCTGTGTAGGCCGTATCCCCTCCATAGGAAGTCGGCAAACTAGGGCGAGGCAAGGATGCTCCCACTGCAGCCACACACTACAAATCAGGGGCAGGGATGCTTAACTCTGCCCAACTTTAGATGAGTTTTAAAAAGCAGCACTTCTCAGACCTAGTTAAATGCAGATTCTGATTCATAGGTCTGGGTGAGGCCAGAGATTGTGCAATTCTAACAAATCCGCGACAATGCCGCTGGACTTGCCTGTGTTTGAACTATCCTGGGAGCATCACGGCCTCAAATCTTCTGTTCCTTCCCCCAGGGTCCTTATCCAGTTGGGCAGACATACTAGACATTCTAACTACATCCTATGAGCACAATCATAAGTCCTATGAGCAACTTACCACTCCAAAGGAGGTAGATGGAACTGAGTGCTCTGGTAAATTTCTGGAGCACCAGGCCCCTTGGCCAGCCCAGTCTTCAAGGCCCACTTTTGGGAGCATGGCCTTTAAGGCCCTCACACGAGCAAGCCAATAAGTGGTAAGGAGCAGAGCAGAATTCCCCAGGGGCTGGAGGGTAGGTGTTGATCAGGCCCAGGCAAGCACAGCACAGTCAAAGTAAACCCATCCAGGCCTGTGTACCCTGCCCCGACCATGAGACTCCCTGGAGTTAGTTGAGTCTGACCTGAGAGCAAGGTACAGTCACCGGGAGTAATTTTCAAATTAATGAATTGTGTACAGACCATGAGGCAACTGCTTGTCCAGATGCCTTTCATAGTCCACTGATGGAAGCATTCACTAGGCTCCTTGCAGAACTGAATGCTGCAAAAAAGAATTACACAACATCCAGAAACTTGAAAAAGAGGGAAGGGAGATTTGGTACAGGCATCTCGCTCACTAACCTGAGTCTTTGTTGAATGAGAACACGGTGCCTGGTGCGGCCACTGCTGCCACCAGGGACGCCAGGCCAAGCCATCATTCAGTGCTGCTCTGCAGCGTGCTGCCCTGCCCTCCTGAAAGCTGCGTGATTCATTGGATTTAATATTGTCCTGAGTCTCACTCCAGGGAATTCTGCAGGAATGTTGTTCAAAAAAAAAAAAAAAGAAAGAAAGAAAGAAAAAAAAAACAGCCATTTCAAACAGTCTGTAGGCTCCGTTCTATAAAATAGGTTATTAACTTGCAGTGATGGCAGCCAATAGTTCAATTGCTGTAAGGTCACAGGTTATTCAATGGGAAGGACCACATTTTCGATTGTTTTACCCTGACTCCCCGCTGATATGCAGGCTTTACCAGGATTAGTGTTAAAATCCTCACTGTGAAACGCAAAGCCCAGAAAGAAAGCCGCATCCTGCTCGCCTCCGCCTCTGAACCAATGCGGGACCTGTAAATACTCCTCCCCTTGGCTGCTCTCAAGTCCCTTTACGATGAGGCTGGCTTGTAGCAGCGAAGGGGTCGCGCGGGGACTCTCTCCACCTCCTCCAAAGACTATATAATAGCCCATGCAGACATTTCCTGATGTTTAAAATCTCTCCAATTTTCCTCCTCTGCTCCTGCATTTTTAATCTCTGGAATGCCTATGACTGGACGCATGTGCCTACTCCTCCCCACCCCCATCCACCAACATGAAAAGAAGATTCTGTCTGGATTTGGGTCTGCTCTTTTCTGGATACCTACGGGAAGTTCATCGGGTGCTCTCTTACACTTGCCAAGCTGAATCAGGCCCCCAGAGGGTTTCCCTCCCACATTGCCTTCCCGCATCATGAGGGAGGCTGCTGCTGTCTGAAACATAATAAACGTTTCTTAAAATTCCTTTCCGATCACACCTAAACTCTGACAAGTATTTGCAGCTTCTATCTCCTTTGAATTTAAGGAGGATGACAAACCTGAGCACAGAACAAACAATATCTCCACCTAATGATTGCAAGCCCAACTTCCAGGACTTGACTTCCGAGGCCTTACTGACTTCCGGAACTTGGCTTCCGGAGCCTGACTGACTTCCACAGCCTGACCCGGAAGGCTTTGGTAATTTTGAACCGGAGCTTTTTCAGGAATCTGCGGGCTTGGTGTCTGAGGCCCTCACAGTCAAGCCCCATCCACACACTGGACATCACAGCTCTGCCCCATGGACAGTGCAGATAATGTTTAATTGAAAACAAAAGTGTCATTTTGGAAGGCCTGCCCCACCCCACGCCCCCACCTGACACACGTGGAGGCTTCAGAGTGTGCAGGGCTGAGCCTCACGACCTTCTCCCTCGAATGTTCCCTGAAGCCCCTCGGATCTCTTGACACAGGCGCCTTCTCCATCCCTGCCGCCCGCTGCTCTCACCGAGGGAGGCTGCTGTCGCCACACCCTGAGCTGGGCTTCGCGGTTGAGATTCACAGTAACTCGCCTCAAAGAAGCTACCGGCAGGGAAACATCTCCTCAGGGTATGTCTGCTCCCAAACAGACGCCACTTGGAAAAGATCACGTTTGCTGTTTATCTTCTATTTGCCACAGTAGTACACGAAAATAGAGTATTTGCAAGAAATTAAGAAGAACAACGAAACTGAAACTACCTGATGATCCCACCCTTGAGATAAACACGGGTAACATTTTGTAGGATTGCTTTTCAGTCTTCTCAGTCCCATTTCAAAAACAGCACAACATACAGTGTGAGATCTCTTGAAAGTTGTCAACCATGGGCTTTAGACCGAACTTGGGAATGAATATTCTGCCTTTTCTGTTCACGGCCTGCGTACGTTTCCCACCTCTGCCTTTCCTACCCCTCTGAGTGTTCTTGGAGGAAACCATGGTGTGCCCACGAGGCCATTCTGGGGATATGTTTAAAACTCCTCCTTCACAGAAACAGCCAAAGGGTGAAAGTATAAATCAGCTGCCCAGTGTTCAAAAAAAAAAAATCAACCATGCAGGGTTCAGGCTGGCCTTCCCAGCAGCCGAATGAGCAGAAGGGCTCAATGCTCTGCAGATTTGGGGATGTGCCCTAACACATGAAAGACTTGTCATCTGAAAATCACCGGGGGCCATGGGGGCCTCCACTAAGGTCCTCAGAGGCCTTCCTTCATCCACACACAGCCGGGCAACTCCAAAAGATGCTGTGCCCTGGGCAACATCCGAGCACTTCTTTTTGAAGGCTCAAAACAGGCCGTGTGCCACCCACATAGCACCTGGCCTTCCCCTTCACAGCAGGTAGCTGATGTCGCTGTTGGTCTGTACTTGGAGGTTATTTGATGCTTGTCTGTCTTCCCCCATGAGATTTTAAACTTCACAAGAATAGCGACTTTGCCACTTATGCTCAGAATTTTATTTCTAGTGCCTAAAACCAAGGTTCTCAACAAATATTTGGTGAGTAGATGAAGAAATAACAAGTGGGTGAGTAAAAAGGGTGGAATTTCCAAGGCTAGTATGACCAATAGCTGGCCCAACCAAGATCATTCCCCTCACAAGCTGTCACTCCTCCTTTACCCCCAACCCTCCACCTCTACACCTTACCTACCGTGTGTGACTCTGAATCACCCACCAGGAAGGCAAAACTGAGACAACTAAAGAGAATACAAGGGCACACGCCTTCCTGTTAAGGTCCTGACAGTTTATGACGCTAAAAAAAAAAAAAAAAAAAAAAAAAAAGGTAATACTGGAAGCATCTAGCTATGATCCTGATGATTTGAGAAAAGCCACAAAACTTGGCTAATTGGGATCATCTCCCTTTTATAAGCTCCAAATTTGATGGCCCTTCAAAGACACTTTCTAAATCCTACCTCACACTACCTATCATTCTTAGTAGAAGCTACCCACTTTCCACAAAGTAATACAGACTATCAGATAATGAGTTTCTAGAATTTATCTATGCCCACCCAGTCTATCTTTGCACTTCTGTTAGAGAAAAAGATACTCCTGTACTTCTCCAAATCTGACCAGGCTACTTTTGACTCTTTCAGTCTCTCTCCCCACAACCTTTCCCCACACATGCACATACATAGACACACACATATATCTTTAATCTTTCCGTTTAATTTGTCTTCTTCTCTCCCATCTGTAAACATGCTCAAAACTCTTCTTAAAAATAAAACATAAGTGCCCCAAATCATAAAACGACTTCTCTTCTCCAACTCTCTCTCAGGATAAGGACCATCTTTATCTCTCACTTGTAGAGAGAAAACTGTATGCAAAGAAATGGAAACCCATTTGCCCCTATCACAAATCAATTTCTGCTCACACCACTGCTGAGATAGCTCTCTACTAAATAATCAGTAATTCCCTAGTTGCCAAATCCAAGGATATGCACACTAAACAATCTCTTTATAGCATTTGATATTGCTAACAATCCCTTACTTCTTGAAACATTTTTCCCTTAGCTTCCAGGATATCAGTATCTCCTGACTTTCTTCCAGTTTTTCTGAATATTTCACTTCGATCTCTTGGGGATGGATTCTCCTCCTCCACCCACTCCTCAAATCTTGACGTTTTACCATGAAATAAAGGGGTTCTTCTGGTCTTTTGTTCTGAAGCCACATCCTTTCCCTGTGTTAACACATTAATTCTTTTGGCTTTAATTACTATTTTGAGATGTTAATAACTTTGAAATCTGTGTCTCTGGTTCCGACATCATTTCAAAGTGGCAGAACCTTAGGTCTGGCTGCCTCTGGAGTCCTGCACTGAGTTTGGAGCTAGCGTGAACCAAAACTTGACATTGCTTTTCGGGCACCTGTTCCTCCTCCTCTCTGAGAATGTGTCATCCTGTTTCCAGGCTTTGAATTTCCCTTAATTCCATGGTGCTCTGTCTTTGTGATCAGTTGATCACAAGTCACCTTAATTCTACTTTGGAAATGTCTCACAACCCTCACCTTTTCTCTTTCACCCCTACTACAATTGCCTTAGATGACAATCCATACCATTTCTTCTTTTTATTTCATTTTTCTAACTGCAAACATAATTCATTTTCAACAAAAAAAACAATACATAGAAATTGCAAAGATGAGAGCAAAAATTTCTCATAATCTTCAGAATTAACTAATATTAATATGTAGGTAAATACTAGAAGTTACTGTCAAACAAGCATACAGTTTTGTTAGCTATAGTGTTCCCAGGATGCTTTTTCAGATCATTTTATATTGTCCTACGTCAGTTTTACTGGCTGCATGAGGTACCATTTTCTAATCACAGCATTATTCAGTTAAACAATCCCTTAGCATTTGATATATATCAGTGAGGATCAAAACAGAAAAAAATTAAACCTCTCTACTATTTAAAACACAGGAAATTTAATGCAAGGAATTGGTTACAAAGGTGAGTAAAGGACTGGGAAGACATTTAGGGGATAATGAAGCAATTCAGAAATAGTAACAGTGAGAAGACTCACCACCCCATTCATACGGTTAAGCATAGAGGCACCATTTTGCCCGTCTTATTATTTCTATTGTCCATCTCTTTGGTGCCTCTGCTCTTCCTTCTCTGCTTTGTGTCGGGTTAATAAAATATTTTTAGTATTGCACTTTAATCTTTCCATGGGCATTTTAGCTATACTTCTTGCATTATTTTTTAGAGGTTGCTGTAGGGATTACAAGTGCACCTTTAACTTATCACCATCTAATTATAGGTAATATTGTATTGCTGCAAGTAAAACATTGGAAGCTCACAGCAATATAATTACATTTATTGCCGTATTCATCCTTTGTGCTATTGTTTCCACAAATATCCATCTGTCCGTATTATAAGTACCACAATATAATGGTAGAATTTTTGCTTTAAATACCATATGCCGTACAGAAATTAAGAAATGTGTATATATAGCATATATGTTTACATATATGTACATGTACATATCTTAAATATGCATTCCATATATTTTTACCCACACTTACCATTTCTTACACTCTTCCTTCCTTCCTGAAAATCTGAGTTCTCATCTGGTGTCATTTACTTCAGCATAAAGAATGATCTTCCTTGTAATGCAAATCTGTTGATAGCAAATTCTCTTAGTTTTCGTTTATCTGAAATATCTTCATTTCAACTTCATCTTGACAGGTACCTTTGCTAGATATACCATTCTGGTTAACAGATTTTTTTTCTACACATGTTAAGAAGTCATTCTATTGTCTTCTAGTCTCCTTGCTTCTAATGAACAGTCAGCTGCCATTCGGATCATTGTTCCCCAGTATGTAACACCTCATTTTTCTCTGGATGCTTTCCACATTTCCCCATTACCTTTACGTTTCAGGACTTTGGCTGTTGCGTGGCTGTATAATTTCATGCCTCTCTATTTCTGCTTCTGCTGAGATTTCTACTAGAAATGACCTGTCTCTCAACCCATTATCAACTTACCAATATCCTACCCGGGCACTAAAGACCAGTTCAGAGGTCTCCTTCTCTGTGATACCTCCCACAAAACCCCTGACAGTGTAATAGCTACTTCTCTCCTCTCCCAACACTTCACCCTTTCTCTTTATTATAGCACATGAAACATATCATTGTAATTATATTTTTGCATATCACCTTCCATTTGACTTTTCTCAATGACAAGAGTTCTCTCTTATTCTCTTTGCAGTCCTTGTACCTAGCACAATGCCAGGGGCATCATAGATGTTCAATGAATATTTACAGGCTGATTGGATGAATAAATAAACAAACTGAATTCACCAAAGACAATAAGCTAGTGTTTCTAGGGCCCTTTGTAAAGAGAAATCAAGTGACATTTACCCTCAAGTTTAACTTGATGATGAGTAACACTGTTTAGGCTTTGATTGAGGACATATAGATTCCTGAGAAACCTTCAGGGAAAAGCTCTCAGGTTTCTGAATGGAGGCCAAGAATGAGTTTTAAATCGAGACAAGTGAATAAAAGTAAAAGCAGTCCTTTTTTATTAGATGTTACCTTCCCAGTCATTATGAAATCATTTTGTATTCATTGTGATAACACCAATTATTAATGTACTCATTTGGCATTCATACGACTCTCTTATGCACTTCCATAGGAATTCTCTTGTAATTAACTATTAGTTGATGTTAATAGCAATAGATATTTAAAATAATATGCTACCAAATAGGGTCACCAACAGAAAAGGGATCAATGTATTCAAGCATGAGAGACTTGAGGGCAATCCCTTGCAGTGTGAAAAGTTCTTGAGATGCTACAATGGAGTTTGAGAAACTGTAGAAACTCAACTTAGCCCAAGATGGGACCCCAGGAGTCTTGACCATCTCTCTTTTCGAGAACATGATTTTAATTTAAAACAAAACTATGACAAACTGCCATTTGATTCAGCATTTTTCTTTCAGTTTATATGCAGATCAACTATGTCCTAAATTATCTATCTCTTATTTACTTCATTTACAACCTGTATTTTTCTATTAGATACCAAATCTTGTTTCCTAAATGACTGTTCTAGAAAAGAGATTTGGAGGCAATATCAAGATAAAGTGTACATTCATCCTCACATCAAAGAAATGCTGAGCTTATGAAGAACAGTAGTTTGTGAAAGATGAGTTACTAAGCTTCACCTTCAAACAGAGCCATTCGAAATACAAAATGAAGATCATAGTCTGAGCTCATGGGTTCATTAGGCTTGGGTGCACTTTGTGAGTTGCTGAGTGTGGTGGAGCTTGTCTCCCCCAGCATGTGCACAGCTTCCTTTCCAAGTGTGGCCCTTGTCATTATAAATACTGCAATCATAGGTTTTGATCTGACAGATGCCAGCTTTAAATCATCCGCCTTATGCCCCAGCTTTGGTACCTGAGGTCCTCGAATATGATGTCCTCCTTTCACGAACACCAAGAGGAAGATATCCCCAGTTAAAGGAATTCTAGAATCACGTGGCCACCTGAGTCATAGGGGCCCTTGGGAGTTTCAACCACTGAGGCCTTGGTGGTTTCTTTAGAGCATCCTGGACATTGCGCCCTACAAACCTCCACTGACCCTGGAATAAAGTTAGGTACATAGTCCCCATGTCTCTCCAAAGACCGCCAGGGCCACCCTGTCCCTAAAAGATGCCTCCTGTCAGCATAAGGATTCCTTGTAAGTGTACAGGCAGTGATATTAGTTCCTTAAAAACTGCTTCACCTTGCACTCCACAGCCAGATGTGAAAGGGAGATACATACACTGGAGGGAACACATCGACCCCCGCCTCACACTATTGGACAACCCACTGATTTCTAGGCCTAAGAGAGTTGTGTTCGTTTGGTGCGGAAGAGGTGAAGAAACATTTGAACACTACATGGGGGAGGAGAAGAGCAGCCCCCGATAGGGCAAGAGCAAAAGAAGCCCAAAGTGGTACACCAAGAGCAGACCTTGACCTGCTCAAATGCTGCTTTGTGCAGCTGGGATATCCTCGCTGCCCCTCCTCCAGAGTGACAGCTGTCAGGACAGCTGTGGCAGGTGGAGGGCACCCTGGTGGCTCTGCATTGAGGAGTTGCTGCCAAAGGGGGGTAGCAGCAACCATGGCAGGTTTCCCAGGCAGGAAGCACAGGCACAGCACCATATTTCTAGGAAAATCATTGTGGCCTGTGTCTGACAAGGGCAGGTGGGCTTGTGATGAACAGAACTGGGTTGAAGGAATTGGGGCTGTCGATGCTTGTGCAACCTCAACACACACAATCACTGCTGGCTCACTCCCAACGTCTCCCTCTCCACCTTAGAGGTAAACCTGCATCTCTCCCCTTTCAAAGTCCTCCTCCTGGATGGAATCTACTGATTAGCATGAATCCACATCAGCACCTAAAATCCTAGAATGTCAAAGCTAGGCAGGCCCTCACAATGGTCTCATCCAACCTTTGGATTTTACTGATGCAGAAACTAAGCTACAGAGCAAGAAATACAGGTGGCTGGGGCCACGTTCACCCACACTTACCCAGTCTAGCTCTGTAGGCAGCATTCGACGTGTGTCCTCTCCCCAGTGAGGTTGCTATGCCTTGAGTCCCAGGCATTTTCCAAAAGGTAAAGTGAGAAGGCCATCTCCTATCGTACTTATCCTGAGACAAGGAGGCAGTGAGCTTTGGAAAGCACGTCAGGGCAGTAGCGTGCCCACCAGGAAAGGACGACTCCATCTTACCCCCACCCCTCCTGGCACCTTGCTCCATCCTCATGTGCATTACAAGATGCCATGCATGAGCCTCAAATCATCTTTATTTCCCACTTACTCTATAATCCAGCCACTGCTCAGGGCTCCTTTCTGTGGTCTCCTTCCTGTAAGCAGGAGAGAGTACTGGGTCCACTCTGACCATGGACACCAAAACCATCACTGCAGCAGCAGCAGCAGCAAAAGGGATGGAATGGAATTCTACCCAGGGTTTGCCCCTTTAAAATCCAGGCAGCAAGAAAGCTCCACGCATTCTCTACCTTAATCATGAAAGGGCTTCATCTTGCCTCTACTGTACCATGTCTATAAAAACCATAAAGTAGAAATCTTTAATTACTCAGAAAGGTCAGGCTTCAAATTGTATATTTAATCTGGATTTAAAGAAGTATGTACCATGAAGAGTGATGCTGTGGTGTCTAAACACCTACTGCTTCCATTTTTCAAGGCACACACAGGCACTCGCAGGCACAGACGCAAATAAACCAACTATGCTTAGCACTGGCTACCTTTCTATTAAGAACCTTCTTTTAGAAATTAAATATTTCAGCACCTGTCATAAGACAGGTGATTCTTCCACAGTAGAGAGAAATAACAGTAGCATAAAAGAGGCTATTTTCACTTACCTTGATTACTAATTTGGAAAATGGGGGCTATTGAGATTAAAACTTCTCAGGACACCTACCTCCTTGACTTTCTTCTTTTCTTCTCTCTCTCTGTCTACTCTCACCTCTCTCTTCCTTTACTTTCAGACAAGAGCCTTTCTGGCTCAGGAGGTGGAAGGCAGTGGCCAGCAGCAGTGGATGCCCCCTGGGAGAATGGCAGGTGGGTGAAGAAGCAGTAGACAGGGTGGGAGTCTGGCCCCATGCAGGAGAATAAGTACAGATGTCAACGTTTCATGTGTGTGTAAACATCATAGGAGCCTGTGTTCTGACTGTTGGAGAAAGAAGGTACAGACGTGAAAAGGGAGAAAGCTGTAAGAGACCTGTGTTGTGAGATTCAAATTAGAGTTATTGATGTACATTCATGATAGATAGGAAGATGATAGATAGATAGATAGATAGATAGATAGATAGATAGATAGATAGATAGACAGACCAATGGTGGATGAAGAGAGAGAGAGAGGAAGGAAGGGGGCAGGTGGATGGATGGATAGGTAGATATAAGAAGAAATATAAATGTATGTATACATCTATATTGTACATATGCATATTTATTCATACTTATAGACAGACATTTTCTAGCCTTAAAGGTCTGAGCAGCAATACTACAAGTACCAATGAGTACATCTGCCACCCAGTTCTTGGTTTCTAAATTTGACTTTCCACTAAAACAACAAAGATTCCTTGAAGCAATGGCTAATATCAAACCAGAGTAGGAAAACATAAGATGAGCTTAGAATCGATTTTTGTCGAAGAAGGAAATAAATTGCCCAAAGAATGATAAGGACATGTCAAAAAGACGTAGCAGTAAGCCTGAAGGTGTTACTACTTGGCCAAGTCTGGGACGATTTGAGAGCCAAAATAAATAACAGTAGTAAGCAGACTGTAACCCAGTGGATTAAATAGTAATCATGGTGTTCATAAGGATATAAATACATGAATGCATAAATGGGGAGAAGGTAAATCTCTTCCTAGTAATGAAAAACCAACTAATAAATGTAGTAATAATGATGTAATTTTTAAATTGCCATTTGGCAGCCATCGCAATGATAATTAATTCAGGTGAGAACCATTATGGATGCTAAAACCGGAATGTGGAAGTTGGTCAAAGAAAAGCTTTCACATGCTCTCAAAGCATCTCCCCACAAAACACTTGACAATTTTTTGAGGAAGACAAAGTGACTTTTCAGTGGAGGAACTTGGCAAAGGTGACTTCACCAGCAGTGGGACAAGGCTGCAGCCTGTCCACCTGAGAGGATGCACTGAGAAGGACAGAGCACCCCCTTCCCTGACATTCCGGCCAAAGGTGCACAGCCTGGGGCTGCTTCTACGGAAACATCAGACACATCCAAACTGACGGACAATCTACAAAAATAGTTGGCCTATCCCCTTCCAAAGTATCAAAGTCATGAATGTTGAGGAAACCATTACAGATTGCAAGAAACTAGAGAGACAGGATGGCTGGGTGCAGCCTGGGACCCTGGCCTGGGTCCATTGGACATCAGTGAGACAGTTGGTAAATTTGGAAGGAGTTTCTGAGAAATGGGTCCAGGGATGTTGTTCATACTATTCCTGCAACTTTTCTGTAAGTTTAAATTGTTTAAAAAAATAATAATGAACAATTCCTGCCACACTGGCTGAAGAATCTAGGAAGAGACTAGTGCAGCAAGAATTGTCCCAATATCTGTGTCCATTCCCAATGAGCTTCGTTCTGCTGTAATGATTTCCCACAAGTATTTTGCTGTGAAAGAAAATATAACGAAGTGTACTTGGAATTGATGCACTAATATCTAGGCCAACACTTCTTCCTTTTACTGACAAAAAGTAGCTGAAATAGCAGTTTGAGGCTGACAATAAGTATGTAATTTTTGCTTTGCTGCTGACTTCCCATTTGTCATGGGACACAAAGGAAGGCACTCTCCTTCTCAACCAACATCAATGGCTCCCATTTGCCTATAGAATAAAGTCCAGACTGTCTAACCCAGAATTTGAGGCCCTTGATCTTCCATTATAGGTCCAACTCCTGCTAGCAATCTGCTCACAATTTATATACAGTATGTTTTTACAAAATTCTTGTCCCCTGGTTCCTTCTTCAAAGCTTTCTCCAGTATTGTTATTATTACTATTGGCATTCCGTCTCTTCCTCTCACCCCCAGCACATTGCCTCCATTTCTATTACAGCATCTTCTTGATTCTTTCCTTTCATATAGCTAGTTGTTTACTTGTCTGTCCCACTCACTAGATTTCATGCCCTGAAGGATTTGTTATTTAGGAAATGATTTCATGGGCCCATGTCCTCTTATTAGATATGAAAAGATATATTCAGTAGGAATTTATTGAGTATCTACTATATCCTAAGAAACACCCAATATCATTCTCAAGATATAGTAGATACTTAAATTACTGCTGAAGGCATCTTTTCATATCTAACAGCTTCCAAATAAATCTACCTTGGTCAAATGCTCAAGAAATTGTTTACTTTTGAAACAGAGGGAGATTTTTTGACACACACACATGCGCTGAGTGAGGGTCGCACAAACTACTTAGATGAACTTTTCACTTGAGTAGACAAATAGGTGGTCAGATGATTAGTAGCATCCATCACTGGTTTTAATGTTTATGGAGCACAAAATATTGAGAAAAGTTTTCATTCCCATATACTCTAATGTAGTTATTTCTGTGTACTTTCCAGACTTCCTACTAGTAACAAAGGAAGAGGGAGTTAAGAGAAGTGAACTTGGCCTTTTGTCCAACCTGAATCACTGATCACATCTTTCCTCACTAGAATACCTTCACTGGTTTCAGTTCAATACACCAATACGTAATGTACAATGAAGACAGAGTAGTCCAAGAATAACTGACTCGAAGTGTGTTTACAAGTATTTTGGTAGCTGATGGAGGGATAAAGTCATCCAAAGAAATAATTTTAGTTTTTCCCCCTTTTTTATTCAAAAATAAATACAGTATTTGAAAATGCCAATAGAGTACCATGAGACATTTCAGTTAAAACAACCTTGGAAATACAGAACCTACTCACCCAAGAAGAAAAACATTCCTTTTACTGTGCAAGTAGAATACATTCCTCTTCTCCTGCACTTTACGACTTGCATGAGTAGAGGGGAGAGCCTTCTGCGTTGGTTGAGAAATGTCTTATCCTCAGGCCCCTCCAGGGCAATTACTGCTGAGGTGGATGTGTCCTCTCTGAAAGGGTTTGCTCTTTCAGGAACTAAAGATCGGTGACAGGAACACAGAATACTCAAGTGTGATCTTAAACTTCACTCTATGGCAGATGGTATCTTTTAAAAACACAGATTTTTTAAAAGGTTTGTTTTGGGTTGGGATAGAGTTTACATTGGCATTATCTATGCAAAATGGATTTTCTATCTAAATAAACAGCGTAAGTAGGACTTATTTAAAGGGGGTTTCGCTAATTAAGATTTTTTTTTTCCAAGATGGAGTCTCGCTCTGTCACCCAGGCTGGAGTGCAATGGCGCACTCTCCACTCACTGCAGCCTCCGCCTCCCAGGTTCAAGGGACTCCTGCCTCAGCCTCCTGAGTAGCTGAGATTACAGGCGCACGCCACCACATCTGGCTAATTTTTGCATTTTTAGTAGAGACAGTTGCCATGTTGCCCAGGCTGGTCTAGAACTCCTGACCTCAAGTGATCTGCCTGCCTCAGCCTCCCAAAGTGCTGGGATTACAGGCATGAGCCTCAGTGCCCGGCCAATTAAGATTTTTTTTTTTCGACTATTTTAAGCATTCAGAAGTATTGACTTTTCAGGCAGCAAATTCTGAAATTTTGCTTTAGGGAAAGCAAGCAAATGAATTCTTTGTGAAATCTCAGCTCTGCAAGGGCAAGGCTCCCCAGGTCACGTGGCAGCAGCCTCCTTCAAGGTGTGCTGTCCAAGGTAACAAACCTGCATTTCCTCTAAGACCTTGCTACTCAGAGGTGGTCTGCAGATCAGCACCAGTAGCATCGCCTGGGAGTTGGTTGAAACACGAAACCCCGGACCCACTAGTCATGTAATTGATGAGCACGTGAAAGTTTGAGAGGCATTGCTGTCTCCTGAGTGAGAGGGGTTTTGCTCCACTCATTTTTAAATAAGAAAAGTTTGTGATCTATACATGATTTAGAAGGTTCTTCCCAGGATGATTGAACACAATTTAGAAGGGCAGGAAATCTCATCTTGCCCCATCACAAATTCTCTTGGACCGATTAAAGATTCATTAAACTCCTTGATCATTCTTACTGCTTCCACAAATGGATTTTGAGAACCTGCTCAAATATTCGAGAGGGTTTGGCCCCCAGCGCACCTCTGCTCCTTTCCTGTAGAAGATGCTGTTCTTCAGAAGAGCCAGCTAACACTCATGTGGAAAGTCAGGGAAGGGAAGCTCCCCGTGCAGTCAGGTTGGCCAAATTGACCCAAGCAATCAACAGGTGCCAACTCACTCTCACACCCCAGTTCAGGTTTGCTCAGTAGTTGACTTCCTCAAAGAATCTCTACATGAAACCATTAGTACACAATCACCTTGGTCACACTGCAACAATCTTTATATGTGACACTACCTGCTTTACCCACAATCCACTCTGAAAATTAATCTTCAGCGTGATTCTTTAAGTAACATCTTCCTATTTTGATGCAGGGAAGGAGAGAGTATTTATCTTTCCTTCCTACAAATTTCTCACGCACATTAAGAGGGCCTCTCACCACCAGCTATTTAATTATAATAACTGAGTTTTTTTTTTAATTCACAATGCACTTCCTCTGAAATAATGAGCTTTTCAATACAGAAGCCCAAAAATAGTGGCTGATGAATTTATTCACTGGACGAGAATGCCCAAATAAAACAATTGACAAAAGAGAAGAAAACAGGTAAGCAGGATGCCAGTTTTTGCAACAGAGAGGTCTGTGTTATTTATTGCTAAAAATCACAGGGACAAATTATTTGGAAATCTACTAATGACATTTCTGTTTCTTTATCACAGGTAAACTTGACATTTCTATTGTTGTATCTAAATGGAATATCAGATGTGAGCAATTAGAGCCTGTGTTACATTGCATTATGCAGTTAATAGCACCAAGACCCAAACCATTTCTAGTCCAAATATTTCTGAGAGAGAGAGAGAGAGAGAGAGAATGAGAGAGAGAGAGAGAGAGAGAGAGAGAAGGCCCTGGTGCTATTTGAACTTGTCCTCACACTAGCAAAGGTGGCTCACGGGACATCTGCTAATCATGACTTTGAGCCAGGTCCATGTGACTAGCAGCTTTAGACATTCCAGCAGATTCCAGAGATAAGTATTTAGGAACACCACGGATGTGGACATAGGGAAGGACTTCTGCTTTTCATCAGCATCTTTATTTATAACCCCGTATAAGATTCAAACCACAGCTCATGCTCATAAATCCCCACCATTAGCCGACGCTGTTTTCTTCTCATATTTAGCTGCTTTGCCTTTTGAATTTATTTATTTTATTTGTTTAAGTTGCCTCCCTTCTGAATTGCTTTTGGGCTGATTGCTTACTCAAAGCCTCTGTTGATTGGCAAAGATCACCAGGGTGAAGAGCGACCTCAAATGTTCCACATTCCAACCCTAGTTCTGGCCCCTTCCTTTAAGTACTAGCCACAGATTGCAGGCAAATGCAGTCCAATGGGCCTCAGACCTCCTTCCTTCCAGGTGTGACTGCATAAGATCCAGATTCTGGAAGCTGTCACCTTCCAACTGATTTTTTTTTCTGGTTTAAAATACATGCAAGTATCTAGGGGTTGCATCCTGGAGCTGGCTAACAGCAGTAGCATCTCAGTAGGTCAAGATGATATCAAGGACGCAGGATTTGCGGCAGTGCCCTTGGTGCCCTCTCCCCCCACCTGGAGAGTCATTGTTGGATGGGATGGCAGGCCGGAGCCCCCGGTGGACACATGGCCACTGCAGAGCTGCAGGCATGCTCGGCGCTCAGCAGGAACGGCTGCAGTAGTCAGGGGAGGTCTAGGGGGGACCACGCTGGGGGAAGGGCAAGGAGGGTGCCATTGTCACTCCAGGGAAGGGTGCGTGCCTTCACCTGCCACACTGGTTGAGATATCACGTAACCACAGCAGCTGTCCAGGGGCAGCAGATACGAGCACAGCACACCTGTGTGCAGCATGCTTCATTATCATCAATATCCGTGCAGCCATGAGAGGGAGAGCATTGCTAGGATACAGCTGCACAGGGGGAGCATCCCTCCCTTGACGCTGGGAGTCTTACATTCATGTGGAGTTATTGGAAGCCAGTGGTTGACACAGGGGCCTCCCAAAGTTCTTAACTATCTCATGCAGTCAGACCCTCAGTTCTTTCTGAGCTCATTTGATCTAACAATATTTTGTTTTCTAATCTTATTGTTGCCCATGGTTGTTTGGAAAGCCGGGCCCATCGGTCAGTTGGTTGGCTAATGGGCTTGCATTTATTTAGATGTTCTTTCTCTCTACATGATCTCCTCTGTGAGGAGAAGATCCAGGCCAAGGTGAGCTGGACAAGTTGCCAGGAAGTCTCATGGTTGGGAAATGGTTGCGTTTTTAGTGTCTGACATGGCATCACAACTCTTGTGCACCTGGCTGCCTCGCCTGTGCCCCCTTGGGTATGGCAGCATGGCACATGGTCACAAGGCAGCGCCAGCCAGTCAGCTCCTCCAACCCAGGGACGTTTGTCAGCCTGAACGCAGAAGGCTCGATGTGGCAGTCCCAGGATTTCTGTGAGCATGCTTGCTGCAAAGACAAGAAAGAACGACACACAAAGTGGTTATCAGCTGGACCACAGTTCATTTATCAGTGATGGCAAGGCACGTGGGGACAAGCAGGGAGACAGATGAAGGAAAGACGCCTGCCCGCACTGCGAGGGAGCCCAGCCCACAGCGACCCTCCTGTTCAGAGGCAAACTCCAAGGCATACCGCCATGAAAGAGCTGGAGCCACCAGCAAATGCCAACCTGGAAAGCCAGGGACTTTTCCCTTTCAGGAACAGGAATCATCCCAGGCTGCCCTGCTCTCCTGCTTCCCCTCCGAACGCCTTCCTCCCTCTTTCTCTGAGATGTGAATCCAGAGCAGGAACAGGAGGACCCAGGGTGAATGGGAGGAGGTCCTGTCCTCACACTCACGACACTAAATGACATGAAGGCATCGCTGTGGATCCTCCACCTCTGGAAACAAACCCGGTGGTAACCGGATGCAGCCTGTCTGCACAAAAGGCAAAAAACTGCTGAAGCCAAAGGGCAGGCAACAGGATGGGAAAGGGGTTTTCAGTGGCAAAAATAGACCTCACTGGCAAATTGTTTAAATGATTGATTTAAACTTCCCCCTTCTTTGTAGCAAGAGGGAAGGTCTGTGAAATTTCCAGTCAAAATGGCTCATGAATGGGTAATCACAACAACCCTAACAGCCTTTTGATTTCCTGACAGATCCGTGGTGTGCGTGAAGTTTGTGTGATTGATGGCTGTTGACTGACAATGGGTTTTATGGAATAACAAGCAGAGTCCCAGAAGACAAACAGCTGAACGCATAAATGCAACACCCTACCTGAGAGGTGTACACAAGCCGTGATTCAAGAGCTTCGCTTTCAAAGCGACCCCAAACAGCTCTACAATTGGAATCAGAGAGGATGGGCAATTCCGTGAGCCACCCAGCTGCAGAAGACATTTTTCCTTCTTCCTCATCCTCTTGCAACAGCCCCCTTTGCGGCCCCGGGTAGGAACATTGCGGGCCTTGTCTATGGTGATTTTGCCACAGGAAGGGAGGGCTCTTGGCACGGTAGCTGCAGTGACGTCCAGGAAATCCAGCACGAAACTCAAATCACACTAAATTATGTGCTCAGGAAAGTATTCCGGTCCATCAATAACCCCAGTGAAAACTAAGACCCTGTGTGCTTCTAAGCCCCCAACTTAGCCAGAGAAGAAAGTGAGTGCTGTGGAAGGAAGCTGGACTCCATGCCCCCGAGGAAGGAGGAGTGGCTGGGAGTCTGGCGTTCTCAATGCAAAGGTCACTTGTAAGTCATACTTGATTTAGTTGACATACAACATTATTTCTGTCATGTTTGGGCACTTAGCTGAGCGCAGGCCAGGTCAGGGGATGGGGTCCACTCAGAACTGGGCTCCCCTGTGGGTCTGGAGCAGGTACCCAGGGTGCCATCCCAGCTGTGGGGGTGAAGGTGCATGCTGCTTGCAGAGGGTGGGACCACCAATAACTGGGCAATGAAGACACAGTCACTCTCTGCTATGGAGCAGGCCAGAAGGGCCCACACCCAAGAACAGGGTCCCTGGACTGTGAGCAGGGCACGTTGATAAGGAATCCCACAGAGAGCAGGGTTCTGAGATTTCAGCAGGCAGAATGGCATCTGAAACAATGGCAGTAACTATGATAGCATCTGAGGTCTTCCTATCCACCAGACGAAGGCAAAGTGCTTTAAATACACTCCCAACAGTGGTCTAAGCAGACTTTACCATTGTTGTTGCTGTTCTTGTAATCGTTAGAAAGTTGGGTAGCAGGAGCCTTGAGAGCAGAAGCTACTTGCTTAAGGTTCAAACCCAGTTCTGCTCAGACCTAGGGCCTTTCCACAAGAGAGCATCTCTCAAGCCAACAGCAGGCCTCAGGAACAGACATGGAGCCTGACACCTATTTCCAGAGACAGAGGAGGCTGTGGATGACCCCCAGCACGTGGCACACACATATCTCTAGAGCAGCGTTTCCCAAACTGTGTTCCGCAGAACACAAGAGCCATGGGGCATCAGAGGGCATTATGCAAAACACAGGGATTTGTGCCCAAATGAGTGGAAAGCATTGAGATAAGGTTAAGCAGGACTCTTTATTGCAGAACTTCTCAGAGCCTTTAACCTGTACTCCATGACTGCCAGCCTGGCTGCAGCCTGTCTCCTCCCTCCCCTGCATTGTCACAGAGGCCTCCACCAGCTCTCCCAGCACCCACTCGGCCCCTACAGTCAAGTCACATCACTGTTCTGCCCAAACCTTCAGAGACTCTGGGCCTCACTGAGAAGGAGAGCTGGAGTCCTTGTGGCAGCTCACGGGGTCCTTCATTTCCCATGATGCAGCCTCATCACCTCCCCAGCCTCCCCTCCAGCTCCATTACCTTTCCACACCCTGGCCCAGGAGCTCAGGTAAGCCACCTCCGGGGCTCTTGTCTACCTGCCCTGCCTGGACAGTCCTTTCCTCAGGTGTCTCCTCAGCACTCCTCCTTCCTGTGTTGGTCAAAGGCCACTTCCCCACCGAGACATTCTTTACAACATGGCAACAAGCCCTCTACTCTTCCTGGCACAGCCCATTCACCTGACCCTGTTCACCTTTGCTTTTTCATTATATTTATCACCTTCTCCTATGTGCTTAATACACTGAGTTACTCTGTTTACAGTGTCTGTTTCCCCTCCCTTGAAGGTAGTCGCCTTCAGAGCAGGGATCATTGCCTAGAACAGTGGTTAAGATGTAGTAGATACTCAATAAACATGCTGAAAGAATGATGAATGAATGAATGCAATATTTAATATGCACCATTTCCCCTTCAGTTACTGGCGAATTCATCACTTAGCAAATATGTATTGAGTGTCTACCATGTGCCAGATAATGCAAGATGTAGAGAGGGGACTTATCTCTCACCAACCACCACAAATCACTCTGTAAGAATTGCCACCGCAAAAAAACACTCCGAGTAGAAGGAGGATCATTAGTCCAGCGTTTGGCTCCCTTTGGGCCATGGATTAAGAGAGAGGGGCCACCAGACTCTCCAGGGGCCATAGATGATGAGCACCTTATCCAAGGTCTCAGCACCTGCAACTACAGGACAGACGGAAATCCTGGAGGTAGACTCCAAACTGGACTGGCATCCCAGCAAAAAGGTGGGATGCCATCGGGACCCGGGACAAAGTCAAGACAGAAGTCAGGGTGTATGGCAAAGACAGCATGGGACACACATAAACGTGGTGACTCATAAAGGCCTGTGATGGGATAGGGCAGCAAAGACATCGTGGAACCCAAAAAAGAGTGATGTAAAAGAGGATCTTCAGAGCAGCTCCAGACCAACACCCAAAGGAGGAAACTTGGGGATATGGCAGCAGATCTAGTCTTTGGAAGGTAAGAGTTTTCTCACGTGGTGCAAGGGGCACTGGTGGATAGAGAAGGTGTGAGCCCAAGCACACGTAGTGGCCTTCTAAAAGAAACGTTTTGAGGATTAGTAAGATAGCAAGTCCATTGTATGCTGAACTGTATTTAATCAATATTTATTCCAGCATTATTAGCTGTAAGAATAATAACAGAAAAAAAGTGCCATGTAAATATAAAGTCTTATTATAGCTAGCAAATTAGATTCATAAGCTGATTAATTTAAAATCTGTTTGGATATCCTTTGGATTATATTGCCAAGTTTCTGGTGTTCAGTTTGAACTGGTGACTTTCAAAATTGATGCTGAGGGCAAGAGACAGTGCTAATTAGTGCATGAGCTTTTCACATTTGAAAATCTGGGAATGAGTCCTTCTTGGGTCAAAAGTGAAAATGAGCTTGGTTCTCTCACTCTGATCCCTGTTGACATTATCATCATCACAAAACTATCATATTATTTGGCATTGCCACCAGGCCATGTCAAGAGACTCTCCAACCCAATGCTGCAGGGCATGGTGGCAGATCCAGGCCATGCTTTAGCAGGGAAGGGAATTTCGAGGAAGCAGCCAGCACACTACACAAGTGCCACAAGCCAGTGGCTTTAGCCCTCTGAGTTCATGTGTAGTAAATTCACACAGGCCAATTTTAAAGAAAAAAAAAGGAATGGAATTAATGGCGCATATCCAATCTAAAAGATAGTGTTGTCTACTTTATTTCACTACTTGTGTTTCATTTCATTCATTGTGCCCTATAATCTTAAGTCACATAAGCATATAAAATGATGCAATATAGCAGAACATAAGCCTTTACACAATAAAGTGCCACACCGCATAGCCCATCGCCTGTCTGCTGGTCAACGTGCTCACGCAAGCACGGGGATGATTGAAAGATCTAGCAGCTCCTTCCCCATTCCCTGCAGTCACATACAGCTTTCCTGAGTGCAGAATTCTGGTGCCAAGAGGGATTTAAGACTGATCCAGGACAGGTCGTAAGGGACTGCTACTGGTTCTCATATTCATTCATTCATTCACCCATTCATCAATATTTCCTAGTAAACCAACAGAACTCCAATATGCTAAGCAGGAGTTTCCTGTGGGCTGGAATCAGTGCAAATAGGCTAAGCTTCCAACAGCCCCATAAAGACAGTGAGGTCTGAGCAAGGTGGGCTGCAGGCAGCAATTACACCAGAAGGGAAGGATGCAAACCCCATCGTGGCTGGAAGGGTAGACAGAGAAACCAGGCTGTCCAAGTCTCACCCCAAAAAGCCTTGGGACTTTTTGACAATCTGTGGGGAACCCCATGGCCATGGCATAAGCCATCCTTTGACTTATGGCAATGAGCAATGTAGCACAAGCCAACAACTAGAGTTTACATCTGGATCGAGCTGAAAGTAGAACCAGAGAAATAGAGAATTTAGAATTTTGTTCTTTAGGTTTTCTAACTTCAGAGAAAATTACCAGATATCAGAAACATAAGTCAGACAAAAAGTTCAAACATTCACAGTCTCAAATACAGGGCATGGGGACCAAGGAAAATGTTTATTTATAGCTGGTGCATGCAAACAGACTACGTAAGAAGAAGAAGTTGTATCTAGAGCCAGGCAGGGCAATACAGACCCTACATTTGACCACATATCGAAGTTTTATTTTTTCAAGGAGTATTTGTGGGGTGCCTACTCCCAGGCACTGAGGTGCAGCGTGAACGCCTTCCACTGTGCCGGTCAGTTTCTGGGATCCTGCTTCACTGACTCCAAATGCCCTGGCAATTGGGTGCATTGTTAAAATTCACCTCTGGTTCTGCCTTTGTTATAATCACACAAGCCTGGGCTCCTGGAACTCCAGGACCACTTCTCCAGGTCAGCAGTCAGTGGAAGCCTCTCATTGTCCTCTCCCAGGCCACCCTCTGATCACCAACATCCCTGGGAATTATCGACTGGCTTTCTGGGCTACGTAATGACTTCATCAATAACATTCACCAGTCTGGAAGGTCACTGGAGGAAGGGAGGCCATAGGAAGTGCCTTGCGAAGAAGGTGCTGTGTGGGCCACTCCCAGGGTTCACCACTCTGTTCTCCAGGCCTGTAATCGGCATGCTGGGATGGGTGCGTTGTTGACAGGAGGACAGGTCGTCACGCTCTCTGCGAGTGGGTATGGCCACAGCTAACGTCCTCAAAGCAATAATTCCATTTTATGTCTTTCACATTTAATAGCAAATTTGCCATTTAATCTTTAAGACACAAGTTACTTATTCTCAATCTACCTCTCCTCGCACTGCTATAATCTCATGCCACTCACAGAGGCCGGTGGCACAAAGCCCATCACGCTCCCAAATCAGGCCCATCTTTTCATTAGTTCACACCCTTCCCGAGGTGGCCTCCTTTACAGATGGCTGATCTGCAATCAACACCAGTTTGTTTCAATCAGAGCGGCTCCTGTTACTTCTCATTTGAAAACTGTTCCTCCAGAAGCACATTAGCAGTAGGCATCTAGAGCAACGGTGATTTTAACAATGGATTTTTATTTTCCTTAAGAAGAAATATGGCTGAAATCCAAAGGAAAAAAAAAACAAAAAGAAAAACTCTGTTTATTTGCATAGTTGTCCATAGAACATAAAGAAGATTTAAGCCTGTTCTACTCATTAATGTGTATAATGTCCCCTTTGAGCTAAGAAGGAAATTTATCAATCCCATTTTCAATCACAGAAATTGAGACAAGGGGATAAATACCGTACCCTGACCCATGGACCCAGGAACTGCCATTCAAAACAAACACAGGAATCTATGCAAAGTCTAAATGTTACACCTTTGTTTCTCTACTCTTAGTGCTGGAGAGAGTTTTTGCTTAAGGAATAATGGAGTTTTCTGGCATCATTCATTCCTAGAAAGAGGAGCAGGAGAGAGGAGAGAAAAGCCCTATCCTGGGAGATGGGGGCACATGCCTCCACCCCTCCACCTGCAGCCACTCTCTTCCTCCAGGGGTTTTTGTGAGCCAGCTGGGGTCTTCCACATGACCCTGTGGTACTGAGGTTAAGCATGAACACTTTTTCAAAGGCTGGATCACCCAGGCTGGGAAATGCTGACTTTAATAACAGGAGACTGTAAAATGATTTTCTTATCTTGCTCATCCTTCTTTTATTTCACTTGGGTAAATGCAACGTGGCCCCACACACTCAGGAATCTCATTTGTCACCAAGTGAAGGGGACAACTTAACATTCAATCCCTGGTGAATAAATGCGATTGTTTATTGCAGGAGGTTCTGAAAATTTATCGTTGCATTCACAAAGTGTGGGCTTCTGAAATTTGACATTGGGATCTTTGTTTATTTATTATTTATGCAGCTGGAATTGGTAATGTTCCCCAATTCTATTCCTTTAAAAAAAGTCATAAGTTGTTTTGAATATGTCATAATTCTTCCAAAAAGATATCAAGAACCATACCACTAAGTGACCATTGCTTCCTTCCAAGTAGGCATATGGGCATGTTTCAACAAGGTTGTCTCATCTCAAAATATACTTGGAGCTCCTCTGCCCCATCAGCCTTCAAGGTTCACTGCAATATCCTGCTGCAACATCACTGTTGTGAGCCTTTGACTGAACCCTCCTCTTCTCCTCTCACTGCATCATTACATCCTTACCCAGGTGTCACTCAGTTATGGTGGCCCATCTTGTAGAGCATGACCTGATGCAGGGTAGCAACTCTTTTCCTCTTCTCCTCTTTGAAGAATTTTAGGCAGAGATGTGACAAGATCAGGTTTTCCTTACTCTCAAAATCTGGAAAAGATGAGAGTAGGCTCATTCAATGTTTCACTCATTTAACCCATTGAGCAAATATTAATTGAGACTCTACTATGTTCAGTGCATGATACTGAGCACAGGGATGTGATGATGGGTGAAACAGGAGGACTCCCTTCTCCGAGTGAATTCATTAACTAGTCAAAGAAAGAACAGGCAAAGAATCACTCAAACACCTACAAAGTGTGTGGCTTCTGCCCATTCCAATACAATAGACGAATGTAAACTAAAGATTTCTTAACAGTTCATTGAGTATCACCTGTGTAGAAGGGATTATATTGGACATGGGCACTTAGCTTTAGCAAAGCCCATTTTGACAACATATCACTGCTGTAAATCCCATGGGAGGCAGACATGACAATTCGCTACCTGCCATGCAGTTTCCAAGACAGCAACATCTCATTACAGGAAAAAAATCTGGACAATTTTCTGGTTATTGTCTGCATTGACACTTCTCCTGGATTGGCAGTCTTTAAGGAAGAATTTTGGAGGGAGGTACAATCCAATATGGAAATGAAACAGCACCTTCTCCTAGCCTGGACTGGGTTCAGGTCTAAAACTGGACATAATCTCTCACCACCTCCGGCTTGGTATCTTTTCTAGAACTTCCTAAACACCCACAAACCAATGTGAAAAAAATTGCATGGCCGTCAAAACTCATCAGGAAGTATTTACTAATTTTATAATTAATCATTTGTTTGACTGACATGAGTTACAAAGCATTTGTGCATGTGTAAAAGTGAGGCTGTGTGTAAGTACAGCCTAAATAAGTGTGTGAAAAAGAAACAGAAGCATGCAGCCACACTAAAGCACTTTTTACATTTGTATTTATTTTCTAGAAGTAAAATTCTGAATGAAACAAACGGGAAGTCCTTTAGAAGGAGTTTTGAAGTTGAGTAATTGTTATGCGTCTCAAGAGAAAGGACCAGGAGAGACGTGGTCCACGGAGCAGAACCTGGGGACTCAGTCTAATTCTGGCCCTGACACCTCCATGCAGTTTGACCTTGAGTAAATCATCTACTCACCATGAGCCTTACTTTCATCCAATCTGTAAATTTGAGCTTAGCAATGACCCTAGTTACCTCATGGGTATGCTGTGGAAAGAAATGAGATAACACTTCTGAACTTATGGGGAAACCTGGAGAGAATGCAGAAAAGAGTGACAAAAATGATGAAGAAGAAGTTAGATTCCTTGAACAAAGGTTAAAAGACACTTGAGATAATTTAGACTAAAAAAGAGAACAACAAAAAGTGACTTAATTATCGTCTTCAATTTATGATATTTCTGTGTCGCTCTCTCTTTCCTCTCTTTTTCTTTCACGCCCTGCCTCTCTCTCTCTCTCTCTCTCTCTCTCTCTCTCTCTCTCTCTCTCTCTCTCTCTCCCCCCTGCCCAGCATTGACCAACAAGAAGAAACTCTGTCCTTACCTATCACTCAACCCCTCCCAGCTCAACCAGACTATTAGCCTCATGACTTTGTTGGAACCTAAATTGAGGTTACCTACTTGAAAGCTGCCTCCTCTACCACCTTAAACACACTTTAGCAACTTGCACGTCTACTGACATTGATCTGAAAATCCCCAACATTGTATCCAATTTCCTGGCTCTTGGGCCACCTAGAATTGTTAAAATAAAATACAGAATTGTACAAACTTGTCATATGACAAAATTCACGTTAACCTGCAAGCAATCCTCATATATTCCTCTTTATCCGTTCAATGTCCTGACCTTGAACTTGACCGAAAATATTCAGATCATCAAGGCCACTGATCCCACTGAGAGAGGTCTCCAGAGAGAGTGCCTGGGGAAACAACAGTGACACGTTGGTGCAGTCATTACCGGACTCATTCCAAAACAGAGGAAAGATGAGACGCTGGACACAGAGCCTTTGCCAAAACCTTACAATTCACATCCAACCCCTTGAGCTCTGCAAAAAACACTAGAAGCCCACCACCAACAAAAGAGAGGGGAGAAAATGTAGAAACTGTAGTAGACAAAAAATGTTAGAACTCAAGTTAGCATCCAATTGTTTAAGGAATGCAATAATGAAGAAATTGATCTACTCTCAGGGAACAAAAAATATTCTCCTTCCTTATCACTCAACACCTACCAAATCAATTGGAACAGTAAATAGGCAGATAGACAAAGAAAAAGACTTGACCACTTCACATTTCATGTAATGAAAACCAGCAGTCAGACAGGAGAGACTTCCGTCTCTTTATTATCTCTGTACTTGCCAGCCAAGCAAAGCAAGCCATTACTTCCAATCTCTGTCATTCAATCACTCATCAATAATTATTATAAGCCCTGGAAAAGCTGACTGGCACTTGAATTGACATTAAAACTTGGCCCTCTGCTACTTACTCATCAGTGATGTCAAGGATGGAACTTAGCAGTTTTAGCAGGAAGGAATTAGTGAGTGAAGTCTTTGATTAGGAATCATAAATCCAGCTTCTGCAAACCAGTACCTTTGCACACAATAAATTGATGCTTCTCCAACTTCAGCATGCTCAAAAATGACATTTTCTTTTTTAAATGTGTATATTCCTGGTATTCTCCACTTCCAGACCTACTAAATCACGTATCTGGATTATTAACTAGCAACCAGGTGATCCCAAATCATTAAGCTGTGTTGTAGTGAATGCTCACTCTGCTGAGGAGCTCTTCTTCTCCAATGTCTTCTTTGAGAATATCTGTGAGTTCCTACATGCATGAGAAAGCTAAATTGAGGTTGAGGAACAGATACTGGTTCAGTAACACACACCCCAAAACTCCATTTTTCTATGGAATATGCAGCAGCAACTGTTCCACTGACTCGGAAAGTTGCCTCCATTCCCCGTCCCTTTCACTTGTCACTTTCGTGGGTATTTCTAGAATGATTGTCCATATCACTGTTGCAATGCTTATATGCCTTATGCGTTATCCTTTTAATAAGTCCAGACTGAGAGAGCACTTTAAGACCATCAAATAAAAGCTGATCTAGAGTGACTGTCGCATTGCCTAGCCCGTAATATCAGTACAAGTTAATTTTCACAGATCCTAAAGAAACGTGACTGTCAACTGGGAATCCAAGCGAACAAGAATTCCATCTCACAGCAAAGTCTGGAGTTAACATGTAACTCTACCTAGATGCGGTCATTGTTAAAGGACATGTGGGAGGCTACCCTTTCAAGATTATTTTTGACAGGAATGGGTTAATCTTGTAATCTTTTCTCTTCTTGTTCCAGTCGCTGGGCTGTCTATAGGGTAGGTAAATGTGGTGCTATTTTCCGGTTTTGTTTCACTGTTTGTCAAGAGAGTGGGCCAATTTCATACCATTTGCCGCTTTCGTTACTGTCTCAAGGTTGTCACAAGAATTGATAAATTTCAGACTGTTTTTCTTGTCCTCATTACAATCTTAAGGTTGTCATGAGAATAAATTGATTTTGTGCCGTTTTTTGGTCCTCATTACCGTCTTTGTCATGAGAATGGCTTCATTTGGAGCCATTTCTGTTCCTGTAGCCATTTTTGTCATGAATGGCTACATTGAGAAGAGATTCATCAATGGAAAGAAACAGACCCCATCTTGGGGCTGATCTTTGGGGCAGCGAGCTCTCGAGCAGAGGCCCAGCGAGAGCTGAGGCAGGGATAAACCATAGCCCTTCTTGTGCAGAGTTCACCATTGTGACTTTTGTGACCCTGGTGTAATCACAGAAAACAGACAACAAACAAAGCTCCCATCTTCAGTTACTGCTCCTGGCCTGATTTCCTCCTGAAGGACAGATAATCCTCTAGGTTGGCTCTTGAGGACATTGACAGGGAGTGACCTGGTGATCCAGAAGGAAACCTGGAGAGAGGAAAGCCATGTCGGTTGGACGTGGAAGGCAGCAGTTCACACGGAGGAGTTTTGGCAGGACTCATGTCTCAAAGCTACACGTTAACATCGTTGGTTCCAGCAACTTCCTGATTATGGGAAGTGAGAAGGCACAAACATGTTCCCAAAATTCAACTCTCCAAGATGCTCTAACTACTCCAAAATATGTTTTATTTCTTTTAGTGCAAAAATATTCAGATCCTAATGAACTCAAACTAGATGCAAGCAAACAGAGCAGCCTTCCTTGGAACCCAGATGGGGACTTGGTGTCAGAGGCAGAGCAGAGGCCAGTCTTCAATAACATCACATGCTCAGAATTAGCGGGAAGATCCTTGGCTAAAGATTTCAGCAGCTTGCTATATTAGAGAGACATTTGCAGTCAGCATTTAAGAGAAAGGTCCAGATGGTCAGTGAGCAAAGATGTACAAATCAGGGAGCAGAAGTGATTTTAGGGTTGTGCTGTCCAGGGATGGGTTGCGTTAATTATTTTTGTTCATCTCTTTGACCAATTTTAAATCAAGCAATCAGTTTTATCTCCTGGCTTTTTTATACAAAATACATTATTTGGTTGACTTAATTAATTACAGACCACAAGCTGGAGAGGCATTAGGAGGATGATCTGAAGGAAATGAGGACCGGAAAGAGGAGGTTTTAAATACATATGTGCTTGAGGACCTCCGGGCTTCCTGGAAATAGACAAGCTGTATGGCCTGTAACAGAGAAAGAAGGATTTATAATAATGGACTTATTCAAGTAGTCCGGCACCTGGGTAAAATTAGGGCTGAAAGTGGAAACAACCTAAAAGGCCATCAACTGGTAACGGATAAATAAAATGTGCTATATCCATACAATGGAATACTATTCAGCCATGGAAAAGAATGAAGTACTGATACAAGCTACAACGCAGATATACCTCAAAAAACATTGTTAGGTGAAACAAGCCAGACACATAAAACCACAAATTATTTGATTCTGTTTACTTGAAACGTCCAGAATAGGCAAACCAATTAAGACAGGAATTACAGCAGTGGTTGGCTAGGGCTGGGTAGCCAAAGGGGGGAATGACTACTAATGAGCATGGAGTTTCTTTGTGGGGTTTGATGGAAATGTTCTAAAGTTAGATTATGGTGATGGTCGCACAATTATGTAAATTTCCTATAATTCATTGGGCTGTACAGTGAAAACAGGTAACTATTTGATGGAATGTAAATTGTACATCAATAAAGTTGGTTTTAGTTTTTAAGTAGCTTAGAGGTTTTTGAATATTTGCCCTAGTAGACCATAGACATGGCTAAAGTAAAGTGGATTTTAGGGAGGGTGGCAGAAAGATTCACAGAAATTGATGGGTCAGTTTCATTTTTTAAGTGAAGAAGAAAAATAACAATCTTGTAAACATTTGCCTTGTGAGGACACCAAAATAGGGAAGTTGGGTACTCAATGAAATTGAGGAGGACTTTAATGATCAATTAATGGGCTGTAAGCGAACAGGAAGCGATATGAGAAAGAAACATGATTAGCAGGAGAGCTGTTACAGGAAGGAAACACCAAAACTGCTACAGTTGAATCCAATGGCATTTTCTAGTAATTGAAAGAGGAACATTTTATTTTACCTCCCAGTAAAGCAAACCCATTCTATTTAAGTTGACCTTGACACTCTTGGATTGGGCACCCAAGAATTGGGTAGGGATGCTTGGAGATGCTGTGATTTTGAGGTGCTGAAGGTCATCTAAATGAAGAGAAAGGCACATCATTGCTTTCCAAGAGTGCCAGGGGTGAGTGTGAGAAGAGGATGCATGAATCACAAGGGTAGATGCAAGCAAACCCCCTTCCAGAAATCCCAAACAAGAAGAGGGAGCCCAAGTTAAGCTTTGCCGACTTGGGAAATAATGAAAGAAAAAGGTAATTAGGGAAAAGAAATAGAGGAAAAGAGAAGGGATGGTAAGAGATTTCTGGGAATGTGGCTAATGATTTGGGCATTGCTGCTATCAAATTATGGTGATGGGACCGGGGACCTGTATTTCCATGTTGTTTGACAGTGTTGCAGGGTTAATGTCCTTGGGCCCAGCCTAATAAACTGTGGTCCTTACAGGTTAAACTTAATAGAACGCCTGGATTGTTCTTAGGGAGCAAGGAGCTGTCAAGCGGGAGTGTACACTTCTAAGTGGGCAGGAGTGCACCTAGTAATGGTCAGTGAAGGGCTGGCCAATAAAGGAAACGTGTGAGATAAGAAACCTGGCCCGAAGGCGTGCCCCTTCCCCAATTCATGTTCAGTCTGGCCTGAGGAGGTGGATCATCACAGCCTTTTCCTCTTCCGCCTGCCCCAGAGTGGAAGGCCCCTTGCTGAGGCCCTCAGCAGGGGCAGCTGGTCCCAGCTTGAAGTCAGAGGCCCAGAGCGCTGCACCCTGACGACACCGTGGATCCAGCTCCCTGAGCTCAGTGACCTTGCGGTGCCTTATTGCTTTTCACTAATTTCTCTGGGCAATTGTACACTTTTAGGCATCTCGTTTAACAAATTGTTAAGCTCTTTATGCTATCAAAGGGGTCATGTGATGTCAGAAGGATTCTAAGACACATTCCCTCATTCACAATTCTCCGGCTAATATGAGAGGCATTAGGAGGAGTGTGAAGAGCCAGCACATCTTCCCTCTCCTCTCTGCCCGGGTGACCTCCAGAGGGCCGTCTGCTCCCCGGAAGGCAGGGCCCCCACCCTCTGAGCTCGGCCTGCGAGCTGGCGATGCAAGTCAGTCTGCAGCTCAGGGGGAGATACGCTCATATCAATGATAGATAAATCCCAGCTAGAAATACAGGTCCCTGACAACCTAATCACTGAAACCCTGTCAAGTAACCCCTAATTTTGAAGCGAGTGGTTAATTCCCAGCAAATTGATTTATGCACTGTTTGAGGTTTGGCGAGTTGTGTTGTTCATCTGTGATTACCAGGAACTCGGCTCTGCCTATTCATTTACAGCACTGACACAACCCAGTGCATCGCCCAAGAAAATCTCCTTTGTCAGCACATCTAGAATTTGCTAATTAAATCAACGATGACATTATTCACTTTCTCAGGAAAAGAAAAAAACACAATCCCTCCCCCCAACCACCAGGCTTTTTTCTTTCTCCCACTTTCATCCTTTTCTCTCTCTGTCTCTTATTCTCTTCGCTGCAAGTCTGAGTTTGGTAAGCCGCAAGAATCTCAAAGTTTAACTGGTCTCTGCTGGGTTTTATTTTGTCTGCAAACAGCAAACTAATGGTAACATCCCACCATTCAATTAGGAATAAACAGGCACACACACAGCTGCACACGAGTGCGCACGCGCTAGCACGCCCACATAAGCATGTGCACACAGCACAAGTCCACATGCAGGACACAGCGACATAGTTGCCTTTAGGAAAAATATGATGATTCTGAGTATCTTTGAGTCTTGCTTTTTCATTTTTATACCAGAAGTGTGGATTTCATTAAAATGAAAGAGTTGGCCAGGGCTACATTCATTGTCTGTATTATTGCAGCTGAAGTGAACTCGAATGCAAGGAAGGACAGGCTGTCCCCCGGGCTCAATAATTACAGGGCCATAGTATCGCTGCTTCTCTTTGGACTCCAAGTTGTAAGAATTTACAGAAGGGCTAGAATGAACTATTTTACACATTTTGGACGTTTTAAGTCACGTTTCTTCTTAAATTGGAATTTTGTTTTCCAATTTATGGAAATTAAAAGGTAAAACAAGGGAAAGAAGATCTAGATACTGTTTTGTTGTTTTAATGATGATCTAGAAACTTCTCTCCTGCTGCACATAGGCAAAATGAGAGCTAAAATCAGAAGCAGAATAATTACTTTTCAAAACAATATTATTTATGTAGTCTCTTTTTTAACAATAGCCTTAGAGTTTTTAATCCTTAGCAAGAAATTGGGCTTTTTTAAAAAATACTTTTAATTCACTAAGAAGACCACAGTCAATTCACGGTCATGTGAATTGTCATGTGAGATGCCAAGTGCACGGTCCTGTGGTATTTGAAAGGTCAGTGTGGTTTATGAGTGGAATACTTGGGCACCCAAATGACCAGGATGAAGCTGCTGGGGCCAGGGCTGAGAGGTGTTTTTCCTGGAATACATCTGCTCCATAGGCTTATCTGAAAACAGAACAGACATGGTCTGTTACATTTGTTCCTTTGGTTCAAAGTTTTAGCCTACAAAAAAAAAATAGTACCTGAAAGAAGTAATATATTTACAAATAAGTGAAGCTTTAAAATAACAGACTCTGCATCAGGCATGGTCCAACCAGGAGTTAAATGCAGAGAAGCAGCCAGGTAGGTAATGGAGTTGCTTAAGAGCCAAATAGGGAACATTAAGGCAGCCTGTACATTTGTAAGAGCAGAAAGTCACAACAGCTGGAGGCTGGAGGGACAAAGGAAGGCCAGAACAAGATCACCCACAGAGAAGACCCAGAGAAGACCCAGCTCCCCAGGCAAAGGGGAAAGCACACCCAGGCCTCTCCCTCTGACTCCCCCGCCTCTCACCCATGCCCCGAAAGGGCCAGACCTAGCCAATGGCCACCGAACCCTCAGCCCAGGAGATGCAGCCTTCAAACACACAGAGGGCAGGGGAGGGTGAGCAGGCTCCCCATGAGATTCAGCAGCAGAGAGAGGGAAGATTGGCCAGAACAGTTATTTGTCACTCAGGACAAGTGAGAGCTCTGCCAGGTGCCACAAAGAATTCAAAAAGAACCAACCAGGGACGTGTGCTTGAGAGGAGAGAATATGAATTTAGGAAAGTCCCCATGGACAACTTATTCCACCTCTCAGACCCTTAACTTTCTTTTGTATAAAATGAGATGACAAAGTCCACCTCACTAGGAGCACAGTTAAAACCAATAATC
Organism: Homo sapiens; assembly: GCF_000001405.40. NCBI lineage: Eukaryota > Metazoa > Chordata > Mammalia > Primates > Hominidae > Homo > Homo sapiens. Next base: position 75,376,603 of record NC_000018.10, on the reverse strand, counting down.
ACTTGTAGGTTTCCTTTTATTTCCTCCTCCCCAAGGAATTAACAATTTAGAATATAATATACCAATGTCCTAAAAGTAGAAAATGTAACACATTGTTTTCTCTGCCTGTGATTTGTCCATCCCAACCCCTCCAAGGAACTCCAAGTGCCTTGCCATCTCTATATAATTAAGTCCATAAATCTCACATTCACATTTGCCTCTTACCTGTCACCTACCCCCGCAACAAGCCTACTCTGCTCCAATCACAAACACATCAACTTAAAGATCCCTTAAAGATCCCTTCTTTCTGACATTTTACTCTTTAAATCAGGGCTCTGCAAATGACTGTCTGCAAGCCAACTCCACTGTCCTCCTGCTTTTGTAAATAAAGTTTTATTGGCATACAACCACACCCTCTTTGTTTGCATATGGTTTGTGGCTGTTTGCACGCTACAATGGCAAAGCTGAGTCATTGTGACAGAGACTGTGTGGTCCAAAAATCCTAAAACATGTACTGTCTGCCTCTTTATAGAATAAGCTCGATGATCCCTGTTTTAAATGATGGCTCTAAATGCATCTGCTCCCTTGAGAATGAATAAACATTATTCATCAGTCTCTGCCCTTCTTTAAACACATTTGAAATTCCATCACCACCATGATTTCCCAGGCTCATCCAGGTAAAGCCAGTGCCTTCTCCACACCTGCCTGTGCCAGGTGTGGACTTAAGTCTTTATTTCTGAACCTAAAGGAGAGTTTCCCCTGGTACAGGGGCTTCACATTCCAGGGCCTTGGGGTCTTGCTCAGCACCGTACCAACTGGCTGCATGAGGCCTAGCAGGAAGTGCTTATTTAGGAAGAGGTCAGAAGGTAAGTGGGAAAGAAATCCACCCAACCTGACATCTGGCTTGGTAAAGAGAGACGGAAGATGCAGGTGCCTCGGTGAGGTGAAGTGTGCAGACACTTGCCAGACCCCATTAGCAGGCTCCAAGACTGGGAACCATGGAGGAATGTAGGGAGAAGTAGAATCCAAGAATAGAGCACTGAATACTTGGAGGATGGCACAGGCAGGATCTGGACCGCAGACATTTGTGGGAAACAAACTTTCTCCCCCGCAGCCAGAGGACACCCAAGATGCAGACAGGTGCAACCACGAGCTGTGACTATTTGTGCAATTTCATGGCAGTCGCACATGTATTTGTAAAGTGTGCTTCTGCTCTCTATGCTTTGTTTATAAAAATAGGGAAAAGAAAGATTTGGACTGTGATGGTTAATTTTAAGTTTCAACTTGACTGGGCTAAGATATGCCCAGATAACTGGTAAAACATGATTTCTGGGTGTGTCTGTGAGGGTGTTTTGGGAAGAAATTGGCATTTGTGTCAGTGGACTGAGTGGAGATCACTCTCCCCAGTGTGGGTGGGCATTGAGGGTCTGTTTAGAACAAAGAGGTGGAAGGAGAGAAAATGTGTTCTCTCTGCTTGAGCTGGGACCTCCCTCTTTTCCTGCCCTCGGACATCGGCACTCCTGGTTCTCAGGCCTTCATACTTGAACTGAATTACACCACCAGGCTTTCTGGGTCTCTAGCTTGCAGATGGCAGGTTATGGGACTTCTCAGCTTCCATAACAACTGGAGCAAATTCCCATTATCTGTGTATCTCATCCTATTGGTTCTATTTCTCTGGAGAACCCTGATTAAGACATAGACTATATCTGCATTATCTTTCCTTTATCAGAAGGTGGCTTTAGACATAAGTTGTGTCTACATGAAGCCAAACAAGAGGACGGTACAGGAGAGCACTCAGTCCATTGGCAGGTGGTTTGGTCTCCATGGGCGAGACCAATCGGCATGTGCTGGTGACGGGGCTGACAAGGTGCTAAGTGTGCTGGCTGAGCCAAGGCTTCTTTGTGTCAGTAGCAACAAGCCCCACTTAGCCTCTGCCCAGCTACCAAGGGCCAGTGGTCCAGACTCTGTGGTTTCACTGAGCGTAACTTAATTGGAAATTTTTGCAAGTTCCAAACCACATTCTTGTTTATAAGAAAGGTGACTGCATTTGTTGACTTAAGTCTGCATTTCTGAACCTAAAGGAGAGTTTTCCTCAATGCATTGCTTACTAATCAACTTTTTTTCTAGCTTGTCATTTTGTTTAATGTTGCAAAACACGGCAATTTTTTAAAGTAGGATCTGATTTTGCAAAGAGATGTTTAAACTTAAGTGAAATAATGGATGTAACAAAATACCACCAAATATGACAGCTTTGTTCTGCCAATGTAATTTGCTGATTCTAGAAACCAAATGCAGAACAGTCTGTGCCATTCTCAGAAAAGAGCCGTGCATGACAGACACAGAGCTGGGTAAACGCCGGCGCGCACTACATTAAATAGCAGACTTCTGCATTCGGTTTTGCTTTTTATCCACTTGTCATAGCTAACTCTTTAATAATACTCTACTGTTCCTTCCAGCCTGGAGCCCAGGAAGGCGATCTCACATTTTAGCAAGAATATGATATAATATAATGATGCTCCCAAATTATTTTATTTGTAATAATCTTTGTGATGATATTTCAGGAAATCGAGTGTGGCCCAAAGCTCATTTTCAGGAGATGCCACATCAGTGTTTAGGAGACAGACAGCAGTGTTGGCCTCAAGAGTCATGCACATTCACGACATGGAAGCAGGCCTTGAAATGCACATGAGCTCAGAGAGGTGGATCTGTGGCTCCCTCATCACTGCAGAGTCTGGAAACACCAGGAAAGAGGCTCTTCAACAACAAGAAAAATAACAACTGACACCTAGTTTTTTGCCATAAGAGCCCTAGCATACAGCCCCTCTAGAAAGAAAACTAAAAGATAGACATAGATTTGAAATTGATCAGGGAGTCAGAAAACTATGACCTGAGAGCCAGTGCAGCCCACCGGCTGTTTTTGCAAAATGTGTTATTGGAACACGTCCATTTGGTGACACATTTCATGCCACAATGCTGGAGGTGGGTAGGCAGCAAAGACTCTGAAATATTTACTATGCCACCCTTTGAAAAAAGTTAGAAAAGCCCTAACACAGAAGAACATGGATAAACACATATGTAGGTAACAAATCGTACCCCTGATAGCTCACAATGAGAGGGTGGTCTCTTCCACACCAGACTGATAGCCCTTCTCATGCTGGAAACTGTGGTTTGTCATTTCTTCAAGGGCAGAAGTTGTCTTCTCCTCCCCGTTCATCTCCCACAAGAGCTTCTCACTCGTGAGGGGGCGGGAGTGTGCAGTGGATCAGGGTATGGGAAATTCTTTGCAAATTGTCTTCCTTCCATTTCCTATGTTCCTTTGCAGTGTGACTTTGAAGCTCTTCATATCATGAGGTGAAGTCTTTCCCCACCCCTTGAATCTGGGCTGGCCAGTGACTTGGATTGACCCATAGAATGTAGCAGAGGTGGCAGCAGGCCAGCTCAAGGCCCAAGCTCCTGAGGCCTGGAATGCCGTCACGCTTCTGGAACCTGTGGCCTAGCCACCACCTGAGCAGGCCTGGGCTCACCTGCTGGAGATGCCTGAGTGAGCACAGTTGAGACCAGGGGATCTGCCCACTTGAGTACAGCCCACATTGCTGACCCATAGAATCGTGAGCTAAACAACATATTGTTGTTTAAAGTCACTAGTTTAGGGATAGTTTGTTATGCAGCACAGCTAACTGATACACAGGCAACACCGCCAAGTTACCCTCTTCAGCAGGCAGATTTCCAATAGATATAGCCCACTGGTGAGATGGAATCATGGAACCCCTCAGTTCAGAATATTCCTTATGGAGAAAATAAGGGAAGTGAGCTGTTTTAAATCCAATGAGCACGCATGTAAATCACCCATCAAAAATCAAAAATAAACTAAAACAAGCCCTAGTAAGTGGTAGCAGTTGTCCACTTCAGAATAAAAATAGGGATGTCTACTGATCTTGTGATCTAACCACATTTTAGAAGGGTCTCTCTGGCAGAACTTGGGTGAGAGGGAGCAATAGGAAGTGGGGAAGCCTTAATAATTTATTGAAATAGAAGGGACCTTATCTAGGCCCATGCACAGCAAAGGAGATGAAGTGGGGATGGTTGCAATAAATAAATTGGGAGGAGAACGGAGCTTGGGAGTGATAAACCCCTGGTGAAGTTGTTGAGTGTGGGCACCCATGAGATACATAAGTCAAATGATGTAGTGGAGAGCTGGTGGGATACATTCATGCTCTTGTGCAGTGAACCTTCTTTGCATTTCTACTTGCCAGACACTTGCTTGCTGCTTCACTTGTATCATTTCCATTTACCCTCAAAGCAGCTCCACAAGGAAATACCTCATTTTTCAAAATGAGAAAACTGAGGCAACTGACGCCCCACAGTCATGTCACATGGACTGCTTTATTCGTGGGATCTTAGAGTCATCCCACCTTAAAGCAGCCGTCAGGAGACACGTGGCGGCCTCCCCCATGGGTACCCATGACCTCACTTCTGCAGGAAGCCTGTCTCACAACCTCCCTGAGAGGTGGCCATTGGATACACAGCTTCTACTTAAGTCTTCCCAGGACGGGAGCTCAGTGACCTATGAGGTCACCAACTCCAGTGTTCATTTATGGGTGATGCTAATTTATCCAAAATTTATCCATCAACATGGATTGCACACCAGACACTGTGGCTCGTGCTGAAGTTGTGAAGAGGAGTGAGACACTCTCCATCCTTAAAAAGTGCAGCTGCTGTAACACTCAGTCTTAATATAGAGGAACCTGGACAAGGTGGGAAGCCCACACTCAACATGGAAAAAGTAGTATGGAGGCAGAGCCCAGGTGGGGGAAATGTCCTTAGCAAGAGACCAGGATATACAAGAAGTTTCTAAGGCATCACGTGGGAGCCCAGCTTAAAGAAAGCAATACTTGAAGTATTATGGAGAATTAAATGCTGGCATCCTTCCTGCTGTCTCCTAGTGCATGCGTGAAGGTGCCAGGTTCTAATGAGCATGTATTGAGTGCCTGGAGCACACACTGCAAGAACAGAAAAGCTCATTTTATTGAGCACTTGTTGGGTGCTGTATGTCTATCATATCATTTGACCCTTGCAGGAACAACCTAAGAAGCAGGCTTCATTACTATTACCATTCCCATCCCACAGATGAGGAAACCGAAGCTCAGACAGATGAGGTGACCTGCTCAAGGTCACATAGGCAGTACATAGCAGAATCAATATTGAACTCAGGTCTGTCAGACTCCAGCCTAGATTCCCAAGCATTATGCTGAAGTACCCATCACAGCCGTTCTGTCAAATAAAAAAAGGAAAAGTATGGAGTTTTTCATGTTGGAATTTGGGAAGCAAACCACATCTGCATCACAACACAGATCGCAGAGTCAAAGGGAGCTCAGTGTGTCATGGGATTGGCTCCGCTGGGCTTGTTGGAAATTAGAAATCTTAGCTAGAGGCGAGACTGCAAACTAGGAAGAGAAGGCAAATGGAAAATTGGGGTTGAGGTCATTCCCTCCACAGAGGTGCAATGGCAGGAGCCGGTAAGACCCAGCAGGAGGCAGGAGAGGGTTGCAGGAGGTCAGAGAGGAGGGGGCTTCTGGGTCGGGGAAGCAAGGTCAAAGAAGAATGGAAGTGGGCTGAAGAAGGATGATGCAGAGCTATTGTGGGCTCCACGCAGGGGAGTAGCTTGATGAAAATAGCATTCTTGGAAGATTATCCTGCCAGCTATGTATAGGACGAACTGGAGCAGGAAGTGGGGACAGCAGAGAGCCTCGCCTGATGGCTGCTGAGGCTCTCCAGGCATGGTGCAGTGAGTGGGAGTGAGACTCGCAGGGGCAGGGGCCCAGAGGAGAAAATGCACCATGGAGGCAACCGGGAAGAGCACTCAGGACGGCTGCCAGCTCCCTGCGGCTTACAGATGCCGCGTTCCAGGGCCTCCACAGGAGTTAAGCCACTGATGCCACAAGAAGACATTGATCGAAGACATCATTTTATCAATTTTAAGACTACCCATGGCCAGGTGCCATGGCTCGCGCCTATAATCCCAGCACTTTGGGAGGCCCAGGTGGGTGGATCGCTCTCTACAAAAAAAAATGCAAAAAGTCACCAGGCGTGGTGGTGTGCATCCGTGCTCCCAGCTATCAGCAGGCTGAGGTGGGAGGATTGCTTGAGCCTGGGAGGTCGAGGCTACAGTGAGCCATGACCTTGCCACTGCACTCCAGCCTGAGCAACAGAGCCAGACCCTGTCTCAAAAAAAAAAAAAAAAAAAAAAAAAAGACTATCCATGACCTCATATAGGAGAATTGTTTTCGTCATACAAAAGTTTGGTCGGGAGCACTGCTTTTGGCTATGTCTGCCCAGACAGACATTTGCAGTTGTAAATGTGTAGTAGTTCTAATTCTACCAATTATTTCGCCTATGGCTACAAGCACCATTCCCAGTGATATTTCCCCCAGTGGTGTGTGTGTGTCTGAGCTTCTCATGGGATGGACCATAAGGAATGAGAGTCCTGTTTCATGAGTGGTCGGAAGACAGGACATGTGATGTCACTGGCTGTCCAGAGAAATTCTTATCTACAAAACTGATGTCTGGAACCCATAGCCAAGAGTGGACAAAAAACGTACCAGGACTTCATGAAAGACAGCCACACACACGCAGGGCAAAGCATCACAAAACAGTCTCATCCACAACTTCAGTGAAACTAGGTGCCACTAGCTTATTGGCAGGGACTCGGAGATGCTGGTCCCCATGGAAGTGGGCTGGTTCTGTCTGAGTCTTTCAACAAGACCTTTCTATCAAAGGATTGGGGTCTGGAGAAGTTTGAGGGGGATAGGGACAGAGAGCAGGGGGAGAGAAGGGAGTGACAAGACCAAATGCCCCGCTTTTCAGGACATGTGAGTTTCCAGAACAGCTCCCCAGCTGCAGACACTCAATAAATCCTTCTCAGGCCATGTAGTTTATTTTCTATGAAGCCAAATTAACCTTCAGTGTGATTCAGCACGGGGACAAAGCCTTAGCAATATCGGCAAATAGCAAGAGAAAGATGCTCTGATCCTGAGTGGCAACTAACTGTATTTACACGCTTGAATGAAGAGCAGCATTGCATCAGCTTTTTGGTCTGAAGGTGTCCAGGACAAACAGTGCTCATGGCCATCTCTGTGTAAGCAGGTTCCCCTAGGAACAGGAGAGGACAGCTCTCTACCACTCCCAGTGTTTAGCCCAGTGAAGCTAAAACCACGCTCCCCACAGGGAAAGTCTGTTATCTGAGAGGAAGCTTCCTTCCGGGACTCCAACATCTCTCTAAGACCTCTTCCAGATCTGCCTCGGTGAAGACCAAGGCCGTGGTGTGCACTGTAGATCCACCAACCAAGGCTAGCACCACCCGCCTGACAAGCCTCAGAAGAGCAGCCAGTGCCTGGGCTCTGGGAGCCGCCCTTGGATGTCATGACCGCGGGTCTCAACAACAGCGATGGGAACGCAGGGCGGTGGAGGTGCCTGCACGGCACCACATGGCCAACAACCAGTGTTCGGTGGATTTCCCTGCATGGTATTGATTTCTGGAACTCTGGGTGCTTGGTCAGATGAAGATGGGAGGGGACTGATTGCTATTTCCCAGGTCCGAAGGGTGGCCAAGGGGAAGAGGAAGTGATCCTACTGGGCTTTTCGGGGACAGGACCGTGACATCAGGAAGCAGATTTTGGTAAAGGAAGAAAGAACTTCCCAATCATTAGACTGCCTGAGAAAGGAATGGGCTGACTTGTGAGGCAGCGTTCCCTGTTGTAAGAGGTATTTAAGCAAAGGTTCAGTGAATCGTCTGTACAGAAGATCTGCCTCAGGCACACAGGCTTGAGCTGATGTTGGAGCCCCTCCCACACAGGGCATTGGCATGTCCTCTTTGAAGCCCCCACAGAACTGTTGTGAGTCTCCTGGAACTGCCATAACAGTGTTCCACCAACTGGGTGGCTTCAGCAGCAGAAATGGATTGGTTCGCAGTCCTGGAGACGGGGCTAAGTCTAAGATCAAGGTGGCTGCAGTGGTGCTGGTGATTGCTGGTAGTCGCTGGCACTCCTTGGCTCATACAAGCATCACTCAGATCTCTGCCTTCATTTTCCCCTGGCATTCTCTCTGTCTCTGTCTGTCTGCAAATTTCCCCTTTTTATAAGGACACCAGTCACATTAAATTAGGGCCCACCCTGATGACCTCATTTTAACTTGATTACCTCTACAAAGATCATGTCTCCAAATAAAGGCACATTCTGAGGTAGTGGGGGTTAGGACATCAACATATATAAACTTGGGGGAGACGCAATTCAACTCATGACAGAAACCTTTCTGATCAGGGCTAAGTCACCGCATATTGTTGACCTGAGGTGTGTGGCTGTTTCAACAACCCAGGAAGACAAAACTGTTAAAACCTGAGGCGGCAGCAACACGAGGTAAACTTTTTCACAGGACTGCTGCCACCCATGAAATGAGAAAGGCCTTCGTTTCTAAGCACCTCATCCGAGTTCCAAGAATTAAAGATTCCCCTGCAGCTCACTGCATATGACACGTGTGGCAGCTGAGAAATACGCAGTCACTGTCAGCGCTTCCCGAACTCCCCAGGAGCCCCTGGGAGGTAACGTTCCCCTCCATCCCCAGAGAACCTCCCTGTGCAGCTCACTGCCCATGTGCGTGGTCCACAGAGCCACACCCTGCATTCCCATGACGGCTTCACTGTCTGTCCTCCCACGCTGGGTCCTCCATCACACTCCTTCATGCTTCATGTGACAGCCACCATGAGACGACTCCTTGACATAGTGAGGCGTTTCTGCAAGTTTCCATTTAAGTTAAACAAGGCCAGCTTATCCGGGGTCTTGTTTTGACACTTGGTGGTGTGGGTCATACTGGATCCAAAAAGAAAAGATATGTCCACGTCATAAGCACCGATACCTGAAAATGGGACCTTACCTGGAAATGGGGCCTTTGCAATCAAATTTAGATGAGGCCATACTGGACTGAGGTGGGCCCTATTGCAATAAGACTTTGTGTCCTTCTAAGAAGAGGAGAGACACAGAAACACACAGGAGAAGGCCACGTGACGACAGAGGCAAAGACTGGAACGATGCGTCCACAGGCCAAGGAACACCAAGGATGGCCAGCAGCCCCAGAGCTGGGAGGGAGGCCTGGGATGGCTTCCCTAGAACCTTCAGAGAGAGGAGGGCCCTGTCGACACCTAGCATTTGGACTTCTAGACTCCAGACCGTAAGAGAATGGACTTCTGTTGTTTTAAGCCATCTAGTGTGAAGGATTTTGTTATAGCAGCCCTGGGAAACTAACATATTTAGGATGAGGATATAGCAAGATGTTATTATAATAAGAATAGTTGAGGCCGGACACGGTGGTTCATGCCTGTCATCCCAGCACTTTGGGAAGCCAAGGCAGGTAGATCACTTGAGGTCAGGAGTTCAAGACCAGCCTGGCCAATGTAGTGAAACCCTGTCTCTACCAAAAATATAAAGAATTAGCTGGGTGTGGTGGCAGGCACCTGTAACCCCAGATACTTGGGAGTCTGAGACAGGAGAATTGCTTGCATGCCACTGCACTCCAGCCTAGGTGACAGAGCTAGACTCTGTCTAAAAAAAAAAAAAAAAAAAAAAAAAGAATAGTTATACTATTAATAATGAGAAAATGGCAATGTAAGGCTTCCTCTGTGTCCCGCATTTCCACCAACCCTTAGAACAGCCCCATAAAGGAAGTACCTCCGTTATTAACCCCATTTTACATACCGGAAAACAAAGCGACAGGCAGGTTAAAATGACTTGGTGAAGTTCATACCAGTAGACAGGGAGAGAACGGTGAATCAATTAAAGGCCTTTTGGATCCAAAAGCCCAGGCTGTGTTCCAGAGCATTTACCTCAGCACAAGATATGCATATATTTTGCAAATAACAAAGATTTATACCAAATTTATAGACAGAGATAGCATAGACTCTTTGCCAAAATTCATAGTGCTCCCCATTTTGGAATGATTTGCAAAATTATGATTTGGAATTTGTCTTTGATTTCACCCAGAAATATTGACACACATGCTGTTATGGCAAGGCAAAACAGTCCTCATGCTTCGTTCTCCATGAATCCAGAAATTACATTAACTGCATTTGCTGTAATTCATCCAAAATTTAAAATAAATATGAAAAGCATTGCTTTTTTCTGAAGCTATTCATCTCAATATAAATGCAATTTAGATATTTAAATATATCATACTATATCTATACTCATACCTTGAGCCTTTATAGAAACCGTGTTTCTAGTGTATGTACTTCAGTATAAAAAAATCAGGTTTAAAAATATCATTTTAATAAACATTTATCAATTCTTATCCAGCAGAAAAGGAAAACATATTGTCTCCTCTTATCTTACACTGGCTAGAATATATAAATTCATATTACCAACAGCTTCATTTTTCTTGCTTCCTTCTTCCTTTTCTTCCATGCAAATATGCACTTTGGGGGGATTTGCTGTATTAATCAGAGTTTCTTGACTTAGCACTGTTGACGTTTGGGGCCAGATCATTCTGTATTGTGGAGTACTGTCCTGTGCATTGTAGCATGTTTAACAGAGTCCCCTCTACCCACCAGATGTCAGTGGTGAGCCCCACCCCAGCCTGCCCCCCAAAAAACATCTCCAGACATTGCCAAGGACTCTTTGGGAGGAAGGGACAAAAGTGCCCCTGGCTGGGAAATAGGCACATTTACTATAGTGGAAATAGGTATGTTTCCAAATTCTTTCTGGTGTTAAGTTGGAAGACTGAATATTGAGCTTGGAATGAAGCCATATTCAAATAAATAATAACTTGGTAAAGAAATTAAAAGAGTAAACAAGTAGTAAATTTTCAAGCAAATTCAACATTTCTCCCCCCAGGATTCAGCCATCTCAGGGCCTTTTTCTAGGGAGTGGGGCCCTCCCCCGGAGGTGGGGGCTTCAAATCCCCCAGCTTCTAAGCCCAGGAGGCAGCCCCAGAACCCATGTTAGGCCTTCTCTTCCCTCCACTCCCTCAAAGGCCATGGCCCCAGGCTAACCTGCGGGGAATGACTGAGGAATCGTGTCTTGTCTGAACTGCTCTTGAGACCTCCAAAATAACCAAACCTATGGTGGCAAAACAATTGCAGTCCTAAAACAACCCGATGAGGTCCCCACAGAAGTCTTTGTTAAGAACTTTCCCTGGGCCTGACTCTGTGCTGGCTGTGTTTTCCAAGAAGAATGGGCAAACGGGCCCTCCCACTGAGAAGTACTGACCACATGAAAAATACCACAATGCATGGAACAGAGGTGCAGCTATTAGGGGTACGGTGACAGCCAAGACGACTGTGGCCTCCAGACTGCACACTGCACCTAACACACAGTAGGCGCTCTCTCTGTACTTGTGGAGTAAATGATAACTTAATCTTGCAATGCGAAAATAAAAGCAGCATTTAGAATGTCAGTGTGAAAATGCCGTGCTGTTGTGACCTGATCCAACTGCACATGGTGGCTGTGGTCAGTGCTGGTGGCTCCCAGGGTGAGGACAATGCCGACAGTGTACCGAGGAGAGAGAAGGAAAAACAATGATGAGAAGAAGCAAGACCAAAATGATTGAGCAACACCTGAGAGATATGTAGAGGAGAGGACTCAGGGGGGCTAGACCGTCATTTTCAAATATTCCAAGACCTACCAAATGCCGGGGGGGTAGGCTCAGTCCAGATGGTCCCAAGGGACAGAAGGAGGACAAATGCCACACCTGCAAGGCCACTCTCAGGCATCAGCAGCCCAGCCTTGCTTAATTACGTCACACGACCTTTCCAAAGACGTATGACATCAGTCTCCTTTGAAACTGCAGAGATGGCAGGGACTTCCCGTTCACTCAGCGAGCCTCCCCGTGTTCAGATAAATAAATGTTGAAGTTATCACATGCTGCTTACTGAACACACGAGTTGCCAAATGAGGCTGGCTACTCACTGATTTTGTTAAGCTGTGAGTACTTGAATTCAATACAGAACATATTGCCTCTTGAAACACAGTACAGAAAGCCATTTTCATCATACTGGTACTATTCTGAATCAGCTACTCAAAGTTGCCTTTTGAAACTGCCTTTCAGAGGACACCCTGATGTATGAGCCCACGTGAGTTTTCTCATCCTCATGTTTGACCGTTGTTAATCCCTCAACAACACTGTTGTTTACTTTGGTATTCGACTTCCTATTTCAAATGCTGGGAGACATCTTTACAATTGCAACGTTTCCTGAACATACAAGTTTGTTATAGCAGCAGTCTTCTGGGTTCTTGATTTCTGCTGCGAATCCCAGAGAACTAATTAAGCCAGAGCCCTTTCCACTGAAAACCTTGCCCTGTCACTGTCTGCTGCCAGGGGAGCTAACTGGCAGCCATTACACTGCCTGGAATGGGGTAGGGGGGCAGGGGCAGGAGGCCAATTAGTTTACAGCAAGGTCCATGAAGAAGCAAGCTAATCATAATGGAAAAACTTTGGAGGCTGCTCCTCACGTGTTTTAATCTTTTGAGGAAGCTGGTGAATTACCTGTGTATTTCTGGACTCTGCCAGTTCCACACCTGTGCTGCGTTCCACTCTGAGCTTGCGTATACTCCCTTGCTTCATTTTAAAGGTACTGTGTGAGTTCCCACAGCCTTGGGCACCCGCATGTACTGAAATCTGCTGGGCACTAATGTCTTGTTTGAATGATTTCTGCAATGACTGCTGTTCAACTAGGCAAATGCCCTTTGAAAGGGCAAAACCAATTCTCTCTTAGATCAACTGGGGGTGAGACATAACATGGAAAATTCCAGTATAGGTAATAAAAAAAAAAAAAAAGCTATTCCTGAATAAGTTCCATGCTGCCGTTTGAATTTATGCCCCTGGGGAAAAGTCGAAGAAATCAGAACACACAGCTCATTATTATTTGTGTAGATTATGCAAACTTTACCTTTTAGAAAAAAAATGACTAAGTTACAGAGGATCAGGGAAAGAATCTGGACTGTATTTAAGTGAGAGGGATTAGCTAGCAGGATGTTGATTTATAAACGGCAACAACCAATTCCTTATATTCTCCACTGCGGTCATGTCTCCCGCACGGTAATTCCCAGCGTTCCTTTTGAAAGCCCTTGGTACTCAGTTAGCCCCGAGGTATAATGTTTGATAATATAACCACTGCTTCTGTCACTGCGTTTTGTACAAACGCATTATATGTGGCCCAGAATGGTAAAGATTTATGTATGGGTATGGAAAATAGAAATCAGCATTGATTAAAAGCCCCAGATAGACCATCCAATACCGCCCAAAGAACATCAGTTATTTTGCATTTTGACGTGGCGATTGATAACTCATAAATGCAAGCAGGAATGACAAATGCGGATGGAAACTGGCTTTGACAAAAACGATAACAGTATCAGTCTCGAGGGGCGATGGAGGTATAAGCAGGAGCTGTTTAAAATATTTAATCATTTTATGAAGGCTGCAAGATGTTGTTTGACCCTGAAGGAGTGTGAATGTCACATGGATCAGAAATTGCCAAGTCTTTGAAGTGAAATTAAAAAATGGTGTTATTATAGATCTTTCTTGACATCCTATCACTTTTGTATAGGATTAAATATATGTATACAAAGCACCAGATAAAGGACTCCGGCAAAGGATGTCTTGGTTGAAGGGACAGGAAGTAAAGGCATCCTGGTCATGAATTTTTACTTCAAAACCCCAAAGCATTTCTTTCCTTTGCTTTTCTTTTCTTTTAAAGAGTTCTTAGTAAAAAGATGCCATTGGTTTTTAAATAGAGGGTAAACCATCCCTTACTTTTGTTACCTGGGGTCCAGCTGTTGGAATTTCTTCTCTCCTTTTTCCCCAAGCATTCTACCTCTCTTGGGTATTGTGTTTATAGCATATGTTTCTATGTGGACAGTCATACTGAGCACTTACGGCTGTAAATAAACCTGGGTATATTTACATGCTGGGGTTTGCAGGGCCTCACGTGGCCCGTGGTGCATCGGTCATGGAGGCTCCCAGCTGCCGTGCTGCTCGGCACCCAGCAGCTCCTCCAGCAGCCCAAGCCACGGTGTTCTCACAGGTGGCAAAGCGGCTCGTGAATTCCCAGGACTATTCCTCACGGTTCACTCCGGAGCAGCAGCAAGTGGACTGTCACGCTGCTCTTTGTCTTCCCTCTCTGGTGTTGCTTTTCCGGGCTTTCCCCCATCTTGAATTTTCCCCTGTTCCTATTTTGTTGTGTCTGTGGGATGTGGGTGTTGGAAGTGGGTTTTTTCAGAAGGACTGTTTTTTCTCCTTTCTAGGAATGTGTGGCTCCTTACAGGAGCTGGTGTTCTGTGATTCCGAGATATTCTTGTTTTACCCATTTTGAACCACTCTATAGAGTTCCTGGTGGCTGGAACTTACTTCATCCTGGCTGATGGATTCTGTTTTCTGGGATGGGAGCTGCACACGCAGACACACAGAGCAGAGGGAGGGCTTGGGCGGTTTCCTCTTTGGTGCAAGTGTGCATTTCCTCTGTATTCATGGGTTCCACCAACCCGTGTGCAGGGTGCAGGGGAAGTGAGCGTTTGCTGACTTCGTGGAGGGGTCACTACCTGAGTGAGGCTTTCTGACCCCCCACTTCCCTGCAACACACACACACACTCACATGCAGACACACTCAGACACTCATCACCTCACACACACACCTTTACATACATGCACACTCACACTCACTTACCAGACACACTCAGACACTCATCACCTCACACACACCCTCACATACATGCACACTCACACTCACTTACCAGACACACTTAGCCACTCATACACACACCACCTTGCCCATACACAAACACATATAACCATACACTCACACTCATGCAAACACAGCCACTCACACGCACTCATTACTTCACATATGCAAATTCACACACTCACATTCACACTCAAGCCACACTCACCCACACTCAGCCATTCACACACACTCACACTCCCTCACACTCAGCCATTCACACACTCACACTCAGCCACTCATGAACCCTCACACTCGCTCGTGAGAGTCTGAGTGACTCTCTCACACACACTCACACATATGCACACACACTCATGCAGACATAGACACACACACATCACCACACACACAAACACACACGTCCTCACACACACACAAAATCATACAAACTCACACACACTTAACCACTCACACACACTCATCACCTCACACACAACCACTCACGCACCCTCACACTCACTCGGAGAGTCCCTTATGAGTGAGTGACTCACGTGCACGCACACCCACGCTTACTGGTGGTCACTGCTCTCCCACACTCAGGACACCATCAGGAAGAGGGTTGTCACCAGTGCTTTGGTCCCAGTCTCTCTGTGTTCATCTGTTTATTCTGCTTATGCCTGGAGGACATGAAGACAGAGCGTGGCCGTGGAATGCCCCCCCGACATGGCCTCCCATGAAGACACCTCAGCCCCACGTTCCCTCTGCACCACCTGGACGGGGACCCACTGCGGCAAGACCACACAGGCAGTCCCCTCACGGCCAGCTGGTCCTGCGGCCATGGACACGTGTTTGTCTCCATGCCCAGTATCTCCTGGAAGACAGCATTCCAGACACCCGAGAACCTGGCCAGGACACCCTCTAGTCTCAGACAAACGCAAGAAATCACTCAGCTAATGCTACCCCCACCTTGGAGAACAGAAGGAGTCCTGCCGGGAGATGGGGCCCTCCAATGTAGACTAATTGTCCTCATCACCCAAGTTCTGGGCTGGTGCTGCTAGACTCCCTCTCTGTCCCCCACCTCTCCCACCTCTCAGCTCCTCCACCTGCTCACCTCCTCCACCCCAGCCACCGCCTGAAGCCAGCAGAAAGGTCTGAGCAGCTTCTCCCTCCAATCCTCCAGAAGGAGCCCACCCTGCCAACACCATGATCTGGGACATCTGACCCCCAGAGCTGTCAGACAATGAATTCCTGTGCTACGACGCCAGGTGTGTGGCGCTTTGTGAACAGAGCCCTCACCTGTAGAACTCAGCGTAGCACAGGGAGGTGGTCCTGGACCATGCTGGTGGGCCTGATGCAATTGCATGTGTCATCACAAGAAGGAGGCAGAAGGGGCTTTGCCCGCAGGAGACAGAGCCAAGCAATGGAAGCAGAGAGAAGCCGACTCACAGAGAGGCTGTGCTGCTGGCTTGGACAACGGGGGCAGTGACCGTGACCCACAGAACACAAGGAATGCAGCTCTTGGTGTTGGAAAGGAAAGGAATCGAATTCCTTCCTGGACCACCCAGAGGGAATCCGGTCCTGTCAGCCCTCGATTTCGACTCACTGATGCTGAGTTCAGACTAGTGGCTTCTAGAAATAGGAGAGAATACATTTCAATTGTTTTCAACCTTCAAGTTTGTGATCATTTGTTACAACAGCCACAAGAAACTAATGCGGCCACCATAGACTGGGTGTTTTTCCACGTATTTGGAACCAAACTAAGCATTTCATAGATGTTATTACATGTAGCCCTTGGGAGTAAATTATATTGTCCTCATTTTACAGAAGAGTAAACTGAGGACAGGTGAAAAAATATTCCCCGCCCAAGGTCATGCCAGCAAGTGTGGAGCTTGGATTTGGACTCAGAGCTATCTAAGGAGGACCTCCAAGCTCTCAGCCTTCCTCACTGTGACAAATCCCCTCTGTGTAGCTCCCAATGCACTCTTCACATCCTCCTCTGCTTCCTCTCCACCTGCCTCCAGATGCTGCCTCCAGCTCGTGTCACCTGCTGTTCCCCAGCTCAAAAGCTCCCAGAAGCTCCTCAGTTGCCACAGACCCCTCAGCCTGGCTTCCATGGCACCTAACAGCCTGAGCCACCCTAACCTTCCAACCTTGTCTCCCACAGTTTCCTTGGGGAGGTCTCTGTTTCCAGCGTGTTGTCTCACTTCCACTCCCCTCCCAGTCTTCAAGCCTTCAGAGGTGCACTCCCTTACTAGGACATCTTCTTACTTCCCTTCCACTTCTTAAGACAAATCTGATTCTAAGTTTTTCCAATTATTTGAGTGCGTACAAATATCTCCTTCCTCTGAATCCCCATTCTACTCAACACTTGGTTTAGTATACAATGATTCTTTATTGATTTTGTATGTGTTAGTTTTCTCTTCCCTAGCTGTACTGTAAATTTCTTCAGGATGCTAAAGAACACTAAAAAAGTCCCTATCCTCATAAAGCTTATAGTTCAGCTGCAGAGACAAAACTTCTTAACCTCAGAACAATCAACATCAAAGGATTTGATTTAATGAGGAAGCAGCAAGCTTCCACATGCCATATTGAGAACACAGGACAGGATGTCAAAAAAATTTGGTTCCAGCCCTGGTTTTGTGCCCTCAGGGAAGCCCCTCCAGCTCGCCAGCTCTCTTCCTCTTTATCTATAAAATCAGACACTTGAGCTACATACCCCCTAATGTCTCTCCACTCTAGCGTCCTATGAGCCAGAGCCGGCATTGGAATGTGCTCCTGATCCCAAGACACCTTTCCCCCTCGCCCAAGAATTCCGCCAGCGACTGAGTCACATTTCCTATGAGGGCCATGCTGTAGCTATTCATCATCCTAAAAGCCTGGGTCCTGTGTGATTCACATCCAGCGAAGGCCACCTTGCCACTGAAGTCTTCATTGGCATTGAAACCTTGAAAGCTGCCCCTGACTTCTGCTACCTTGGCAGGACAGAGTCAAACAGTGCCCTCTTATCCAAGGAGCTGGAAAATGGGAAACAAAGCCAGTGGACATGAGGCCAGACTCAGAGTCTGGCACAGGCATAAGAGGAAGTTCAAAGCCAAGAGAAAAGCCCATGACACTGTGGCTCTCCCACCAACCATCCACTCATGAACTCTAGATGTCACAGTTCGCTTCTGGAAAACTGTATGTGCAGAAGCTTAATACCAAATGAAGGTCATGAATCATGCGTTCCTGGAATGGTCCTTCAACTCGGCATCATCATGACAACAGAGACATGCTGGTAGAGATGGGCTGCAGCCCTTGGAGATGGGGGTGGCTCACTTGAAAAAGAAACGTTGTATTGCTTCTAAGGAAAAGGCACCCATCAGTGGTGCCATGCACCACAAACTGTGCTCAAATACCTCCCCCAAAGGCCATTGAATACCCATTCTCGCTGGGCCTACACACAGGAGCGGAGAAAAACAGGCATGAAAATTGCTCCCATTCTCACGTCAGGTCAAGTTAATGAGTGCTCATCAGCTCACGATGGTCTCCGAGTTACAGAGCTCTCTTCCTGCCCCCGTACACCCTGTCCAGAAGGATAATCCTGCTTGGGTTGAAAAAAAGTGTTGAGTAGGCTGTCCCAAGACCCTCCCTCCCTCACGCATGATAGTATCTTACACATGCTCTGCCAACAGGGTTCTGGAGCAGCTTGCTGACTATCCAAGTTTTAATGTGCTATTAATATTAGTGTTGTTATTATTTTCCATAGCAAAAGCATTTGCATGCAAGCCTTTTACTGTGGAATGAGAGATAGGAAATCAACATCACTAGCTAGAAAATGCAAGGTCGCAGCACCATCCAGTAGCACTTTCTGCAACGAGGGCAAGGCTCTATCATCTGTGCTGCCCAGTGTGGAAGCCACAAGCCAATGTGGCTTAAAATGTAGCTAGTGCAACCAAGAAGCTGCTTTTTAATTTGATTTAATTTACGTGTACTTAAATTTAAATTTTAAAAACTACACGTGGCTATTGGCTACCATGTTGAATAGTGCAGGCTGTGTTTCACTCCTTACTTCTGATTTCATTTTGTTATTCATTTAACATGCATTTATTGGGGGCTTGCAGTATTCTACTTTCATGCTAGATATTAGAGAATTAAACAAAGGAAAGGCTCTGGTGTCAAGAAAATCATCACAATGGAATGTAAGCACCCATTGGCAGCATATTATTAAAGAAACTAAGAGGATAGGACAACAAGAGAGATATGATTATTAGTGGAGCTCCTGGTCTTTTCCAGGAGCTGTATCAGGCACTTCACAAGTGTTTATCTCACTTAATCCCCACAATAAGCAATGAAATAGGCCCTTTCATAGGTGAAGAGATTGAAACTACAAAAGGGTAAGTAATATGGCCAAGATCTGAAGATATGAAATGGCAAAACCAAGGTTTGAACCCAAAATTACATAAGACAGATCTTCCAAGAGTAGAAGAAACTTGGTCTGATACTTAAAGGTTTGGGGTCAACCCAGGTAGGGAATTGGAGAGTAGCTTTGGAGGAGTAAAAGGCCAGGATAGAGGACAGGTGGAGAGTGAGGCAGAGCATTCCTAAAAGAGGAAACAGCATGTGCAAAAGCAGAGTTCCACACAGGGGCATGAGGGGCCAGTGAGGCAGTGGCCAGATCCCAGGAATGAGTGCTCCACTAAGGAGCTGGAATTCTTCCCTGAAGGTCACGGGAACACCAAAGGCTTCTAAAGGCAAAATGAAGGTCCAGCGTTAGAAAGGAAACTTGCAGTCGTGGCAGAAGGATGAAGGGGAAGGAAGCATGTCTTCACATGGCAGCAGGAGAGAGAGACAGCAAAGAGGGAGGTGCCACACACTTTCAAACAACCATATCTTGGAATAACTCACTCACTATCATAAGAAGAGCAAGAAGGAAGTCCACCCCATGATTCAGTCACCTCCCCAGACCCCTCCCCCAACATTGCATATTATAATTTGGCAGGAGATTTGGGTGGGGACAGAGCAAAATAATATCAATAAATAATCTTTTAAATTATTTTACTTACTAATGGCTCAATTTTTTTTTTTAGACGGAGTCTCACTCTGTCCCCAGGCTGGAGTGCAGTGGTGCAATCTCGGCTCACTACAAGCTCTGCCTCCCGGGTTCACACCACTCTCCTGTCTCAGCCTTCCAAGTAGCTGGGACTACAGGCACCTGCCACCACACCCAGCTAATTTTTTGTATTTTTAGTAGAGACAGGGTTTCACCATGTTAGCCAGGATGGTCTTGATCTCCTGACCTCGTGATCCGCCCACCTCAGCCTCCCAAAGTGCTGGGAATACAGGCGTG
Source organism: Homo sapiens (assembly GCF_000001405.40). Taxonomy (NCBI): domain Eukaryota; kingdom Metazoa; phylum Chordata; class Mammalia; order Primates; family Hominidae; genus Homo; species Homo sapiens. The sequence continues at coordinate 75,356,600 of NC_000018.10, read as the reverse complement.
AGCCACCGCACCTGGCCTAATGGCTCAAATTTTTAATAAACTGATTTATTTTTATTAATTTGTTGATATTAGGCAACATGATTGAATATGCATCATTACCTTTAAAAATCTTGCTGTAAACCAGCATTTAACAAAGTGTGATTTGTCACTTAGAGTCCCCAGAACCCATTCAGTCAGTCCATGAGGTCAAAATGATTTCCCTAATCGTTTCCCTAATACCAGTTGTTATTTGCTCTTTTCACTATGTGGACCTTGCTCTGGTGGTGCGAAATCAACAGTGAACAAAACTGTGGGTATCTAGATACAATCATACTAGTAGTCATATTTTTCACTGTCATATCCACATTACAAAAAACAGCCAATTTCACTTCCTGGATGAAGCTGTAAGAATTATTATTCAATCTTGATCTTCAAATACATGTCTTTTTAATATTCTGAGTGATGAAATGGGAACTTCTGCCTCACAACAAAGGAAGATGTTGTCTCCAGGAAAAGCATTTGCATGACTGTTGGGTCTGGGAGCTGAACCAGCCACATTTTTCATGGAACACCATTTTTGCTCAAAAGAATGACTGACAGAAAAACTATGGTTATTCACATTTGGGTATTTGGCACACATTTTCTCAAAATGAACAAAGTGAGCCTGTAACTACAGGGAAAAATAACTGACAGCATTTGTTGCCAAGGATAAAATTCAATCTTTCGAGTGAAAATTAGAATTTTGAAAAACATTGTCTACCACCATGAGCTTGACAGCTTCCCAAAACTTAAAGACTTTTCTTATGAGATTGGGTGATACTAACAAATGTGATATTTTGATAGTATATAATAAAATGTTTCAACACTTGGAAGGTCTGCAGAGTTTAGTGGGCAAATATTTTTGAAACAATGCAAAATGTTACAAAATTATACATGAATAAAAAATTTATTCAAAGTGCAAGATAGACAAGTGGATTTTAATGTTAGAGAGTACAAAGGTTCATTGACATGAAGGTTCATTGATATGATACAAAGGTTCAGAATCCATGTTACTAGTAAGAACGACCATTTGTCAAGTTTTGGTGTAGTATCAAAGAAGAAGGTCTACAATTATCTGAAAGGCTACTCAGATATTTCTGCCTTTTCCAACTATGTAGTTGGATGAGCCAGATTTTCCTCATATACTTCAATGAAAACGACATATCACAACAGACTAAATGCAGAAGCAGATACAACAATTCAGATAGGTATTAATCCTTACATTGAGGAGATTTGCAAAAAATGTAAAGAATGATACTCTTCTCTCTATATTTCTTTTGCTTTAGAAAATATAGCTATTTCATAAAAATATGTTATTTATGTTAACTTAAACAGCAATATGTTAAATGAATTCCTAAAATAATATTTCAAATGTTTTCAGTTTTAATTGCTAATGTGGTAAATACTAATAGGTATATCCCACAAAAATTAAAGCTCTTTAAGCTTCTCAATAAATATTAAGGGTATAAAGATATCCTGGGGTCAAAAAGTTTAAGAACCACTGATTTAAGCTGTAATGATATAGTTTAAGCAATGGTTAAAAACTCAGTTTATGCCTCTATTTTGTTGAATTTGTCATGATTGTTGAAAATGATAACTCATGAAATACAATATATATAACTAACATTTAGAACAGAACAGCCTTCATCCTTAAGGATAACGGTTGTGAATACATATTTCAAACCCTGCTCATTTTTAATTTTTTGGTCACATTTTTGTCAGATTAGACTTTTGTTTTGGAAGAAGAAACACTCCTATGAAGAGTAGAAACCTCAAAGTTAACTATTTCTGATTAGCTTATTCCTGCATTATTAGTGTTATCTATAATCTACAATTTCTTTGCAAGAATTTATTAAGCCATTTGTCTATTTTGTGACCATTATCTTGATTAAGACTAGAAAATATGATTTGTAAAGCCACCAACTGGGCGTGTGTGTTAGTCCATTCTCATACAGCTATGAAGAAATACTCAAGACTGGGTAATTTATAAAGGAAAGAGGTTTAATTGACTCATAGTTCCTCAGGTCTGGGTAGGCCTCAGGAAACATACAATCATGGCAGGAGGGGAAGCAAACACATCCTTCTTTACATGGCAGCAGCAAGGAGAAGTGCAGAGTGAAATGGGGGAGCCCCCTTATAAAACCATCAGATCTCATGAGAACGCATTCACTATCATGAGAGCAGCATGGAAGTAACTGCCCCTGTGATTCAATTACCTCCCACCGGGTCCCTCCCATGACATGTAGGGATTATGGGAAATATAATTCAAGATGAGATTTGGGTGGGGACATGGCCAAACCATATCATTCCACCCCGGCCCCTCCCAAATATCATGTCCTCACATTCCAAAACACAATCATGCTTTTCCAACAGTCCCCCAAATTCTTAGCTCATTCCAGCATTAGCCCAAAAGTCCAAATCCAAAGTCTCATCTGAGACAAGGCATGTCACTTCTGCCTATGAGCCTGTAAAACCAAAAGCAAGTTAGTTACTTCCTAGATACAATGGGGGTACAGACATTTGGTAAATGCAGCCTCTCCAAATGGGAGAAATTGGCAAAAACAGTACAATGGGGGTAGAGACATTGGGTAAATACAGCCTTTCCAAATGGAAGAAATTGGTCAAAGCAAAGGGGTTACAGGCCCCATACAGATCCAAAATCCAGTGGGGCAGTCAAATCTTAAAGCTCCAAAATGATTGCCTTTGACTCCATGTCTCACATTCAGGTCATGCTGATGTAAGAGGTGGGTTCCCATGGTCTTGGGCAGCTCTGACCCTGTGGCTTTGCAGGGTACAGCCCCCGACCTGGCTGCATTGAGTTTCTATGGCTTTTCCAGGTGCATGATGCAAGCTGTCAGCAGATCTACGATTCTGGGGTCTGGAGGACAGTGGCCCTCTTCTCACAACTCCACTAGACAGTGCCCCAGCGGGGACTCTTTGTGGGGGCTCTGGCCCCACATTTCCCTTACACACTGTCCTTCCACAGGTTCTCCAGGAGGGCTCCACCTCTGCAGCAAACTTCTGCCTGGACACCCAGGTGTTTTATTACATTCTCTGAAATATAGGCAGAGGTTCCCAAACCTCAATTCTTAACTTCTGTACACCTGCAGGCTCAACACCATGTGGAAGCTGCCAAGGCCTGGGGCTTGCACCTTCTGAAGCCATGACCTGAGCTGTATCTTGGCCCCTTTTAGCCATGGCTGGAGTGGCTAGGACATAGGGCACCAAGTCCCTAGGCTGCACACAACACAGGAAACCTGGGCCCAGCCCATGAAGCCATTTTTTACTCCTAGGCCTCTGGGCCTGTGATGGGAGGAGCTTCCACAAAGGTCTCTGACATGCCCTGGAGACATCTTCCCCATTGTCTTGGCGAATAACCTTCGCTGCCTTTTTACTTATGCAAATTCTTCAGCAGGCTTGAATTTCTCCCCAGAAAATTGGTTCTTCTTTTCTATTGCATCATTAGGCTACAAATTTTCTAAACTTTTATGCTTTGCTTCCTCTTGAATGCTTTCCCACTTAGAAATTTCTTCCACAAAATACCCTAAATCATCTCTTTAAAGTTCAAAGTTCCACAGATCTCTAGGGCAGGGGCAAAATGCTGCCAGTCTCTTTGCTAAAGCACAAGAGTCACCTTTGCTCCAGTCCCCAGCAAGTTCCTCATCTCCATCTGAGACCACCTCAGCCTGGACTTCATTGTCCATATTACTATCAGCACTTTGGTCAAAGCCATTCAACAAATCTCTAGGAAGTTCCAAACTTTCCCACATCTTTCTGTCTTCTGAGCCCTCCAAGTCTCTAGGAAGTCTCAAACTTTCCCACATTTTCCTGTCTTCTTTTGAGCCTGCTAAACTGTTCCAACCTCTTCCTGTTACCCAGTTCCAAAGTCGCTTCCACATTTTCAGGTATCTTTACAGCAGCATCCTACTCTCTGTGGTACCAATTTACTGTATTCATTTGTTCTCATGCTGCTGTGAAGAAATATCCAAGACTAGGTAATTTATAAAAGAAAGAGGTTTAATTGACTCACAGTTCTGCAGGGCGGGCTGGGGAGGCCTCAGGAAACTTACAATCATGGTGGAAGAGGAAGCAAACACTTTCTTCTTCACATGGCATCAGCAAGGAGAAGTGCAGAGTAGAGGGGTGGAAAAGCCCCTTATAAAACCATCAGATCTCATGAGAACTCACTCACTATCACAAGAACAGCATGGAGGTAACCACCTTCATGATTCAATTACCTCCCTCCAGAGGTAATAGTTCCTCCTGCAATACCTGGGATTATGGGAACTACAATTCAAGATGAGATTTGGGTGGGGACACAACCAAACCATATCAGCATACATAAATGACAAAACTCTGAATGTCACTTGTCACTGCTGATGTGCCCTCTGCTTTGGAGAGTGCCACCTTGCCCTCACCTACCTCATGGGCCATATGAATCTGCTGGGACTTCCATTACAAAGTACCATGGACTGGGTGGCATGAACAACAGATAGGGATTTTTTCACAGTTCTGGAGTCTGGGAAGTCCAAAGTGCCAGCAGCTTCCGTGGCTGGTTAGGGCTCTCTTTCTCATTTGCAGATGGCCACCTTCTCTCTGTGTCCTCATGTGATGGAAAAAGAGATCATTGGTCTCTTTTTTTCTTATAAAGGCACTAATTCCATCCTAATAGCCCTACTTTTGTGATGAACATGTGCACTTGTGAATTCTTCACATAATGAGTTATTCAAATATCACGTTATTCACTTTAATCCTGTTCCCTTTCATTGGTTGCTCCAGATAGATGAGGAAGCTGGCCTAACCCTACTATGTACTTTAAAAGATAAACAACCAAGACCAGAAGGCATTGAGAAAGGGCCACACAGGCCTTGTCCACTTCTACTTTTCTTGTGGGGCCCTTACAAGATGAAATGGTGCTAGCTGATCACAGGGCTGTCCACACACATGCCTCCCGTCTGAGCACTAGGGCTGGCTGGGCGTCTCACTGACTGGTGAAAGCCTTGTTCGCTCCTTACAAAGCTTCCCACAGCTTCTCTGAACCCTGCTCTTTCCGGAAGGATATCGCATTACTGGACCATCATCTATTTTCCCAAAAGGCACTTTAGAGCCCTGGGTGTGATGCCTGTTCATGTGATTTGATGTTTTTCTACCATTTTTGACTTGGGTGAACTACAAATAAAGAGCATGTAGAAGCACAGCACTGAATGTTCTGGAAAATTAAAGAGTTCACACATGGCCAGCGTTTGGAGTCTTAAATCATCCGAGTTTCAAGTGTTCCTTTTTATTTTGGGGAGGAGGGTGTGCAAAGGGTTTGGGAGAGTGAACACCACGGATGGATTATCTCATTTCATTTATCCTGACTCTTCGTCTATCAAACCATGCAATTAACAGTAGCACAAACGGAGCCTTACTCAATCAAAACAAAGCATGAATCCATGTTAGAGGATTTACTGGCCAGGCTTTCTGGATGGAGCTTTCCAGATCTTTCTGAAGATAAAGTGGAGAGTCAATTTGTAGTGAGACATCAAGGTGTGGACTTCTGTCTCCTCCCGCTCCTCCCCCTGCCTCCGTTGCTTCCCCTCCCTCGCCCAGCGCATTCTTTTCAATACGCTTATAACGAAATCAGAGACAATGTGTAATTATACAGAAGAAAAATCTGTCAGAGGATAGCTGAAGTTGCTTAAATTGTGCTGATTTACAAAGATAAGAGAATCTTCCCCCAACTGAAAAAAAATACCTTTTTGCATGTGTAATGGCAAACAACCTCCTGCAAAGTCAACTCCTTTTCTGAAAGTCATTGCGAGTTTTATAATTTCTGAGTCATTAGATAACAGATAGAACTCCACACTGAGTGGTTTCAAATGTTTATGGTCTGCAATTCATTCTTAATGAGCTCCCTCCATGTCTTTATTCTTCTCCGCACCCTCCTGCTGGGAAGTGTCTTACTCTGCCTTGCCTTTTGTTAATGATTCCACAATCATTTCAGAGCCATTTCTCCTGCCTTATGTAATTCTGACACTGCGGAAGAGCCCAGCTCACTGCCTCACAGTTGGAAATGTAACCTTTAATGTATTAATTTCTCTTGCTCAAAACAATTTAACCTCTGTCTTGGTTTTGTGATTGCTAAGTGTTCCAATTAAATGCCTCTTTCATTTTTTGTCCTGGAGGGCTTGATCCTACCCAAATTATGTAGCACACACCCCACCTCGCCACGAGGAGCATGCTGGGGCCCCTCACGTGCCCACCATCCATCCATTATCTCTCTCATGAGTGCCTGTCACATTTTCAAAACACCTCCTTCTCCAAAAAGATTAATTAAAGTAGTTTTAAATGAGGCAGCATTTGTCTGTGGAGGAGAAACGAATCATCCTAGCCCAGAAGAGAGAGGCATCCAGGAGGAGAAAATATTCATCTCCTGCCCCCACTTCTGAACCGATCTGATCAACAGAGGATGGTGAGCGAATGGTCACTCTGCCACGACTGTGTCAAGATGCAGGCCCTGCCAGCCCGAGTGAGGCGGGGAAATTAATCACAGCAACAAAAAGTCTCTGGACACTTGCCTTTTGAATTCTACCACCTGCTTCCAGGCAAAACAGGCCCAGTAAGAGGGAAGATTCGTTGAAGGATTCCCACACATGGACGTGGGGCACCCAAGTCCTTGACAGTCAGCACAGACACATAAAAGCAACTGGGAATAAAATCGAGGGACAGTGTAGGACAACCTATTCACAGCCCAACACGCCGGAGGCTCGCTGCTGCTCCTGCTGGGGGGCACCGCCGTGTGATCAATGCCTGGGAGCAGGGAGCCCCCTCCTCTGAAAAGCCTCACTTCAAATTGCCTGTTGTCTTGGTACCAACAAGTCTATACTCTAGTCTCCTTCGCTTCTCTCAGAAGCTTAGAAAGGGTAACAATTTGGAGCTGGGGTCGGGGGCCTTATCAACCTCTGGTCCAACTCAGGAGTGTGCCTATAGGAACAGCTCAAATTCATTTTGATGAAAACTATTTGCAATTAAGCATTCTATGGTCTTTAGAAGAGCTTCTCCAAGGCAGTCCATGATTGGAGACAAATAACTCTAGGAGGGCCATGTAGCTAGGGCATGCCTACCTCAAATTTGTATTCAAACAGTTGTTTACATATCCATTAATGCCATCCCATCAGCATGCCTGTGGTCAGTCCAGTGGCAAACCAGGGGTATGGGTTGGTGGGGGACTGAGACAGTTGGGCAGATTTGCCTGTCTCCTTCCTTTGGGAGCCAACAAATGGACGGTTTTGGTAAAAAGAGAAATGCCATGTGTAGAAGGCACTGTAACAACCACAGGTCAACTAACTCATCATTAGAAAAAATTTACACAAATCAGCAAGGCGTGGTGGCTCACGCCTGCAATCCCAGCACTTTGGGAGGCTGAGGTGGGTGGATCTCCTGAGGTCAGGAGTTCGAGACCAGGCTAGCCAACATGGCAAAACCCCATCTCTACTAAAAATACAAAAAAAAGAAAACAAAAAAAACAAAAAACACAACAATTAGCTGGATGTGGTGGTGGGCACCTGTAATCCCAGCTACTTGGGAAGCTGAGGTAGGAGAATTGCTTGAATCTGTGAGGCAGAGGTTGCAGTGAGCCAAGATCACGCCTCTGCACCCCAGCCTGGGCAACAGAGTGAGACTCTGTCTCAAAAAAAAAAAAAATTTTTTACCCAAATTGTGTCTACACAGTCCAAGTCGTCCCTGCCTGTTTCAATAGTTATATCCTTCCATTGGGAGGGACACCAAGTGTCTCCTTACTTGCTAAGGAGAAAAGAAATGGATACCTTGCCCCTCCCACTGCTAGGTAGGAAACTGCCACTGCCTCTGAAATTCTGAAAAGTGCCTGTGAGAAGCTCCCGTAAAGTTCTTTATTTATTTATTGAGAACTACATCAGACTCTGTCTGGGTTTAACACACCATTCAGAAAGAACAGGAAAAATCTTCAGGAAGGAACCTACTGCCTGATGAAAGATTAGTTCGCCGAAAGAATAATGCCCACATTTTTGGAGCAAATCAACATGCATGAAAGTATTGTTATTTGAAATAATCGGCATAGAAGCATCTTAAAAGAGTTTCAGAGTTTTCACAAGTCCAGACTTTCTTTGGACCAGTATCAGTGGGCTATGAATTATTCTTGAAAAATAATTGAAGGTAATCTAGACGTAACTAATAGTTTACAGAAAATACAAGGGATAAAAGAACTTATGAAACAACACAAGAGAAGCAATCAGGCAAAGTCAAGGATGTGGGAAATTCTATAGGACAAATGGTTCATTTTTTCAAGATACAAATGTCAGGAAAGCAGAGGGAGGTAAATCTGTAGATTAGGACCCTTAAGAGACATAGACGTATCAACAAAATACAATGTACGGACCTTGTTTAGACCTGGATTTGGAAAAAAAAAATTGAGATATACCTAAAACAACCTAAGAGAATATTAGCTGGATATTCAATGATTTTAAGAAGCCACTGTTAAGCTTGAGGTGTGATACTGGCATTGTGCTCATGTTTTGGGTTTTTTTTAAAGGCCCTTGATTTTAAAAAAACACCTGAAATACTTATGAATATAATAGTACAATATCTGTGACTTGTTTTTAATAGCCCTTTGGGGGAGTGGCATAATTTGGACATTTGTCTCCTCCAAATCTCGTGGAACTTTGACCTTCAACGTTGGAAGTGGGGCCTAAAGGGGGATGTTGGGGTCACGGGGGTGCGTCCCTCACGAGTGGCTTAGTGCTGTTTTCCAGGGAATGAGTAAATTCTTGCTCTATTTTAGGAGCCTGGCACCTCCCTCCCTCCCTCTCTTCATTCTTCTTTTACCATGTGATGCCTGGTCCCCTTCGCCTTCTGCCATGAGGAGAAACAGCCTGAGGTCCCACTAGACATGGAAGCTATGCCATGCTTCTTGTACAGGCTGCAGAATCGTGAGCCAAATAAACCTGCTTTCTTTATAAATTACCCAGCCTCAGGGATTTCTTCACAGCAGTGCAAACAGACCACGACTGGGGGGGAGAGGCTGATCATCACTGGAGCTGGGTGGCAGGTAGCTAGGATTCACTGTACTGTTCTCTCTACTCTTGTACATATGTGTGTGTGTGTGTATATATATACATATGTACGTGTGTGTGTGTGTGTGTGTATATATATATATATATATATATATATATATATTTTTTTTTTTTTTTCAGATAGAGTCTGTCTCTGTCGTCCAGGCTGGAGTGCAGTGATTCATTCTAGGCTCAGTGCAACCTCCGCCTCAAGGGTTCAAGTGATTCTCATGCCTCAATCTCCCAAGTAGCTGGGGTTACAGGTGTGCACTACCATGCCCAGCTAATTTTTTGTATTTTTTTTTTTTTTCGTAGTGGAGACAGGTTTTCACCATGTTGGCCAGGCTGGTCTCGAACTCCCGACCTCAAATGATCTGCCTGCCTCAGCTTCCCAAAGTGCTGGGATTACAGGCATGAGCCACCGCGCCCAGCCATCTTGCACATATTTAAATGTTCTATAAACATTTTTATAAATGGCTGAGAGTGGTCCCTCCTGAGCTTGAGCCTCTCTGTGGCCATCTCTGTCTTGCTGTGAAGAACCCAAAGCCCCTCTCTGAGTTGGACAGGTCAGCATCGCACAGAGGACTCATTATCCCACCATTAAGACTTTCCTTTTCCAGACGAGGAGCCCCAGGCATTGTCCCGGGACTCTCAGACGTAGATGAGTCAACGCACACGTGGCTCTTGTGGCCTGGGTCTCATCCTTCCAAGAAGGCTGGAAATGGATCCTACAGCCCCCTGCCTGGAGTCTCTTCAACAGATACATTTGCTGGGGTCATGAGGGGTCATAGGAGGTCCTATAAAAAGAAATCACTGCAGCAGGTTGAGTTTTCACCCATCCTATCTAACATACTGCAGCACTTTTTCGGCTTGATTAAAAAACGCTTGTTTTCTTTATTACAAACCCATAGATGTTTATTGCAAAAAATTAATAAAAACACAAACAGGACAAAAGAGGAGAAAATAAAACTCACCGTAATTTCACCCCATATTTTTTTAAAAATGAGAACAATTATATACAGATTTCCCACTAAATAATTCTCAGGTTAAAAAAAAAATTCCTTTGTGTTTCTCAGAATTGGGTTAAAATGAGTTTGAAAATCTTAGCACCTCTCCTACTTGCAAAGGAATTTAAAAGGGAACTGGGACCATTTTGTTTTATTTATCTTTTTTTTAGAGTTCTCTTATTTTAAAAGCAAATGAAAATATATTTTGGGTTGCATGAGAATTTCTGAATGCTGGAATGAAGCAGATGCCTCTTCTCAAGGCTTCCATGACATGCCAGCCGGTGGTGCCATCCTAGGGGCCAGGTGGGGAGATTAGGAATGAAAATCAAGTCCTTATTTGTTATTTGTTATATGGCTCTGAAGAAGCTTCCCGACCCGTCTCCATCTCAGTTTCCCAGTATCCCCTTTGCTGGGCATTGTAATGACTAATCACAGTAGCAAAATTGCAATGTGGCAGATACTGCATAAATGAAGACTGAATTATAAATCTTTTGTAATGATTACTTGGCTAAGAGCTGCCCTCTGAAAATCATAAGCAGTCTTTCTAGTAATCCCTACCAATGCCTTTCTCATATACACATGTTTTAGAAGCTACAACAATTGTGATTTTCCCAGTAGGCTGGAACGATCAGACCTAGTTCTGATTCTCTTATTTAGGCAATATTTTTGTCCCTTGTTAATATCCACTTTGCTGTATAAATAGTAATCAGTTTATTTTTTCTTTTCCTAGGGGAGGAGCAGAGATATTTGACCCTAAACCAAATTAAAGAAGAAACCTTTTCTTTCCTAGGAATAAGTCTTCCAGGTAACAATTATTTGCCTTATGATTGAAACTCGGGGTTAGAGCCTAAATTAATGCTGTACTCAACCAGGTAATCTGGGAAAGACTGCTTTCTATTTGGCAACCCTTGACTTGCACTATTTTTTGTCTTTTCTCCAACAGGTTCACAATTAGAGACATTTACACTGTTACAAAACCTTCTTGACAATAATTTTAAAATGCTTGACAGTGGAAGACAGAGATGTGCTAGTGAGGAAGAGTCTGGGAGGGGAACACAAACAGAAGAAAAGATCCTGTCGTGCATGAGCAAAAATGGCTTTTGGTGTTGAATATAAGTAGACATTGCCCTGTTCACTTTTAACAATCACCTGATGCTTTGCATTTTGGCCTTTGGTATTGCGTTTCCTAGTGCCATTTTTATTGACATAAGGAAGCTGCAGCCCCGCCTGTGCTGGGGGGCGAGGTGACTGTAGCCCCCTACATGCATCCTAAGTCATCTCCCCTGGTGGTTACTACTCCTCCATGTCACGGCTGCATGCCCTGGGCAAGGAAATGAACTGTGGCAAACTCGTTGGTTGGGCTGTAATGTTATGCTCTTGCAGAGGATAACTGAAATGTATCTTCAGACCCAAAGGTAGAGGTTGGAGTGAACTGGGAATGAAGGCAAAACCTCCCTGAGTTCAGGTATTGAGAGTTTAGATCCTTCCTCACAGCCTGTGCCTCCCTCATCCCAACCTTGTTTAAAAGAAATACGACCCCCAACTAAATTCCAGACAACTGAATAGGATTTCCATCTTAGCATGGACAGAGCACTCAGGCCTGCAGATTCCTGAGCACCAAGGATGGGAAGGCAGGAAGCCTGGGGAGGACCAGAGGTGGCCGGGGCCAGGACTTGGTCTCCCCGCAGCCTTCCCAGCCTCAGGGCCTCATCGGACTCTCCTTCACTCAGTGCCCACCTCGGACGCTGGCTCCTTCCATTCAAAGGCAAACTGCAAACTCAGGCTGGGTGTGGTGGCTCATGCCTGTAATCCCAGCACTTTGCGAGGCTGAGGTAGGCAGATAACTTGAGGTCAGGAGTTGGAGACCAGCTTGGGCAACATGATGAAAGCCCATCTCTACTAAAAATACAAAAATTAGCTGGGTGTGGTGGTGCATGCCTGTGATCTCAGCTACTTGGGAGGCTGAGGCACGAGAATTGCTTGAGCCCGGGAGGCAGAGGTTGCAGTGAGCCAAGATCATGCCACTGCTCTCCAGCCTGAGCCACAAAGCAAGACTCCGTCACAAAACAAAACAAAAAATAAGAACGCAAACTCAGGGCAGCATCAGAGGCCAGCAGTGCAGACCACTAGCGCCCCTCAGCCTCTGCTCTCTGCTCTGCAGCGCCTCTCCTGCTTCCTTAAGAACCGGATGTCAGTGTCTCCCAGGGACACCTTGCCCTAGACTTGCTTTTAGGTCTTCATGATTGGCATGATTGATTCTGCTCTCTCTGAGGGTTGTTTATGTGTGGCAACGTGGAATAAAACTGGATGGGACCTTGTTTTCTCCTCTGTCTCAGATCATGTGAACACAAGCAACTCTACCTGTAAGTCTCAGAGGAAATCTTTGCTTTAGAATGTATGCACGAATCAGCCTTCTGCTCAAGTGAAACTTCAAAGGGTGGATCTCAAAGAAGATACATAAAAAAAGAGAGGAGACTGTTTATGTTGCTCTGCTGTTATTATTTTAAAAGCCCATGATGCATAACCTCTTTAAAATTGTGTTTATTTTATGTTCATATGTAATATTTATTTTGTTTGTGTTTATGTGAATATTTATATAGCTATAATAAAATTATATCAATTTATATTTTATTTTTACATAGTTCTCATCAATAGCCAGGGTCATACTATATCACTAAAACAACCAATATTCCAACGTTGTCCCTTCTGAATGACAGTTTTGCCCTGGAGAAATTCACACAGTCCTCTTGCCTATGCCCTGGTGTCACCAGAAAGGCCACCAGACACAGCCATTGAAACTGAGCCCCCTGGACAACTGCTGTGACCATTTCAGCCAAGTGGCTGCTCTTAGCCCATTCTGGGAAGCAGCACAGGACAGCCCTCCCCCAGCCCAGCTCTCCCGAATGTCTTGCAAAGGGCAAAAGGACAGCGGAGGTCATGTCACCATTCAGCAGCGCTTTGAGGTGGTGTCTGTCCTTGGGATCTTGAATGAACCAAAACAAATTTGGGGTCAACTCAGGGGCATTCTGGGGACACCCGCACAGTGGCCACTGGGCCAGACACACCACGCCTGTGTCTCCTGGTCTGTGCTTAGCAGCTTGAGCGGATGCAAGAGAGCTGGAGAAGTTAGGGCCTAAATAATAAAGAATAATTAGAAATTCTTGCCTTATGTAGCCACAGTTTTAGCATCTAATAATTATTGTTGCAAATGCAAATACTAGTCCCTGGGACTCCTTATGCATTTGAATCAATCTCTTAAAAACAATTGCTGCTCCAGATGAAAAACAATTTCTCAACAGCTGGAGAACATTTGCAGAAGGCAACTTTTAAAGAACAGAGCGAGGGAGAAAGACGGAGATAGACACAAAAGTAATCATCAGCCTCCCTTGTCTAAAGAAGTCTGAAGTCTTCAGATGGTGTGTTATTAATTACTATACCTACAGCTATGCTCTCGCTAAGCCACAGTTAGACTAGCAAGGTAAGGCAGAATAGCATTTTGTGTTGTCAGCACTGTTAATCAAAAATTACCCTGCCTTTTACTTTATTCAAAAACAGAGCTCTTTTTTTTTTTTTAAGAGCATCTTGTTACTGAGTTTTAAGAATAAAAAAATCAGAGGTTAGGATATCAAGGAGGTGCTCTAGGAATACAACTATATCTTGAATATAATATTTAGCATGGGCAAGCAAGGAAGACCTTTTTTCATTGTGCTGAATTGAAGCATTCATTAGGCAGGATTCTGGAGGGGCATGGGTAAAGGCGAAGGGAAGAGTGGGAGGGAGAGGGTGGAAGCACTAAGTCTTCCATTTGTGTATTTAGTTTGAAACTATGGATGTTTTGTGCCCAAAGCACACACATGAATTATAACCAAGTCCTGACATTTTAGATTAAATACCCTTGGCTTATATTCTAATCTGTTTTATTTTGGCACAATCATTTAGATTCAAGTTTAATATGAAATATTGATTGGTAATTAGATCATCATAATGATGGTAATAATAGCTAGCACTTCATAGCACACACCATACACCAGACATTATTTTCCATGCTTTGACTCATTTAATCCTCATAAACCTGAAGAGGTGAATATTATTATTATACCCATTTTACAGATGAGGACACTGAAGTACTCACAGTTTACACGACCTGCTCAAGGTTACGGGGCTAGTAAATGGTCAGTGTTTTTCAACCTGGACTTGTGATGTAGTAATTGTGCTCTGCAATCAGTGAAAACAGGCTGCCAATGTTAAATTATCCTCGAATGTGCTGTGTTCCTGGCTGAAACAGTAACGACCGAGTGGAAGGCACACACCCCAGTGACATAACCCCTGGGGATGCAGACATGCTCAGAGCAGAGGGCAAGCTGGCAAGTGGCCACATTTACCTGTGACTAGCTAAGTGGACTTACAGATGGTGTGGCTTAGTTTTACCCTCACAGAATGAGCAGGCGGCTTACGAAAAGATTTGTACAAAGAGTCTGGGACTTGAAGATGGTACTAATAATGCCCAGACTAGCAACAAGAAAAGCAGCCATGGTCCCCCTCTGTTCGGCCAAATCAATAAACAAAAACAAAGCAAATCTAACCCATCCTCCATTGTTAATGAGAGACCCCACCTTGAGCTCATCTTACACATGAAGATATTAGTTAATGATAGTAGGAAGTCATTAGAACTAACAAGACATTTTGCAACTAAGCATCCAGAACATGAATGCAAACCTCTATGAACTGAAAGCAAAAATATTTTTGTACAATTAGTAAATAAAATAATAGCTTAAAATATTTTATCACTCACATATGATCATTTAATTTCTCTGTCATGTATGTCTCACAACGCATTTAAATTATTAGCATGTATACCTACTTTAGCAAAGAGTAAACATGCATAGAGAGAAGTGCTCAGAAATCTTTCACTGATAGGATTATGCAATCAAAAAAGTTTGGAATCAAGCACAGTGCTAGAGTTTAGTCTACCCCGTGGGGCTACTCTCAGGTAACCATGGTAACGCTAATCCGTGGCCAACTGTCTGGCAAAAGCTTAGCAACTCAACAGGGAGACAGGGAGGAGAAGGTGGACAGAGCCCGGCAGACCCGTGTCCACCCCGAGTGCACCCTGGCTCTTCACATCATCGCAGGGCTGGCCTTGAGCATCTGGAGGCATCAGGTCCTCAGGTGGGGTGGCTGTCACTCCACATCGGTGGAATGCTTTGTAGCTAAAGAAATACGCATAATTATCACCATGAGTTGATCCTATTAACGTATCGAAAGCTAAATGAGGGACTAATAAATTGTCTGAGGTCACAGAATTTTCAACATGTAATCTTCAAAACCAAATTTACAAAGCAAGTTCTCATACTTTCAAAACTACCAAGAAAAAAAAAATGGGTTCTTTTATGAGCAAATGAAATCCCAGAAATGTAACAGAATTTCATGTCAGAACATAATGATGTTCAGAAACTGAGAAGCATATATTTGGATAATATTCTATGTAGAGAAAATATGAAAAGAGAATTCAAGAAGAAACTTGAAATGGCCACACACATACAATATACGATATTCGCCCACATGTATTTTCCTTTCTAAAATGCGTGATTTTGCAAGGTTGATACTTTTCTTTCGCTTTATTCATAATGAGATGTGTAAAATAGCAGAATTTCCAAGTTATCACTGCAAAGACCTTGAATCATACTTTATGTCTCTCAAAAATTCGGTCAGGTGGATGTTTCCTACTAAGGATTTAAAGCTATTTCACTAGCTATGCATTTTGTATTTTATAAATCATTAACATGAACAAAGTAAGAACCAAAACAGAAATACCCATTTCATAAGTGTGAAGACAGTTAACCTTTAAACAGATGGGTAGTCCCAGACAGCTCTGGAAAATTAATAGAGCTTAAACCTAAGGTCTCAGAGCTGCAGAATACATCTTTGGAGACCATGTTTTTGAGATCATCATAAATCAACTTTTTCCTCATCAGTCCCTCCTGCCTACCCAGGCTCCTAGAACCGCCAGGTTATGAATATGTATATCAGGACACATCAACGGATCCAGTGCTCCGGTCTCAAAGGTTCTGGTCGTGTGTTCCCTCCGCCGTCCATCCTCCCAGTTCACATGGTTGGAAAGCCTCACTGTGGTGGGCCTGCAGCCTGGCGCGGCGGTGGCACTGGGAGACGCCACTCCACATTCCGGCTCAGAGCCTGAGCACCCTTCACACCCGGCTCCCTTCAGGGGACGCATTTCCATTTTTTATTTGTAAACCTTTGCTTACTAAATCAGCGGTGTTATGGGGGATTGTTTTGTTGTCAAAGAGCTGCGTTTTTCCATGGCCAAGTCAGTTCAGATCTTAAAAGAGGCACAGCGAGCGATGGGCAAGGCTCCAAGCCGGGAGAACCGGAGGGATGAGGTTGTTGTCTCCCAGGAGATGGCTGCCTTAGCACTCACAAAAGACGTGGCTGGGCCGGCTGCAGAAAATTATACACACAAAAAGGAAGAAAATGACTAGCCAATGTTATCAATATTATCATGTTCAACTATTTAAGTAGGTGTTTGGAGGCATTTTTTAAGAATTGGGTGAAATTCTAAATGTGGCCACCAACCCTATAAGAATGTGGATGTAAAAGGAATTAAAGCCAGAAGTTTGATCTTACTGAGCTGCCAGCCTCAGCTAGGCCAGTACCGGGAGATTCTTTCATTGGCAACCGAGAAGACATTGGCCGTGGGAGAAATGCGGAATGGGATCAGGTCGTCCCTGGCCTGGAGACCTCCAGGGCCACTGCTCGGTGGGCAGTTGTAGAGTCAGCACACAGCTCTCTCTGCACAAACATTAAGCCAATCGTTGATGCTCATGTGTAGAGAAACTTCACATCCGTTCCCCCGACACGTTGAAGGGAAGAGAGGCACGATGGAATACGGTCTCGGTGTAGAGTTAACCTGGAGGTGAATAATCCCACCAAGGACAACAAACGGCACTTTGTTCTTGCTTTCAACACAAGCTCCACCCAAGAACATTTTGTCACTTCCACTGAACAGGAGCCCCGAAAAGTTCCTAATGAACATATTTGCAGCTACTTATGTTAGAAAAGTTAATTTAGCAGCGTTGTTGCAAATGTCAGGAAATTCAACAAGCCTGAGGAATTCAATACAGATATGAGCAGAATATGGATGGCAGAGACCCAGGGGCACAGGTCACGACAGTGCAGGTTGTCTACGCACAGAACACAGCCGGGACAGGGCTGCACCTGGCGGGACAGGCTCAGGCTTCCAAGCAGTGAGACCCACTTCTAGGGAGTGAGTGTTCAGCAGCACGTGACATAAATGCCATAAAACTGTGGCCCTGTATCTTCTTTATTATTTTTATAGATACATCATTATTGAAGGGAGGCCATTCCATTCTTTATGGACTTGGGCATCCATCTGCCTCTCTCCTTCCTGTTCTGCGGACACTTCCCATCTTCCTGCAGCCCTGTTTGGAAAGAAAGGAGAACTGCGAGCTGTTTTATGAAGTGGGGAGGGTAGCCGGGTCTGCTCGCAGGTACAGGTACAGCCCTCCTGGAGGGTGAACAGTCCGTCGAGGGCTGCTTCCTGATGCAGGCACCGTGCTCGGAATGTGTGTTACATCCCCAGGAGTTCTGCATCATAAAAATCATAAAGAGTAACGTCCCATGTCTGGAAACAGAAACGATTCCTACGAGAATTTATGCGCTCAATGTAATTAATCTGTATGTCTGGGACATCTCATCACAGGCCTGTCTTCTTTGGCTAATTATTAAAGCCTGATTCAATGGATCTGCTCAATTATAGTCCCAGATAAACAGCCCTTCTCCCCGCCCACCCCCGGATTATTTTACTTAAGGGTTTAGCAAATTCACCTGACAAAGAGTTAGGTTTCAACATTGACCCTCATAAAGTGATTTTTTTCTCTTTCTGTTTTGTTTTCTCCCTTCTTAAAGAGATAGTCGCCAGAGGCAATTCGACTTTCTGTAGCCACAAGATTCAACAAGGCCTCAGCTAATTGCCCTTCAGTACATCAGCGTTTCCCACCACGTGGGAGAAACTCGACCACGTTCATTATAGAAATCCGTCTAACCAAGATAATTGTATTGTATGTAACAAGTATTTTCAGGCTTACTCTGTTTCCCAAACCTTTTATAATAGAAATTTTCACTATCACCTCACTGGGCAAAAAAGTACAAAATCTGAATATTTGTGTTTTAACTGCTGAAAGATGCCACGTTGGCTTCTGACATGCCAGGGACAAGGACTATCGCTGATGGTCACGGGACCACCTGTGTGTTTGAGCTGAGTGTTAGAGTGTTTACAAGAAAAGGCCACTGTCAGGAGAACCTGGTGCCAGTTACACAGTTTATAAATTAACAAGAAATGGAGATTGATCTGAATGGGACCGATCTAGACTGTTTGGGAATTTTGTGCACTCAAAAAAGATCTAAAGATACTGCAGACACCATCCACCAGCGTCGCCTCACCCAGACTTTAAACAAAAGACCCAGCAGAGGTAGCAGATGGGCTTTCATCCTGCCCTAGCTTGAGTGTCCCAAAGACAAAGTGATGTCTTTAGTAATTACAACACTGTTTCTTAATGTTCATTTTCCTCTTATGATGCCATAAGGCCCAGCAGCACCTCCTTATAGCACCAAATGTTCACGCGTGGCTGCTCCTCAGACATGCATGGTGAGAAGACACTGGGGCTACCTCAAGTTTCCAACCTCAGCAGAGCAGAAAAGACCAAGAACCTCACAGGACAACGTGGATCCCACAGCTTTATGATCTTGTTAAAGTAAGTGACCAACAAAACAGTCTTGAGACTGAAACTGGAAGACAGCCTCTTGCACTTTATGAGCACTCTTTGTCGCCTTAATTCCATCGTCCTCTTCCCGCCTGCCTTGGCCCCACCTGCAGCCCCATGTTGGGTTAACCTGGCTCTGACCTCCACCGTTCTCTCATCTTCCCAGCAGCAGGCTGGACCCTGGTTGGTTTTCTTTTAGACATCATGACAGACGCTTTAGGTCACCCACTCATTAGCCATCCCTGTGCCCCTCGGCCCCCACCCTTTTTCCTTCCTAACAGAAGAATTTTGTCCTCTCTCCTGCCAGTGGCCCCATCCTTCAGGGGTGAGTAACATTCCCCATCCCAAAGGGGGATTGTAATTATCCAAAGCTGAGTGACTGGCGTAGGTCTGGACCTGCAGCATAATTCTGGCCAATAAGACCTGGAGGAGAAAGGAGAGTTCGGGGAAAGTTTTTCTCATTCTGAAAAAGGACACAAGACCCTTACTGGGATGTGCAATGGCTAGACGTCTGGCTGGCAGGATTCAGGGCAAAAAGAATCTGCCTCCAAGCTTGGAGTCAGGCTGCATCCAGATGTCCTGTGACTTGCACCTGAATGAAGCAGACACTCAACCCTCCAGCTGTCTGGGGCCTCCAGCCCTCACTGTTTATGCACCAGCAACCCTGCTGGGGACTGTCCCATCAGAGAGGGCAACTAGAGCACCCTCAGCCCCCAAGCCATTCCCAGGCCTGGCCCGGCCCCAGGGCACGGCCAGAGGAGTTCAGTCTGGAGAGCACATATTCCCTCTAGTTCAATGTCCTGATGCCCGTCCGTGCTGGCAAGTGACCCTCTAAAATCACCCGAATCGATGATCAGGGGTAAAGGGGAATAGCTCTAAACACAACTGGGGAAAGACATTGGTTCAGTTATGTGACCTCAAAAGGAATATTCAATAATAAAGTTTTGAATTCCATTACTGAGTCACTGAATAATATGGTTACCATTAAACAAAATTTTATTGTCTGCATGTTTGTTCCGTAAAATACATATATATTTTATCTAATCCAAATTGCATCCGACAGCTATAATTTGTGAGAGGTGTTGAAGTGCTTTTCTCGCCATTATTTTTAATGTGCTTTCCTAGATAATGAACTCAGGCTTAGAATCACAGAAAGTAGAGATTGAAGGGTGCTCCCGGGTCAGCGGACACCAGGCTGCCAGACTCCGGATGGGCAGGCACCCCCCAGGGGACAGGCCGCAGAAGCAGGACGCCAGGAAGGGGGCAGGGAGAAGACTTTAATTGGCCATTTCTGGTTTGATAGCTCCAAGTTGCGGGTGCATCTCCTAGAGAAAGCTGTATTTTGCAACCCCTTCTCCACAAAATGAAGATCTTTATTGTTATTCTCAGATACAGTCTTCTTTTTATTTGGGGGTGAAGGACAGGAAGGATAAAACCCAAGTGCTCTAGCTCAGTCATCTGTGCGCGGGTAAGTCACTACAAATTACAGTAAAATGACGAAAAGGCATCCCTCTCCCCTGTGTAACAAGTCACACCCATGCTTCAAAACCCATTGTTCTTTTTTTTTTTTTTTTGAGAAAATAGAGCCTTTTATTTCATTTCTTAATTAAATAAATATTTATAATACAAAACATAACCTTACATGGGTGCAAATAGTAGGTAACACGTATTTTCTCGGAAGGTCTTGAGAAAAGAGCATGAGCTCAGAGGAGGATAAATAGCACAAAAGGATAAAGCTGTGCACGCTCCACACACTTCACAACTGGATGGAGCAACACGTCCGGAACGTGTAGACCCACAGCCCACTTAATGCCACCTCTGTGGCCATCCATGAAGACTCCGGTGCCTTCAGAGCAAGGCCCTCCCTGCCATCAGTGCAGTGAGTGGGCAGTGGGAGAGGACACGGGGTCACAGGGAAAGGTGCACATGAGTGCTCATACACACACTCGAGCACATAACAATGAGTGCATGCAAGGACATTACACACGTGAGTACACGTGCAAGACTGCACACACGACAACACACACACAAGTGCATATATACAAGTGCACACACAATTACACAACACATACACACACACAAGTAAACAACATACATGCACAGAAATGAGTGCACACATATGGGTACACACATGAGCACACAGCACACACAGATACACATGTGCAAGTGCATACATGAACACACAACACACATGCACACACAAGTATACGTGAGTACACATGTGTGAGTGCACACACAATTACACAATGCACACAGTCGACATTCCAGTGGTGGGTCCGCTTTTGTCTCACCTCCTCACCTGGGAGTCACACATCTCAGGAGCTGGCGGGAATCCCAGGGCAGAATCCATCGCCTGGAGATGTGGCAGAGCCTCCTGGAACCACGGGAGAGGGAAATGTGGGAATGTGGCCTGAGGTCGATGGCATCAGGGAGGCGAGTGGGAGGAGGAGAAGCTCCAAGGAGATTGTTGTGACAGGGACGTCCCTCACAGGAGCCCCTGCCCAGCACCTGCACCATTGGCATGACTGCAGGAGCCTGGGGCTGCTGGGCCCGTGGTCATGAAGGGCGCCAGCTGTGGGCAGACCCTCTGCAGGGTGCTGGCAGGGTGAGAGGCCATGTTAGCAGCTACTCCTTGAAGAGGCTGAAACAGGATGTCACCCTGGCCACACTGTACACCCCGTAACCTCCAGGACATGGGAGGGTGAGGCTCCTGGGGCCTGAAAGGCAGGGTGGTCTCTGCTCCCCTGGCCTGGGGCTGTGGTAATTTTGGCGTCAGGAGCATCTGTGGTGAATAATGACACAAATGTCACCTCAGCAGGAGGGAGTGAGAGAGGCAATGACTGTGAGTATCAGGTGGCCCCCAAGAAATTTTTCTGGAATCTTCTACCACAGTGGGTCTCAAGCATTTGGGTCTCAGCAGTCTTTTACATCTAACTATGGAGCTTCAGTTTGTCTGGTTATAACTACTGATAGGCCAGGCGCAGTGACTCACGCCTGTAATTCCAGCACTTTGGGAGGCTGAGGTGAGCAGATCACAAGGTCAGAAGTTCAAGACCAGCCTGGCCAATATGGTGAAATGCCATCTCTACTAAAAATACAAAAAAATTAGTCAGGCGTGGTGGCACATGCCTGTAATCCCAGCTACTCAGGAGGCTGAGGCAGCAGAATTGCTTGAAGCCAGGAGGTGGAGGTTGCAGTGAGCCAAGATAGCACCACTGCACTCCAGCCTGGGAGAGACAGCAAGACTCCATCTCAAAAAAATAAATAAATAAAACTGAGAAATGTATTAATTCATTGAAAATTAACAATAGAAAACTCATTACACATTACCTTGTTTTTAATTCAAAATAACTGTTTTTCCAAAATAAAAACAAACAGTGAGAAGAGTGGCATTGCTTCAGCTTTGTGCAGGTCTTTTTAAAGCCTGGCTTCAGAGAAGACAGCGGATCATCAGTCTCTCCTTCCACATTTGGCCTGTTGTCATAGCACACATCATGTTACCTCTAGAATTCATTTGTGAGAGAAAGGGAGAAGAACATCTCAATTTTATTATTAAAACAATTTAATAATAATATTGTTATTAAAGCAATTTAATAACAACAATATTATTATTAAAACAAAGTGCCTGTAATCTCAGCACTTTGGTAGGCCCAGGAGGGCAGATCACCTGAGGTCAGGAGTTCGAGACCAGCCTGACCAACATGGTGAAACCCTGTCTCTAGTAAAAATACAAAAATTAGCCAGGTATGGTGGCGCATGACTGTAATCCCAGCTACTTGGGAGGCTGAGGCAGGAGAATCACTTGAACCCAGGAGGCAGAGGCTGTAGTGAGCCAAGATCGCGCCACTGCACTCCAGCCTGGGTGACAGAGCGAGACTCCATCTCAAAAAACAAAATAAATAAAATAAAAAATAAAACAATTTTGATCTTACAGATCCCCTAAATATCCCCTGGGGACCCCCAGAGACCCTGGTCTACCCTGTCCAGTAGAATCGGGTTATTGCTAATCGGTTAACCTGTGTGATCAGGAAAATGTTACATGGGTGACATTTGCACAAGTTCTGTGTTGACCTTTGAGCTGGGTTTGGAACAGTTAATGAAGAGGGATCTTGGAGGTAGTGGTGTAGAGATCCTGTTTTCCTGATCCCAAGAGGTGAGATCCCAAATGCCCTCCAACAGCCATGGCGAAGAGCTGTCACTGTCTCCTTGAGGCACAGCAGCGTCCCCCGCGGCACCCACTTGCACAGTCTCAGGTGGGGTGGGAACTAGTATTTACTGAGCACTTGCTAACCATCAATTGTTTCAAATATGTATGTAATCCCTCAAACAGCTCTAAGGTAGAATCTAAATAAAGGAACTAAGAGTTAGAAAGACCAAGTGCATAAGAAGAGTGCTGGCAGCCATGTTTTCAGGGTGGCAAAGGATTGCGCCCATTCTCTCCAATACCTGCCGCATGTCAGCTCTCTGCCAGAAGCTCCTCTGGGCTGGGATTCAGCAGAGACGTGGTCCTCGCCCTGTGTCTTGAGAGAGGTCACGTTCAGATGACGGCCGTGGAACCAGGGAAGAGAATTGGTTAAATGAGGTCACTAGAGAGTGTGTGGGGCAGACGGCACTGGATGCTGGGAGGAGACTGCCGCGGTCCTGTCTTCAAGGAGCCCTGGGAGGTGGACATCCAACCCCATCCCAGACAGGGTTACACAGCCAAGAGGAACAGAAGTGCCTCCCCCAGCTGGCTGGCCCACTCCCAGGCCCCCACATAGCACATCAGGAAGGCACGCTAGGGTCCGAGTGGCTCCCCAACCCCTGTTACTACATTTCATCTCCAAGGAAAAGTCAGCACCATTCCCTAGGATGTGAAGCTTGATAAAAATAAATGCCCACACCAGCTTTCCTGGGAGACAGGAAGAACACTGAGCCCCTTCTTTGCAGAGCACCCTCTGGCATTCCACCCTACAAGAAGTCCTGAGCTTGTGCAAACCACGGGAGAAAAGCGTGGCCCAACGTTGAACAGAGAAGTGCCCTTGGGGATCCCTGCTGCCTTTTTGCATGTCTCATCTAAGGGCAGATAACCAGGGTGGGGAGGTTCCTGAACACAAGGCCACGCCATTGTCATGGTGAGGAGGGGCCTGCACTGTCTCCCAGCACCTGATCAACAGAAGCAAACCACAGAGCTGGCCCAGCCATTGGATGGAGCCATTCAGATGCAAGCATCATGAAGGTAGAGGACCCGTCTCTAGAATCAGACACACCCAGCGCTTCCTCCAGCCTCTGCACCTTCTTAGAATTTCAACCTCTCAGCATCTCAGGTTCATCTACCATGAAGCAGGAAAAATAAAGCTACTCCCCAGTTGTTGGGAAGAGCCAAAGAAATGATTTTCATGAAACACTACCTAAATACTGTGATGGTAACCAGCTGTTGGCTTCAACCGACAGCTCATTCTGTCAGACTCTCTGGTGACTTCCACCTGGACAGCCCAAGTAGTCCATGTGTTGGTAAAAAGACACAGATGACACCAAAATACATTTTCTGCCACACTTTAAAAAATACCCTTTGAGTTTGGGTCTAGTACATAATTGTGCAAAATTTCTTCATTCCTGTAACTTGGGCTTGATTTAGAAACACACACTTGCCTTCTCTTTGTCCTGTAAGTACATGGCCCGGCACACACATGTGCCAATATTCTAAAATAAAGAAAGCTTTCATGGCCCAGGGCCGTCAGATATTAAGGAAACTATATAACTTCCCTCTGATTTCTTTTTTTCTTCTTTCCTTTCCTTTTTTTTTTTTTTTTTTTTTGACGTCACAAGAGTGATATTTGTCAGGTGCTAGGTAGAGAATAATGACACTGTATAAAAGAAATAGCCTGGGTGACCTGTTCCTTCCTCGAGATGTGGATGGGTGCTTTTGAATTACAGAAAAACCTCTGCTTTTTGAACTACTGAGTAAAAAGGGAAAAAATAACCACAACCCAGAGCTTTTACATTTCACATATGCTCTCTGGGTATGCAGTGCAGGGTGCCATGAATGAGCGCAGGATTTGGTATAAATCTTTTCCTATTTTGTGTTTCAGAAGGTATGCAATAGAAAACCCATTCTAACAATAAATGCTAGTCACCTGAGGTCTATAGCTTGTTTTGTAGCTAAGAAAATAAAGCCTCTGCTCACCCTTGGCCAACTAAGTTACATTTTACGCTATTATTAATGCATTGCAAGGCTTTTTTCCATATCAATTTGAAATTATACATCTGGGAAATCCCAGTACAACAGCAGTCAACGCTTTGTTTCTCTGTGTGGCCCCCTGCAATTACTAGAATGTGCAGCTATAATTTAGCTCAGGTAAAATTCAATCAGTCACCCCAAGCACAATGAATTCTCCATCTACAGAAAAAAGAAAGAGGAGGAGGAGGAAGAGAAGGGAAGGGAAAGAGGGGGAGAAGGAGAGAAAGAAGAAGATGAAGAAGTAGAAGGGGAAAAACCAGGAGGCAGAGGAGAAATAAAAGGAAAAACTGATGAGGTTTTTCCTGCAAATGGCCCAGGGAGCCATAGGAGTTTCTACAACAAATTGATTAGAATATTTAAATTCTGATTGTAATAGGAAATATAGCTGAAGAGAAGCAGTGCTAAGCATTGGAATTAACATGAAACAGATTTTAATCTGTTTTACAGCCTTCTTGGGTTCATTATAAAATATAATATTCTTTGCATTAAAAATAGAAAGAGGAGAAGAAAGAAGGGAGATTTTGTTGGTGTGCTGAATTTCACAGGGAGACGCCTGGAGATGGTGAGTAGGCCAACCTGAAAATCACTGTCCAGTAGAAAAAATACTTATTGAGACAAGTCAGCATGTCATTTGCCTAACTGGAAAGTGGAATCCCACCATTAAAGAGCCTAGGTTCTTTAAAGAAAAAGTCTCAGATGGCTCAACTCATTTTTTTATTTCATTCTTTTATCTCACAACTTTTATAAGTTATATAGGAAAGACTGTGATTGTTAATCAAATATTTCTAGACTTTTGTTCCATAATTGTTTCATAGATGTCACTTAGCCAACAGCAGATAATTTAGCAATAATTCACTTAGAGGTCAAGCATCTTCCTTCTACCACTGATAGGCTGGTCCTCGTGTTATACACATTTTCAAGGCAATAATTTGATTTACTATAATATTTTACCAATATGTTTGTTTGCTTCTAGTCACGTGACCTTGTAAACTCACACCTTGATCTCTTCATTCTGCTCTAAATCCCCCAGTATAAATAAAATGTCTTTAAACTTTTCATTTTGAGATTCCCTTGCAGTTGTAAGAAATAATAGAAAGGGATCCCATCTACCCTTTACCGGTTCCTCTGTGGCAACATCTTTCAAAACTACAGTACAACAACACCCCAGGATGTTGACCCAGAGACAGGCAAGATACCGAACAATACAGCCACACAGGATCGCCCCTCTCTCCTTCTCATCATTCCTCCTGCTGCCACTCCATCTTTAGCCTCTGCAAACCACTAATCTGTTCTCTATTTCAATAGTTTGTCATTTCAATGATGTTATACAAATGCGCTCTTTTCCACACAGCATAAATCCCTGAAGATCTATCCAAGGTATTACACACATTGATAATCCACTCCTTCCTATTAGCAGAGTAGAGTTCCACAGCATGAGTGTACCAGAATTTGCCTAACCATTCACTGATGAAGGACATCTAGGTTGTTTCTAGCTTAGGCCTATTACAAATGAAACTGCTGTCTGGGCATGGTGACTCACACCTGTAATCCCAGCACTTTAGGAGGGCAAGGCAGGTGAATCACTTGAGGTCAGGAGTTTGAGGCCAGCCTGGCCAACATGGTGAAACCCCATCTCTACTAAAAAAAATACAAAAATACAAAAATTAGCCAGGCATAGTGGCGTGCACCTGTAATCCCTGCTGCTGGAGAGGCTGAGGCATGAGTATTGCTTGAACCTGAGAAGCAGAGGTTGCAGTCAGCTGAGATCACACCACTGTACTCCAGCCTGGGTGACAGTGGGAAACTCTGTCTCAAAAAAATAAATAAATAAAAATAAATAAACAACAAAACTTTTGTATATAGTCATACATAGGTTTTTTTGTGGGCATATGATTTTATTTATCTGGAAAAAATGCCTGGGAGTGAAATTATTGGGTCATATGGTAGTTGCAGGGTTAGTTTTTTAAGAAACCGTCAAACTGTTTTACAAAATGGCTATACCATTTTACATTTCACAAGAGAGGTTTGAGTGACCCAGTTTCTCCTCATTCTCACCAGGCCTTGGTGTTGTCATTATTTTTTATTTTAGCCATTCTGATAGATGTATAATATCTCATTGCAATTTTAATTTGCATTCCCCTAATGGCTAATGATATTGAGCATATTTTTATGTGCTTATTTGCCATCTGTATGTCCTCTTAGATGAAATGTCTCTCTACGTCTTATGTGAATTCTCTAATTGGATTGTTTGCTCTTTTACTGTTAGATTTTGAAAACTTCTTATATATTCTAGATACTAATCATTTTCAGATATGTAGTTTGCAAATACATTCTCAATTTCTGTAAATTATCTTGTCATCCTCCTGACAAGGTCTATCATGGAGCAGAAGTTTTTTATTTATTTTTATTTTATTTTATTTTATTTTTTGAGATGGAGTCTCGCTCTGTCGCTCTGGAGTGCAGTGGCGCGACCTCGGCTCACTGCAAGCTCTGCCTCCCGGGTTCACGCCATTCTCCTGCCTAAGCCTCCCAAGTAGCTGGGACTACAGGCGCCCACCACCACACCTGGCTAATTTTTTGTATTTTTAGTAGAGATGGGGTTTCACCGTGTTAGCCACGATGGTCTCGATCTCCTGACCTTGTGATCTGCCCACCTCGGCCTCCCAAAGTGCTGGGATTACAGGCGTGAGCCACCGCATCCAGCCAGAAGTTTTTTATTTTTATGAAATCCAATTTATCAAATTTTTCTTTTGTGGCTCATACTTTTGGTCTAGAATCTAAGAACTCTTTAGATG
This sequence comes from Homo sapiens, assembly GCF_000001405.40. Classification (NCBI taxonomy): domain Eukaryota; kingdom Metazoa; phylum Chordata; class Mammalia; order Primates; family Hominidae; genus Homo; species Homo sapiens. Next base: position 75,328,688 of record NC_000018.10, on the reverse strand, counting down.
GCCCTAGGTTAGAAAATGTTCTCTATGTTTTCTCTAAAACTTTAACAGTTTTACATTTTACCATCTTGTATCCATTTTGTATTAATTTTTGTATAGGATATGAGGTTCAGGTTGCAGGATTTGTTTTTGTTTTGTTTTGGACATAGGAATGTCAAATTACTCCAGCACCATTAGATATAAAAAAAAAAAAAGGCTGTCTTTCTTCCATTAAATTGCTTTCGCACCTTTTTCAAAAGTAAGTTGTCTGTATTTGTGTGAGGTATATATCTGGGTTATCTATTCTTTTGCACTGATCTACACAGCTAGCCTTCTACCAATGCCATGCAGCCTTGATTACTGCAGTTACATAATAAGTCTGAAATTCAATAGACTGCTCCCATTTTAACCTCCTTTTTGAAAATTATTTTAGCTAATTTAGTTCCCTTGCATTTCAATATAATTTTACAATAATCTTGTATATGTCTACAAAAAACCTTGCTGGAATTTTGAAAGGAATTGTGTTAAACCTTTATGTCTATTAATATTTAGGGAGAAACAATATATTCAAAATGCTGAATCTGCCAATTCATGATCTTAGTATAACCCTTCATTTATTTAAATATTCTTTGATTCTTTCATCAATATTTTGGGTATGCATCCTATATATGTTTTGTTAGATTTACACTTAAGTATTTCATTTTTGGGGGTGGTTGGAAATGGTAGTTGTATTTTTAATGTCAGTTTCAATGTGTTCATTGCCAGTATATAGAAGTTTTTATATGTTTATCTTGCATATTGCCACCTTGCTTAACTCATTTATTAGTTCTAGGAGTTTTTTGAAAGATTCCTTGGGATTGTCTGTACAGACCACCATGTTATCTAATAGGGAGAATTGTACGTTCTCATTCTGATCTATATGCCTTGTATTTTATTTTCTTGCCTTATTACACTGGCTCAAATTTCCAGCACAATGTCGAATAAGAGTAATGAGAACAGACATCTTTGCTTTTTTTCCAATCTTAGGGAAAAAGCATTCAGTGTTTCACTACTAAATACAATGTTAGCTGGAGGATTTGTGCAGATGCCCTTTGTCAAGTTGAAAAGTTGCCATCTATTTCTGTTTCTCTGAGGTTTTTTTTTTTTTAACTTGAATGGATGTTGAATTTTGTTAAGTGATTTTTCTGTATTGATTGATATGAGTATGTGATTTCTTTAGCCTGTTAAAATAATTAATTATGTTAATTGATTTTTGAATATTGAGCCAGTTTATATCCCTGAAACAAACCCTATTTGGTCAGGGTGTATAATTTTCCATACATTGATGAATTTTATTTGCTAATTTTTTTGTAAAGAATTCTCACATCTATATTCATGAAGGACACTGGCTTATAGTTTTCTTTTTTTGTACTGTCTAGTGTTGGCATCAAAGTAATAATCACTTCATAAAATATTAGAAAATGTTCCCCTTCTCTTTCATTTTCTATAATAGATTGTGTAAATGTGAAAATAATTCTTTAAGCATTTGGTGGAAATCTCCAGTGAAACCATCTGGGCTTGGAGATTTAATTTATGACAAATTTTAAACTATGAATTAAATTTCCTTAATAGATATAGAGCTATTCCTTGTATTCATTTTTATATTAGATGTGTTGTGACAGTTTCTGTTTTTCAAAGAATTAGTTCATTTCATCTAAGTTGCCATTTTTATGGATGTATAATTGTTCCCAGAATTCCCTTATCATTTTGAAATGCCTGTGAGGTTTGTAAGACCCTATTTTCATTCCTAGTATCAGTAACTTTTGTTTTTTCTTTTTTTTTTCTTTGCCAGCCTTGCTAGAGGTTTGTCAATTTGATTGGTCTATTCAAAAAAACAGCTTTTTGTTTCATTGATATTTCTGTATTGTTTTTCTGTTTTCAATTTTATTGACTTCTGCTCTTATTTCCTTCCTGCTGCTTGCTTTGCATTTATTTTACCTTTTTTCTAGATTCTTGAGGTGGGAGCTTATATTATTGATTTGATACTTTTCTTATCATAATCATACTCATGTACCCACTACTGCTTTCCTTTGATTAGTGTTTGCATGATGTATCTTTTTCTATCCTTTCAATTTTGCTGTATTGTTATATTTAAAGTAAGTTTCTTGTTGAACGTTTATAGTTATGTCGTGCTTTCTAATTTATTCTGCCAATCTCTGTCTTTTAATTGATGTATTTAGACAATTTACATTTAATGTAATCATTGATATGTTAGGTCTCATGAATGACTTTTTTTTTCCTGCTTGTTCTTGCTGTTTTTTTGTTCCTCTCTGTTCTTTTTCATGCCTTCCTGTGGATTACTTGAACATTTTTTAGAATTTGATTTTATCTGTAATCCTTCTTAGTGTAACACTGTCTATTGGTTTCATCATTTTACCAGTTCAAATCAAATATAAAAACCTTACCTCCTTTTACATTCCTTACTTCCCCTCATAATTATCTTTAATATATCCTGTTCATATATTTAGAACTTTATCAGAAAGTGATTTAATTCTTGTTTCAACCATTAAACATGATTTAGAAAAGTCAAGAGGAGAAAAAATTCTATTATATTTACCAATATTTTTGCTTACCTTGTTCTTCTTTGTTTTATGATGGTCCAAGATTCCCTTTTATTATTTCCTTCCTCTTAAGAGAACTCCTTTAGCCATTCTTTTTGAGTAGGTCTGCTGGAGACAAATTATTTTAGTTTTCATTCATCTGACACTGTTTAGATTTCCTTTTTATTTCTAAAGAATATTTTCACTGAATATATGATTCTGGGTTGACAGTTCTTTCCTTTCAGCACTTGAAAAACATTCTATGGGTTCTCATAAAAAAAAAAATCCAAAGTCATCAAAATTGTTTCTTTCCTCTAGGTAAGGTCCACTTCTTTTTTGTTGCTTTCAATATTTTTTTATCTTTAGTTTTTAGAAATTTGATGATGCTATGTCTTGGTGTAAATTTACTTGGGTTTATTCTGCTTGAGGTTCATGCAGCTTCTGGAATTTGTAGGTTTATGTCTTTTCTTTCTTTTTTGTCATCTTTTGCTAGAGAAGAGAAGTTATTGTAAAGTTTTCTGTTTTGTTAGGTTGCTCTTCTCCTGGTCCTATAGCGAGAGGGCTTTCTGTCTGTGCCAACTGGCATTTCTGGGTTGTCAGCTTTTTCAGCTCCATGTCTAGTATATATGAGGCAAAAAGAAAACCCATAGAATGTACCATTGTGTCATTCCTTGGTTCCCAACATCTCTGGGCATCTACTTTCTTCTCTCTGTTATTCAGAGTCTCCTTATATTTGTTTCCTACATAATGACTAGGGACCTTAGTTTACTTAGTGGGAGGAAAAGGGTGTCTACTCTGCCTCGAAATGAAAACAGCCACCAAAACAGATATAAATCTATGATTGAAAAGTCTAGCCAAGCTCAAGTATAATGTGCACATCTATGTCCCCCCTTCCTTAAACAGGAAGGAAAAAAGCCACATGGAAATGAGTGTATCTAGAGAAGGTTTACCATCCAGAAACACTCAGAAGCAATTAAGAGTCCAGGTTCCCATGCAGCAACAGGTCCGAAGCACCCACCAGTACAAGGAGTGGAAGCCATTCTCATTTCAGGAGCTGAGATTGAGCTCTCCCAGCCACAAATAGGGGCTGCTGAAAACTCATTTATGTAGAGAGCATCATATGTGCTAGGGTGGGAACAAGTAGGGAAAGCACCTGGACCAAACATCAAGAATAAAGAGAAAATCTTACACATTACTAGAAAGAAAGATTACATGCAATTAGAGTGATGGCAGATTTCAAATCAGATATAAAAGATGCCAGCACACGATGAAGTAATATCATTGGAATGTTGAAGAAAATACACTATCAATTTACAATTCTGTATCCAGACACAGGATCACTTGATAATAAAGATAGAATAAAGAAATTTCCAGGCTTATGAAAACTGAGAATTTACTAACTAAGAACCCTCCCTTGGAGGGAAGAAAAAACTACCAAAAATATGTGCTTAGCAAGAAGGAAAGTAAACCCAGAAGGAAAGGGGAGAGTATAGTATAACAGCAAGCCAAGAAATCAGTAAAAGAAAAAAAAAGTTGATAAATCTAACTGCTAATTTTTAAATAAATTTTTAAAAAGAAGAAACTAATGAAAAGACTAAAGTTTGTGGACTTTTAAAATGCTGAAGCAGAAGTTCTAAATCAGTGCTATTCCCAATCCGATTGGGACATGTGTAAAAAGTAATGAGGTCGATCCTCCCCCTTGGAGAGTTTGGGAAGTACTGCTCTCCAAGCAGCAAGAGGGGGAGGCTGAGCGGGAGGGGTTCACGGCAAAGTCAAAGTGCACTAAGATCCTTGTCTTTTACTGAAGGAAGTTAGAGATCAAGAATAAATTTAGATTTAATTAGAAATTTGTCCATCTGCTTCGAGGTATTAGACAAGTGTTTGCCAGGTTTTTTAAGCCATTTAAGGCTGTTTGAACAATTAACATTACTAACAAAATAAACTCATGCCCAATGGATGATAGTACATTTTGCCATTAAAAGTCATCAAAGCAAGTTTCTCAAATCCTGAATGTCTTGCAATTACCTTCTAATGTATTTTGCATATTTTTAGACAGAACTAACTTCCCATTTACAAAATGAATAGCTCTAGAAAGAGTCTGCTGATGTTTCTGGCAGATTTGAATAGTGATCCCATCCAGGGAGAGTCGATTAGGCCAGTATGAGGTATCTGGAAGCCTTTTTATGAACAGAAATGTCTTCTTGCCAAACTTCTTTCTAACGCAGCGTGGCCACTTAAGTATTGTAAACATTCTGTTTAATTTTCAATCTAATATTTTGCAGCTTACAAATGTGCCTAACTTAATCATTTTTTAGGTTGGAAAAAAAAGTAAATTCCTACATACCTCACCACTTTATCACTGCATTAATAATAAGCAAAGGTTTTAGAGGAAAGGGAGGGCTCAGGTAAGCTTTGTGGGATGGATGTGCAGGCACGGCTGGTTGCTGTTGTTATTTTATAACATTTTTCCTTGTGTTTCAAAGTAATGTTTTATATATACATACATATATTCATTTATTCATTATATAAAATTTGGGAAAAATTTTATTCACATCTTTTTTTAATTGAAAAATAGAGTTTGTATACATTTATGGTGAGCATCATTGTTAAAGCAATTAAGTGAAACTTGCCATAACACCACCACAGTATCTGGAATTTTCCTTCCGGCCTTTCTTCCATGTGTAAATATGACCACACTGGTACCACCAGCATTTACGTGTGTCACACACAGTGCAAAGTGTTTCATGGACGTGATGTTGTCTCAAATATTTTGCTCTTGAGGAAATGAAAACGCACTGGGTGAGTGTCTTGTCAAAGTCACACAGCCAAAAGGAGGAAGCTCCAGGATTCAAAGGAGAGTCGGCCTCCAAAGCCACAGCTTTCCTGACTAACGCTGCTGTTGTCCTCTCTCCCGCCCTGAAAGGTGAATTATTATCACACCAATGTTTCTGATAATTCCCTGAGGCTCAGAAGTGCTGGGGAGATTGCCATGTAACAGACATGGCTGGCATGGGAACCCAGGTCCACTGATGCCACGGCGGCTCTCTTCACCTTTTCCCGCTGTCACCTCCATCCTGCTGAGACAGCCTCAGGACCAACGCCCAGAGCTCAGAACAGTGGGAGGAGGAGAGGGGGATTTCAGGTCAGGAAGGCAGACGAGGCCACATGGCGGGGGTCTCCTGGCCCGCGGCCCTAAGGGGAAGAAAGTACAGAAGAGCAGAATAAAAAGGAAGATGGGGTGGGAAGAGGTGACAAGTGGGATTCTTCCAGATTTAATAATTTTGTCAGCTGTTTTCTCACACCTAGTTTGGCAGCAATACAGTTTTTAGCAACCTGCTATTGTCAGTCTTTCAAAGGAGTAAACCTAAATTTAGTGGAAGCAATGCTTATTTTCCACACTTATATATAACGCATTTACAACATATTTCATTGAATCAGTATAACATAAAAGGAGAAACCAGACTAAATACAGCTGGGAGCAAACGCCAGCCAGTCCGGGTCAGGCTGGACTAGCCGTGGGTGCAGGGCAGGCCCCAGGCACATGCCCTGTCCTCCTCTCAAAGAAGCCACAGTGAATGTGTGTGCCCGTCTCACTGTAGGCCAGGCTCACTGTACGCCTGGCTCACATGTCCTTGGTGGTAGCATGTCGAGGTGAGTGACCCGACTGTGCCTTCATGCATGGAGAAGGGAGTCTGGGAGTTGGACTGAGGACGAGCCCGGCACCGACAGCCTTGAAGCGCTTCCTGGGGACTCCAGGCCACTCCCACGGGGTACGCTCAGGGGACCCTTGCCAGTGCCCCCCAGGCAGCCACCCTCCTCACACTGCCAGACTAGGCCCCTCCCAGTTCCCAGCAGTCACCTCAAGGCCCTGCCCCAAATTCCCACCCCAGGAAGCTTGGCAGGCCACCCGTCCCCCACAGTGGCCACCAGGACCCTCTCTCAGGAACCAGCAGACCTGGTCTTCTCCGCCTCACTCCTAGCCTTGTCTCTGTCCACCTGTCCGGAAGCCTCCTCCCCTCTGGCTCAGCTGGGTTTTTCCGGCTGCCCTCAGGCTTGACAGGGGATGATGTCCTTTCTGTCCCCTCCATTCCTAACCAGCACTGAGCTCTGAACCACGCCCTGGGTGGGTCAGCTCCGCAGGCAGCCACTGTGCCCCCAGCTGCAACCCTCCCTCTGCAGCGAGGAGAGAGCCGTGACCTTGCAGGTGACCTTCCAGCACCCACTCTGCAGCTCTGAGACCCCAGTCCTCGCTGGGCTCCGTGGGGGGGACACTTCGGCCTACCATTGTCCCCGGACTCATTGGCCCTCTCTGTGCAATGCTCCTCCCCAGAGTGTTGCAGCTTGGGTTCTCTTGTCTCCTTCTGGCCTTTACTCCAATATCATCCTCTCAGCGAGGTTCTTCTGCAACCCTGTCTGGCCTTGACACCCACACACAGCCTGCCTGCCGCCTTGCTGGCTTCCCTGGTCCCCTGTATGCCCTGTGCACCTCGGTTAATTCCTGTCTCTCCAGGATGGACTAGAAACTCCACCAGGGCAAGGATCTGGGACTGATTTGTTCACGTTTGTGTATGCAGGCCCTAGAAAGTGCAGGTCCACCACAGGCACTTCACACATCAGGTGAGGGGTGAATGAACTTGGTTTTCGGGTACTGCCACCACAGAAGAATCCGGGACTCACCTTAGTTTCAATGGGCTTAGAGCAAGAAGCCGTCTACCTACTTGACTTGGCCCTCGCTGAGCGCTATTTATACAGCACATAAACACAGCCTTTTCGTTTTAAACTTTGGGAATGCACCTGAACAAATTTGTTTGTGGTTGTAGGACATAATGTAAATGTTAACAACCTTGTAAAACTGCAGCTGACAGAAAGCAGGATGTGGAAGAAAAGGTTGGAGTGTTAATATCCTCATCTTATAAATGAGGGAGTCGAGCTGAGGGAGCAAGAAATCGAAGTTTAAGGGCGTTTTCTTTAAAGTCACAAAGGCAACCATAAGAAAAACTAAAAATAATAATAGCAGGCCAAGCGCAGTGGCTCACACCTGTAATCTCAGCACTTTGGGAGGCAGAGGAAGGTGGATCACCTGAGGTCAGGAGTTTGAGACCAGCCTGACCAATATGGTAAAACCCCATCTCTACTAAAAATACAAAAATTAGCCAGGCATGGTGGCGGACACATGGAATCCCAACTGCTAGGGAGGCTGGGGCATGAGAATTGCTTGAACATGGGAGGTGGAGGTTGCAGTGAGCCAAGATTGTGCCACTGCACTCCAGCGTGGGTGACAGAGCGAGACTCCCTCTCCAAATAAATAAATAAATAATAGCAATGCCAGGCACTGTGAATTGGCCAAGAGGAGGAAGTTGGTGGGGCACATTCAGTCCTCACATTTCACACGGGAATGCACACCCACCTGGGCGCCATCCACGCGGCTGTATTAAGGAGACGTGCAATGGTGATGGCTGGAGCGAGAGAACTGCTCTTTCCTCCCTTCTAAGGTTGGTGGGTAACTCAGGGCAGGAAGGGCTGTTTCTCCAAGAGGTCCTCCTGGAGCCAGGACCCTTCCCCGCCCTGCCCAGTCATTCCCACCCTGCTGCCCTCTGTTGGGTGCCACCTGGCTGCCCCTCCAGCCCATCTGATGCGGGGGAAGGGGAAGGACAAGCAGTTTCTTTTCAAGGATATGACCCAGAAATTTCACATTTTTGCTTCTCACATCCTGGTGGCCAGATCCAATCACAGGGCCACATCGAGCTGCGCCTGAAACGTGCTGGGGGAGGAACAGAATTCATGCAGTGAGTGAATAGATATTCTACAAAGCTATAAACAACAACACAAATACAAAAGTGGAGTATTAAGATTTACATTGGTCTGTCAGTCAGGACAGGCTAAGTTTTCTTGTTAATAAATAATCAAAAAACCTCACTGGCTTAAAAGTTTTTTTTAAGATTTTGTCCTTGTTCAGGCTGCATGCTCAACTTGGGGCTCTGCTCACATTGTCCTGAGTCGGGGCCGCAGGCCGGCAGACCTGGTCATTGTAGCAAGGGAAAATAAATAACAGGAAATAATGGTTAGAGGTCAAATTGTGTCCTTCAGAAGATATCTTGAAGAACTAACTCCCAGTGCAGCAGAGCGCGACCTTATTTGGAAATGGGGTTGTCGCAGATACCTAATTAAGATGAGGTCGTACTGGACGAGGGTGGGTCCTACATCTAATACGACCAGTGCCCTTATTAGTAGAGAAGCCACAGAGACACGGACACACAGGGAGAACATGCAAAGACAGAGTCGGGGTGGAGTGATATGTCCACCAACCGAAGGGCCGAGGACTGCTGGAAGCCACAGCAGCTGCAAGAGGTGGAAGGGATCCTCCCCTAGAGGCTTTAGAGGGAGCATGGGCCAGCTGACACCTTGACTCCAGAGTTAAAGCCTCCAGAACTGTGAGACAATACGTGTCTGCTGTGTTAAGACACCTAGTTTGTGGTACTTCATTATGGCAGCCACCGGAAACTAATCAAATCATGCAGTCACTCTCAAAGGCTTTTACCTGGGAGTAACTCACAATAATTCCTCACACATTCTATTGGCCAAAGCAAGTCACAGCCATGCCTAATGCAGGGAGGAAATTAGCAAGGTAGCAGATCTCCAAAAGCTGGTTTTGTGTTTTTGCTTCGTTATTCTGTGTCTCTTTGTCTGTGAACCTCCATCACCAAACAACTCAGCCATTAGCCCTGCCAAGTGCCCAAGATGAGTTTTGGGGCCTTCTATGTTAATATTATTAGGAGAGCTTCTTTAAGAGAAATATAATATTGTTCAAAACAAATCAGACAGCCACATGAAGACAGTGCTCCCAGGGCCTCTGAAGGGACCATGCAAATGAGACACAGAAACCTTCTCTGGCCATGCCAGGCTCCCGGCTGTCTCCCGCGTTGGGGTCCCCGGACCGTCTCTACCTGAATGCTCAGCCCCTGCAGCCCAAGAATAAAGCCCTGCCACCCTCCGAATTATGACCAGTGTTCTTATAGTAGAGAAGACACAGAGACAGGGACACACAGGGAGAACGCCATGCAAAGACAGAGGCGGGGTGGAGTGATATGTCCACCAACCAAAGGGCCGAGGACTGCCGGAAGCCACAGCAGCTGCAAGAGGTGGGAGGAATCCTCCCCTAGAGGCTTCAGAGGGAGCATGGACCAGCATGTTCCCTATGCCAAACTCATATCATGCATTCATGGTGGAATAAATGTTCACAGTGCACCTGAAGCAGGCTCCAGCCCACACAGCACTGGAGAGCCACCATGCCTTCTCCTAAGGAGACCTGGACAGGTGCACGGGATCTGCTAGACGTCCAGGCTGTGTCTCTCACCATGCTTGCAAGTCTTCTAGAGGCATTTGGTGCCTAAACTCAGGCTTAAAGCGTGAGAAGGAATTAACTAAGTGAAGTAATGGGAAAGAATTCCATGAAAACAGAAAGAATAGGAAGTAAATTAAATAAATGGTAGCCACTGTCATAAGAATGAAGGCACATGGAGCAAATCAACATTGCACTCCACAGGCACACATGCACTCACACAGGCTCACAGACACACCACTCCTGTCCCCGGTGTGATAGAGGGCTCTCCTGGAGTTCACATCTCTCCTCTCCTGAACCTGGAGCAGAGCTGTGTGCAGCCCTTCTGGTGAGCCAGAAGGATCCCAGCGCCCCAGAACGTGGCCTTTGCTGTTAGTAGGAGCCATTGAGGGTTGGGGACAGTGCCTCAGACAATGGCCACCCTTCGATTGCATTCAGACAAGTGTGGAGTCAGGGAAGAAAAGTAAACATATTGGAAGAGGTTTGTTATCTACCTCTCAACCTAAAAATCTCAGCTAAATTGTCACTTCTTCAGGGAAACCTCACAGAGTTCCCTATTGTTGGTTCCCATGACAGCAATGCTTGCCTCTCTCCTTGGTAAATTTGTCACTCAGATTGTTACCCATATATCCATGCAATTATTTAATTATAATGAATGGAAGGATGGCTAAATGGATGGATGAGTGGATGGATGGATGAATACCTTTATAACGCACTAGTCCAACACCCAACTCAAAAATGAAATACTCCAGCAGAATTAGAGGAGACGTGATGCCTCTATCAATCACTAAAGGGCTCCGATGCAGCACCTACCGGCTCTTTGAAAAATGACTCGCAGTTCCTCATACTGAACTAACTTGGTGCACTTCAGAAAAGTCCCTAAAAGACCCCGTTCCACTTATAGAACATCACATCGAAGAACACAGCGTAGTCTGTAGCTGATTTGTGGAGCTGATACCACTTGGACTTGTTTGTAGAGAGTTCTGGCAGGGAGTGGGACTTAAATTATCCATAAAAACCTGCTATCTTCACACCAAGCCAGTAAGTCTCCACACTCACGGAGAGTCATATAGCCAAATCGGTCTCGGTTCCAATAATAGATATGAGCATTTTGTTTGAACTTAAGCCAAATAATGAGAAATTCTCCCATTCTCATTACACAGGCATGGGACAGGTCAGAGGGCAACCGGAGTGTATCAATAACGGCATTACAGGCACAGAAGTGGCACATCTGTGCCCCGCGCCATCGTCACCCCACGCCCCGAGTGAAATGCACGCCGAACGCGGCAGACCACGTTTTCACTGCACTTCAGCTGCCGTCCGCTGGAACTATCACTTCCCTATAATTGGGCTCACACTCTGCGATTGGCGATTTCTTCAGAGACCTCCAATTCAATTAAGTCTTAAAGCTCAATGCGGAGCTAGACCATGAATATAAGATGTCACATTAATATGAAATTTTTTTCCAGTCAAAATAGAAGGATTACTTCAAAGCCACAGTCCACACAGGCGCTGGTGATACCAGCTGGCATTTGCCATACAATTTGCTCTGTGGCTCCTACAGTCTTCATGGTGGAAGCACTTGGGGCCAGGGCTGGGTAGAGGTCATTAATTCTCTCCCCAGCACGGCTAAGGGCCCCACTCCAGAGACCATGGCACCCTGTGTCACAGGGGTGAGACCATTCTTCCTGCCACTTCCGTGCCCTCAATTCTAGTTTCAACCTGATTGCCCCACATCTACGCAGGGCTTTGAGATGGGCCATCGCTAGTCTGTCCTCTGGCGTGGCTTTCAAGGCCTTCCCTGGAGAGGGCTCTCAGACCGACCAATGTGGCTCATGAACTTGCCATGGCTAGCCACATTCTGCCCCATCTACAAATTCGTCACTGGCTCCTGAGACACTGTACCCAACTCTGGGACCTATACTCCAGGCCAGGAGGCTCCCTCGTGTGTGGAAGAGAGAGTCACACTTAGTGCATAATTCCTTCCTTAGGCGCGTCACATGACACGCAGGGCGGCTAGGAAGGAATCACTCTCAGTCCAGGATCGGCAAAGACACGTGGGAGCAGGTGACATCAGACATTCAGCCTGCTGGGGAACACTTTTTTCCAGAAGTTTTGGATATGAACCTAGAATGTGCAGCTGGAAAACCAAAGAGGTCAAGGCTTCTAGTCAAGGACATCACGTGCTCAGGGGTCAGGAGCGTGGGTCTGGAATCAGCATCAGAAGTGACCTGACCATGCCACATCCTGGCTGTGAGACCCCAGAGAAGTCACTTTCCCCGGCTAGAATAACCGAGGGCCTCTGCTTTGTCCTCATCTGTAGTGAGCTGTACAGTATTAGTTGGCTCCCAAGGCTCTTTAGGGAATTAAATGAGTTCATGCCTCTCGGTGGCTGAGCACAGCGTGGGGCATGCAGGAGGCTGTCTGTAGACGTGGTGATGTATGACTTGCTTATCAGCCCATTCATGAGAAACCAGGACTGCTGAGGACCAGCCTCCTACTCCAAAACTGTTCTCAGCCGGGCGCAGGAAGGTGTCCGTGTGAGTAGGTAGAAGGCATCTCTGGCCTGCTAAGGAAATAAGGAAGTCACAAGAATCGCTAGGAGCCTATTTTAGGTGATTCTAAGGGGCTGCCTCCTCAGGGTAACCAAATAGCTGGAAGATGCGAGCTGGAAGATTTATTTCCCTCCATAAACCCTACAGAGTCTTCTATTCTCTACTAATATTAATCAAATTATTGCAAAAACATATTTCAGAAAATGAAGTCTGCTTGCGGGCCTACCAGAGGCTGATAAAATCGGGTATCAGGTGCTTCAACATACACGGAGAGGGTTGATCTCATGTGAAGTGTTCTTACCACCAGAAAAAAAGAGAGAGCGAGAAAGAGGAAGGAAAGTTCCAGGGAACCCGGGGCTGTGGGTGTGTCAGTTACCGAGACTGGTGATGGTGTCATGGAGGTCCGAATCTGTCCAGACTTACCAAGCACACATTAAATACGTGCAGTTGTTTTCCTGTTTCATTTATGCCTCAATACAGCTTTTAAAAAGGAATACGTAAATAAAATCCTGCCTTAAAAAGTTTGTAAACTTGTTGGATATGCCCAGTGTCCCCCTGGCCCCGGCTTGGAGGCTTCCTCTGGCCTTGCTGGGCAGACATAAGAGAGGTGAGAAGGGGAAGGAAGGGGAGGAGGCCCTTTTTCCCACTGAATATAGGTAAGGCCTGACCCCTAAAAGTGAGGAGAAACAGCCTCTTGTCTTCCATCTTAAATTTGTTTGTTTGTTTTATTTCAAGAACTCCAAGGACAAGACCTTCTGTTTCTAGGCCACAGAGCAGGGTGGGAAGAAATGTTATCATCAGAAAGTAAGACATCTGCTAGTGTGCAGGGACATGCTGGAGGTCTTGGTCTCCAAGCACCACCCTCTGTGGGTCTGGGTGGCATGGTGGCATGTCCACCTTCACCCCCAGATCTCACTTCCTCACATCTATGACAAATACAACAAAAATATCATATCAGACCGAAACAAAAATCAGAAGCTAAGGGCATCAATTTGCAAAAGTCGATTACTTTTCTTTCTTTCCTTCTTTTTTTAAAGATAGAATCTAAAAATTGAATTAAACCAAGCAAATAATATAAAAGACCTTAAACTGGAATTAAGCCAAACTCAGTTTGAAGCCCTGAAGTCTTTATGTAAAGTTAAGTGAAGGTACAAAAGCCAACAGCCTTTCTCTCTCTCTACAGAGGCTGTAGGGGAGAGTGATGGAGGAATCGTTCTATTTAAGGTGAAGATCCCAAGCCCAAGCACATGTTGGACACTCACTTATTGCTTGAAGACTTGCAGGCACAGGGACAGGCAAATGAACAACACTCCATTTATGTGTGAAAACTCATGTCACCAAGAAATCAGTTGAAATGGGAGGTAGGGCCAATATCAACTTGCCCTTTGGTCCTGGGCTTTCAGAACACAGTGATATGGGTGACAGTGGCCATGCCTGCATCACTCAAAAACACATACACAGGACCTACCATGGGCCAGACACATGGTGTGTGAATAATCATGGCCCCTGCCTGCATGGACGTCACAAACTGTGGGGTGGGAGACACTGATTACACATACTTACAAAAACAGAAGAAATACCAAAACACTAATAATTAATACTAGTATCTGTGGATTACTAATCATCTGCTGAATGAGTCTTCACAGCCAAAGTGAAGCGCTACGTGTGGGTGACCTCCGCTTTGGGTTGAATCACCCTGAATTGTGTAGATGTCTTATTCCATTTGGTGCTGCTATATAACAGAGTACCAAAGAGTAGATAATTTGAAATCAACTGAAATTTATTTCTCGCCCCTCTGGCAGCTGGGGGGGTCCAAGATCAAGGTGCTGGCAGGTTTGGTTGGCTGATGAGGGCTGCCCCCCACTTCCAAGATGGTGCCTTGAATGCTGTATCCTCCAGAGGGGAGGGACACTGTGCCCTCCTGTGGCAGGAGAGCAAAAGAGAGGAAACCTACTCCTGCATGCCCTCTTTACAGTGGCGTTTATCCATTCGTCCAACCTAAACACCTCTCATTAGGCCCTACCTCGTAACACTGTTTCATTAGGGATTAAGTTTCCAACACATGAACTTTGGAAGACACATTTAAACCCGAGCAGTAGGTAATCTGGGGCATTGTGAATGTGATGCTTTAGTGAGCTGGCAAACAGTCAGACTGCTGCCTATTTGTGATACTTTCATTTTTAGATATTTTTGTCTTTTTTAAATTTTGCTTTTATTAACACATAATTGTTCGTATATTTATGGGGTACAGTGTGGTGTTTCAATATATGTATACACTGTGTAAAACTCAAATACGTCTATTTAATATATCCATCACTTGTACATTTATCATTTCTTTGTGGTGAGAACGTTCAAAATCCTTTCCCTTAGCTATTTTGAAATATATAATACAATATTATTAACCATAGTCATCCTACTGTACAATAGAGTGACAGAACTTATTCCTGCCATCCTACTGTAGCTTTGTACTCTTTGACCAATCTCTCCCCAACCCTCTCTTCCTCCTCACCTCCCCAGACCCTGATGACCATTATTCTACTCTCTACTTCTTTATTATTATTCTTATTATTTGGAGATGGAATCTCACTCTGTCACCCAGGCTGGAGTGCATTGGCACGATCTTAGCTCACTCCAACCTCTGCCTCCCGGGTTCAAGCAATTCTCGTGTCTCAGCCTCCCAAGTAGCTAGGACTACTGGCATAAGCCACCACACCCGGCTAATTTTTTTTAATTTTTAGTAGAGACGGAGTTTCACCATGTTCGAAATCTACTCTCTACTTCTATGAAACTGACTTCTTTAGATTCCACATATGAGTGAGATCATGTAGTGTTTGTCTTTCTGTACCTGACCAATTTCAATGACCTCCAGGCTCATCCATGTTAGAAATGAGAGGATTCATTCTTTTTATGAGTGAATAGTATTCCATTGTGTATATATATTTCAGAAACTATATGGTATAGTGTTCCGTGTTTACATAACTCAAAGAAAGGACAAAATTCCATATGATTAACACTCTACCCAGCAGTTGTCCAGCGTGTGTGTCTGTGTGTGTGTTTGTGTCTGTGTGTGTGTCTGTGTGTGTGTTTGTGTGTATTTGTGTTTGTGTGTGTATGTTTCTGTGTGTGTGTTTGTGTGTTTGTGTTGGGGTTGAGTGTGGGTAGAAAAGAACCTGTTTGTGGTGAGAGGCTTCATTTTCAAATACTATCCTACAAATACTGCCTGAAGTACAGAAATAAAGAAATAGAGCTCACTGATCTACATTAGCTTGAAGATTTCTAATCAAAACACCGGAAAGGAGGAATTATAGGCCACTGTCTGATTTCACAACAAAAGATGCAGCTGTTCCATGATCACTGCAGGGAGATGGAGAAGTATAGGATTGCCTATATCTTACCAGCAAGGTGTATACTATATTTGGATTCCAGGAAGAAAAATGGAAGAATTATGCAGACATATACTGGTAGGTGGCCAGGTTTAGGAAAACATGCAGCTGCTTCTGAGTGCCCTTATTGCCCATAAAATAACATTTCACATGGTCAACAGCTCAAATTTATGTGGACCGTAAGGGGTAAATTTCCAGAGGCATGAATGGAGACTCACTTACACAATTATCATTATTGTTAATAGAAATTGTGCGTTAACGGCTCACTCTGTGCCCCTTGTTGAGAATAAATCATGTGTGTGTATGTGTGTGTGTGTGTGTGTGTGTGTGTGTACCCTAATATCTCTAACTGCCCCATCTCTGACAATAGAAAAAAATTGATACATGCAAACCTACTTCTATTTCTCAAGTCGTATTTCTATAAGTTTTTTCCCCACTGATACTTTTTAAATCAATCTTTTAAAAGAAAAGGAGGAAAAGTACTGAAAAGCTAAGGTCAAGCTATAACCTTATTCATATTATAATTATTATATAACACTACAGTGTAGAGAAGAGGACTCCATAGCTGTCTTTTTCAAATGAGAGTGTGAGGTTTTCTGACACCAGCTGACAGTGTGTTTACTTTCTAAATCTTGGAAGAACATGCAGCAGAAGAATCTTATAGAAATGTTACAATGACAAATGCTTGAGTAGTCTTGCTAAGATTGCATAATTGAGGTAGAAGGAAATACAAATTACCAGCAAGGTAAATAATACATTCTATAAGTGCTTTGAGAGTATGAATTCTAAAGGAAATTAACAGTATATGAAATGAGAACTTCAGATTGGTTGGAGCACCTATTACCAGACCTCCAAACTCTGCACCTGAAAAGCATGAAACAATTGCTTTGATGAGACACGTTGAGATCATAAAATATTTCACAGTCCTCAAAATCAACATCAATATAATGATTAAGCACAAAGGCTACTAGAGACTTCTAGAGTAGAGAATGGCAGATGAATAAATGAATGAAATGCTCAAGAGAACTGTAAATGGGAGGACCACAGCAGGTGCCCTGCTTAGGTCAGATTTAAAATTAGGGTCATGATTAGATAGGGGGAAAAAAAATCTATGGATTTGCCAGGAAAAGGTCCATAAACTTTAAATGACTGGCTGGAAGAAAAAAAGGAACTAGAGACTTGGGCAAAGGGACCTGAGATAAGACAGTAGCCACGAAAGAGAAAATGGAATTCTCCTTCAACAGAGCAGGCAGCATTGAAGGCAGCTTCTCCCAGGTGCCTGCATGAGTTTCTGGAAGGAACGGAGGGAACCGCGGCCTGAGCAGCAGGCGGTGGGGCTGGCCTTGTGTGCACAGGTATGAGAGGTGCTCTTGGTGGCTTCCAGGAGGTGCTGAGTACCATTTGCTCACCGAAAGCTGATGGGGAAAGAAGGAGGGAGCAGCTTCCTGCTAAAGATGGTGGATTAAGCCCACATGTTCACGTTGGCTCCCTGCTGAAACCACTCTAATGTGAGAGGAGAGCAATGAAAAAACAAGAGGGGGGACCATAAACCCATGAGGACAAAGAGAAGGGGAGAGATGTCAGCAGCAAAATGTGGGAAGCTGTAAAGCAGATGGAACAACAGCAATCGTCTTAGCAGACCCAAAAGCGCTGAAGTGAGCCAGGAGCATGGAACAGCCCAGAGGAGGCTGATGTGTGGCCAGAGCCTCCCACCAAAGCTCAGGAGCTGGCAGCTCCTGCAACCCCTGGAGGTGGGGGTGAAAAGAGATCTGAAATAAGGACAATTACTTGAAAGTCTGTTGAAGAAGCAAGTACATATTTTTATGTGCAAAGGGAAAAAGAAAGACTAAATACTCACTTCCATAGGCATAAAAAAAGGCTTCCATCTTACCCAGATGCTAAATATAACTACCCAACAACAGGAAATACAGGGGACAATGTCACATGTCAGAGGACACCAGGGGGCTGCCATCAGCAAAGCCCAGACAGCACTGAACTCTAGGACAGACTACCCAGCTTCCTCATCAAACACATCACAAAGAAAACAAAGAGGTGCAGGGGGAGAAGACAATTTAGAGATTAAAAGATATTTAAGGGACATATTAATCAACTGCAGTGTATGGATTTTATTTGAATGCAGATTACAGAATCAATCAGATCAACAGTAAAAATTACTTATGAAGCAATAAAGGTAATTGGACTTCCAGGGGTGGGGTTTGGAGGCAGCATGTGGGAGCTGGCATCTCAGGCAGAACTGTCGGGTAGGGCAGCTGGTGGGGCAGGTGCCTGGAGAAGGCTGGTGCAGACAGCAGGAACTGCCAGGGCAGAGGCCATGAGGCTGGACCACACCAGGCAAACCCGAGAAACAGAAGGAGGCTGACATTGCTGAGAAGACAGAGTGGGAGGTGGAGGAGCAAGAGAAAAGGCAAAGGTCCGAGTCACACGGGCCTGGAAGGCCTTTGTGAGGGCTTTGGACTGGCAGCCGATGTGGTCTGATTTAGGTTTGTAAAGAACTAATCTAACTGCTGTGTTGGGAGTGGACCAGATGAAGGGGGGAGTGGAACAGGGAGAAGAGAGGGAAGGAGAAGACCTCTAGGCTATTCTGCCAGTGGAAACTACCAGCTTTCTTTATTGACTGGACATGGTCGAGAGATAAAGAGAGGTTCCAAGGACACCACCAAGGTTTTCACTGTGGGTGTAGCATGTGTGGTGGTGGTGGGGTGGCGGCAATCAGATGTTCGGTTTTAGACAAATTACGGTTGAAACGCTCAGTAGGTAGCTATTATGAGTTGAATTATATTCCCCAAAAGATATGATGAAGTCCTAACCCACATGCCTGTGCGTATGACCACATTTGGAAATAGGGGGTCTTGGCAGATGTAATCATGTTGAGAATAGGTCTTCAGGGTGGGTCCAAATTCAATATGGCCTGCCGTAGATATCAAAGGAGAAAATGTGTGGCAGGGACACACAGGGAGAAAGCCACAGGGAGACCGGCAGAGGCCGGAGGACACAGCTGCAGACCAAGGAATGCCAAGTGTTGCCAGGAGCCACCAGAAGCTGGAAAGGCAGAAGTATCCCCCCTAGATCCTGCAGAGGGAGCACGGGCCTACCGACACCTTGACCTTGGACTGTTGGCCTCCAGCGCTGTGTGAGAGTCCATTGCTGTTGTTTAAGCCACCAGCTCGTGGTACTCTTTTGGGGCAGCTCTGGGAAACCAGACACCATCTGCGTGGGTGTGCTACTTAGGAAGTGGGGCATAAGAGGCTGGAGTCAGGAGCAAGGTCTGCACTGAGACATAAACCTGGGAATTTTTAGCACAAGGACGATATATAAAGCCAAACACAGAATGAGAGCGCCAAGGGAATGGGGTGTAGGACAAGATGGAAAAGGGCCCAGCACCAAGCCTTAGAACACCTTGGGGCTGAGTGGCAGGGAGAAAGGAGGAACCAGCAAGGACACCAAGAAAAGCAAAGGAAGGCAAGAGGTGGGTGTCTTGGAAGCCAAGTGCAGAAAATGTATCAAGGAAATGGAAATAATTAAGTTTGCCAAATCCTTTCAAGTTGAATCAGTAACAGGAATATAGAAATATAAACCAAACCACACACACATCAGGAAAATAAAAAATTGCACAAGAAGGGAAATTCAATCCTAGTACACTATATGGTTCAGCTCTAAATGATATATTTTCAAAGTCTTGGTAGTGTAAAAGTGGACTATTGATCAAACCAAAAAGGTACCATGTAGGTCAATTGGGAGAATACTGGCAAGAGATATACAAATGAGGTGGAGAGAGGAGAGAGAGGCAGGTGTAAGGTGGCAATGTTTCTCTCCATAGTAGAAAGTCATGTAATATCTAGACCTTGAAATAAAATAATTGTCATTAGGATGAGGAAACTGGAGGGGTAATTGAGGGACAGCCTTTTTCCCCCATAATAAGCCTTATGGAACTATTTACCTTTTAAAATTATGTATATGGATATGGTTTGGCTGTGTTCCCTCCCAAATCTCATCTTGAATTCCCACATGTTGTGAGAGGGACCTGGTGGGAGGTAACTGAATCATGGGGGCAGGTCTATCCCATTCTGTTTTTGTGATTGTGAATAATTCTCATGAGACCTGATGGTTTTATAAGGAGGAGTTTTCTTGCACAAGCTCTCTTTGCCCACTGCCATCCATGTATGACGTGACTTGCTCCTCCTTGACTTCTGCCAAAATTGTGAGGTCTCCCCAGCCATGTGGAACTGTGAGTCCATTAAGCCTTTTTCTGGTATAAATTACCCAGTCTCAGGTATGTCTTATTAGCAGTGTGAAAACAGACTAATACAGTATTAAGAAGACAGCTGGGTATCCAAGTGGACTTAAAAACTGGCAAATACTCCTCCATACTTTAGCACAGCAGCCTGAAATTGTCCTGGAATGTTCAATGTCTAAATTGCAGTGGAAGTAATTCATGTTTGATTTGCTTTAAACAGTATTTTTTCATAACAAAATTTCATAATGTAACTTACAGTGCTTGCCCTAGATTTCAGATAATCTCAGGATTTCCAGAAAAGGGAACGTGCCACCTGTAATATTCCATAACATGATCTGGGAACATTTCTGTTTGCACTGATTCAGGAGTTGTGCTAGTTCTTTTCCTTGAATGTGCATGACACTTTTCTTTCAAAGTATTCAAAGCACTTTGCAGATTCCATTTCATTAATTGTCACAACATCCTGAGCTGCCATCCAGGCTTACAAATGGGGAAGAGAGAAAGTGAGGCAAGGAGAATTGACATCACTGGACCCAAAAGATGGCAAGAAGGCTCAGCTTCTTTTATAGCAGTGAGGTTTCAGGGACAAGAATAAAATTCAACTTATCTACTTTTTTTTTTTACCAGTCTGGACCATCACTTTCTTATGTCAATCTTGAACAAAAACAGGTGAACAGCTTTCATAAGAATGTTGGAAAGACTAATTTTACCTAAGCTGACAAAAATATACTTTTGAAGTAAGTTGCTCGAACTGCGGTTCTATGAATTATTTATCTAAGAAATGTTAACAAGTCCAGGAAAAAAAAGGAAGTGCTTGATAATAAAAAAAATTGGGAGATAGCCAAAACCATCTTGAAAGAAGAAGAACAAAGTTGGGGGAACTCTCACTTCTGGATTTCAAAGCTTATGACAGAGCTACAGTCATCAAAACAGTGTAGTACTGGCATAAGGACACATCTGTGGGCCAATGGAATTTAGTAGAGCCCAAAAATAAACTCTCATATATGTGGCCAAATCATTTTTTTTTTTTGAGATGGAGTCTTGCTCTGTCACCTAGGTGGACTGCAGTGGCATGATCTTGGCTCTCTGCAACCTCCGCCTCCTGGGTTCAAGCCATTTTCCTGCCTCAGCCTCCCGAGTAGCTGGGATTACAGGTGCACCACCACACCCAGCTAATTCTTGCATTGTTAGTAGAGACGGAGTTTTGCCATGTTGGCCAGGCTGATCTCAAGCTCATGACCTCAGTGATCCACCTGCCTCAGCCTCCCAAAGTGCTGAATTACAGGTGTGAGCCACCATGCCCAGCCACCAAATCATTTTTGACAAAGGTGCCAGGACCATCCAATGAGGAAAGGACAGTCTCTTCAACTAATGGCACTGGGACCAGTAGATATCCACATGCAAATTAATAAATTGAACCCTTATCTCACACCATATATAAAAATTTACTCAAAATGAATCACAAAACTAAACATAAGAACTTAACGAAAAACTCTTAGGATAACGCATACAGGAAAAGTTTTATGGCATTGGGTTTAGCAATGATTGTTTTGATATTATGCCAAATGCACAGGTAACAAAAGAAAAACTAGATAAATTTGACTTCATCAAAATTAAGAACTTTTGTGCATCAGTGAACACTATCAAGCGAGTAAAAAGGCAATCCACAGAATGGGAGAAAATATTTGCAAATTATATCTGATAAGGAATTAATATACAGAGTATATTAGGAACTCCTACAGTGCAACAACAAAAAACAACTCAATTCAAAAATGGGCAAAGAACATGAATAGACTTTCTTTAAAGAAGATATACAAATGGGCAATAAACATGAAAAGACTCTCAACATCACCAGTCATCAGGGAAATGCAAATCAAAACCACAATAAGACACCACTTCACACCCATTAGGATGGCTATTATCAAAAGTAGTGGAAAATAACAAGTATTTATGAGGATGTGAAGACACTGGGATCTTTGCTTATGGGAATACAAAATGGTACAACCACTGTGGAAAACAGTTTGATGGGTCCTCAGAAAGTTAAACATAGAATGGCCATATAATCTAGCAATTCCACTTCTAGGTATATTCCAAAAAGAGTTGAAAGAAAGGATCACACAGACACTTGGACATCAATGTTCACAGCTGCATGAATTATTCAAAATAACCAAAAGGTGGAAACAATCCATCAGTGGCTTAATGGATAAACAAAGGTGGTGTGTGCACACAATGGAATATCATTCAGCCTTAAAAAGGAAGGGAATTCTGACACACACAACAGCACAGATGAACCCTGAGGGCATTACGCTAAGTGAAATAGGCCAGTCACAAAAAGACAAATACTGTAGGATTCCATTACATTAGTCCCTAGGGTCATCACATTCATAGAGATAGAAGGAAGAATGAGTGGTTGCCGGGGCTAGGGGGCGGGACAAATGAGGAAGTGTTGTTTAATGAGCAGAGAGTTTCTGTTTGGGAAGATGAAAAATTCTGTGTGGTAGCAATAGTGTGAATGTGCTTAACACTACCGAACTGCATACTTAAAAATTGTTCAATGATACATTTTATGTTATGTGTATTTTATCTCAAAATGAACAAATATGTTGTGCAATGCTATAGACCATGTCAATCTTGGAAAGTCACAATGTGTATTGAATCTTGTCATAAAGAACTCCATTTAGCCGTATTTAGCCCAGTGTTTCTCAAAGACACTTGAGCAGGGAACCATTATTGGTCTGTTTATTTCTGCACGTGGGCAGTGGTCAGAGGGATTCCAGTTTCAGAAGAGGATCTCAGGAGATTTTACAGCACAGAGGGTTGAAGTCACTGCTAACCTGATGCACGCAGTCAAATTAAAGAGTTTATTAGGGCAGTATTTTTGAAGCAGAACAAAACATTTGCATGTAAAGATGGTTCTGAAGATCCCAAGAGAAGAAAGAAAGGGGGATTGGTTTTGGAGGAAAAACAGAGAAGTCCCTCCTCTCCTAAAGAAGTCACCATTCCTGTATTTTTTTTTTTCCTGGCTGACAAAACATGGAGGAAAATCTATGCCATGAAGTATAAAGCAGAAGTCATGCCCAGCACTTCTTACAGTAGCAAAGGAGAAGTGGCAATGCAAAAGCGTGTTTGGGGTGGCTGGAGATGGCAATCGGTGTGACTTACAGCCAGATGATCTCGGGAGGGGCAGCACGCACAAGCCCCTAACACACTCAGGAGTTCAGATTCCCGAGGGTTCCATCATCTCAAAGTGGCTTCCCCGCCGATTCGGAACCCGTAGTTGCTCTGTTTCTGGGAAGGGTGTGAACTCGGGGCCTCAAACCTCCTGCCCCCCAGGCTTTGGAGTGATCACTCCTTCCTCACTGTGAGCCCCATTCTGGCGAAATGCACAAATGATCCTAATGCAATCGCAATGCCGTATGTTGTTTTCAGTCAGTGGTGGGAATTCCTGAAAAAGCAAAATTAAAAATGGGGGAAGGGACCCTTTCGGTTGTGCAGCACAACTCTACAGCTGTGGCTGCAAGCTGAGACAACAACCGGATACCGCACCCCAGGCCGGGCCAGGCAGCAGCTTGGAGCCCTTCTCGGAAGGCTGAGGAATGAATGGCACACATCGGCACGCAGGTCTCTGTTCCACAGAGAAGGCCCCTGGGATTTGCAGTCTCAGTAAAGCCTGCAGGCCGATGGGCCCTCTGCACTTCCTGTTTTGTTACTTTGCATCTTTCATCTCTAATGGACCCCAACACGTTGACCTTCCCTACCTGCCCCACGTGTGTCTACCCTGGACCCTCACGACACCTGGCAGGACATGGCGATTGGCGCTTATAAGCAGCTCTTCAATAGCTGTCCAATTAATGAGCACTGAGGGCACATACTTGGCGGCCACTTCTGAGTTATACCTAATTGTGCTTACAGCTGGGGAGGAAAACAAACAAACCAACAAACAAACAAAAAATCACCTGCTCTTCCCTCTCTTCCCCTCCCTCTCTCCTCCCTTCCTGGGTGCATTGCCTTGCAAGGGCCCATCTTTGTCATCAAACATGGGGTGCACCCAGCTTACCCCACTCACAGCACTCTCCAAATAGGTGCCTTTTCAATGGCAAAATCCAATGGAAACAAATTCAGTCCAAGGGTCAATTATGGGCTTATTTTCATATTTATGGATGGAATACTTTTCCTCAAAAGACGCTAATGATAGCCTAACGTACAGGCTAATCAAAACACCAGCCACTGAATGGGAAGAAGCCAAAGGAAGCTCCTGCTCTGCTATTCTTCCCACGCGGAATGGTTACATCTTGCACAGTTTCCCACCTCAATCTCTTTCCAAATGAACACTTTCTAAAATGTCTTGACAAAAGTCATCATCTCCACAAAGAAAACAAAAACAAAAACAAAAACGTATTATTTCCCATTCTCCACCGGCAGAAATGACAACCTTGACCAAATAACGTCTTTTGGTGTGGGCCTGTTAGCCATCTGTCTTGGGGAACTCCGGCGGCGCAGTCCCTACAGGTCACCTCTGCCGTACTCTTTCAGGGGTATTTAACACCATCTAGGCTTTGCTCACCTTCGCTCAGGTGCACTCTTTGTGCCAGGTGAATCTGGGGTGATGAGCTCGAAGGTGGCGTTTGCATCTAAGCCGCAGGTTCCATTTAGCCCCGCCTACACTGTCAAGGCCACCACGGAAACGTGCATGTGGTACAACTTCGTCATGTCGCTCACCAAATTTGTTTTAACTGATCTCAGATTTCACGATCGTCTTACATTTATTTATCTAAAATGTACTTACGTTGTAATTATAAATGCTCCATGAAACAATTACCAGTACGAAAGATGTATGTGTAACTTTGATATTATCGGGTGGGCGTGGTGGCTCATGCCTGTAATCCCAGAGGAGGCCGAGGTGGGTGGATCACGCAAGGTCGGTAGTTTGAGACCAGCCTGTCCAACATGAGGAAACCCCGTCTCTACTAAAAATACAAAAATTAGCCAGATGCGGTGGTGCGTGCCTGTAACCCCAGCTACTTGGAAGGCAGGAGAATCGCTTGAACCCAGGAGGCGGAGGTTGCAGTGAGCCAAGATCGTGCCACTGCACTCCAGCCTGGGTGACAGAGATTCTGTCTCAAAAAAAAAAAAAAAAAAAAAAAAAAAAAAGATATGATCAAGCCATATACTAAAAGAATTGCATAATATTTTTGGACAAATATGAACTGATTAACTGCATTGCTGGGGCCTATTTTAAAAACGCGCTACCCTCCCCTCATCTTCAAATCACCGTGGCGCACGGATCCTTTATCATGCGGAGGTTCTGTCCTCTCAGCCGCGGAGGTGACACTGTTAAGTGACTTTTTTCCTAATTCTGATTTTTAAGCCTTAAATACTGCCCACGCGCAGCTCTCTTTTTTGCTCCCTGACCTGACCTGTGCCCCGTCTCACCATTTAATAACTAAAATTTTAGATGGAATATGTTTATCTACAAATTATCAGTGATGTCAACACAGGTCAGCTTAATTTTTGCAAATAAGTACAGCTCCCATTTATTGAGCACATACCCCAGGCCAGAGTCTGCACTAAGCACTTTATGTAGATTATCTCATTTAATCCTCACATCAGCTCCTTGAGGAAGGACGTGCTATTGTCAGCCTCAAATGTCAGATGAGGAAACTGAGTCTCAAAGAGGTTACAGAATGGCCAGGTCACGTGTCTAATCACACAGGTAAGTCAGATTCAGCACAGGATTGACCTGGCTCCAAGGTTAGCACTCTTAAGTGTCACCAAAGCTGCCTTCCATCCTGATGCACGCACAGACGTGTGCTCAGCACATTTGGGCCGAGCCCTCCACATGGCCCAGGGATGGAGAAGCATCTCCCCTCCACCAGGACCTCTCAGTCAACTGAGGAGGAGAGACACAGCCTGCTGGGAGAGATGCTCAAGGTATTTATAAGATTCCAAAACAGACGACCAGGTGGGTGTGCTTGTGATGTCGCCCCGCCTGGCCAAGGGTCAGCTCACGTGTGAAGAGCCTATCATGGGCAGACAGAGCAAAGTGGGTGTGCAGGCTCACCAAGGGCCCCCACTGTCCAGGGTTCCCCCTGAAACCATCATCTATGAAACAATCAACATTGAACAAGTTCATTTCGTTTTTTGCTTTGTGCTAACTGCCAGAGAATCAGCAGTATAGTAGTGATCTGGTTACCTTACTTGGCCAAGGTGAAGGGATGCTACAAGTGTGATCAAGGCCCTCCAACAACAGGCTTTGAGTTCATCAAAGGAAACCATCATTCGTAGGCCCCATGTAATCAGGTGAGCCCTTAAAAGAGACTGGAAGCCACAGAGATGTTCTGCTGGCCTTGAAGAAGCAAATGGTCGTGTGGTGGAGGGGCCCCAAGGCAGGCAGCAAAAACAACAGGGGCAGCCTCTTGTTTTTGAGGGTGTCAGTTCCACCACACAAACAATCGGATTCAGCCAACCTCAGAGCTTGAGCCCCTGGAATGATCACAGCAAGGACCACCGCCTTGATTTCAGCCCTGCGAGCCCCTGAACAGAGAACCCTAGACTTCCTAACCACAGAACCTGAGATTAACAGGTCACCATTTACTGGAGTAAATTTGGGATTAATTTGTTACGTAGCAATGGAAAAGAAATACGTAAGGTCATCAAGAAAAATAAAGAAGCAATAGAAAAGGGTGAGGGGGTCTGTGAACAAAGAAACGCTGTGCAGTTCAAGCTCACACCGATGCCACTGAGGTGGCACTACCCAGCCTGCAGCAACTCGCAGCACCCCTCCCCGGAAGTGAGAGGAGTGTCATTTGGGGTATGAAGCTCATTTCATGAAATATTGATATTAAAGCTGATTTTGCAATGAATTCAATCTAGACTCATTTTAATGAAAAGAATTGTAACCAAAATATGTGACAATCATCTCCCTTAGGAAACCTTTCCTAGAGCTTGAAAGCTCCTGGTGTCCTGGCCTCTCGTGTGATCCCCACTACAGCCCCCATGACTCTATGTTTAGTCAATTTGCAGAATTTAACCTGTAACTGTAGTCTTCATGTTGTTTTATAATATTTACGAAAATACCAAACATCTAGCAGCAAATGTTGGTTCAATGAATGAATGTATGCATGGATGAGATTTCAGGAGGAAAACTATGTCTTTGCTTCTAGGTACCTGGAAATTGAACACAAACAATGAGTTCACTGGAAGCTGCAGGAGGCCAGAGAACATGTCTGTCATCATCACTGTAAATGATATTGGGCTCCTAGCCCACCACCTGCCACATGCGGGACCCTCATTTTGTGAGCCTGTGTTCACCAACCAACCTCATTGACTGAGGCTGGTGGAGCTAAAAGAAAGAAGGGTGAACTAAGTCAAGATTTAAGTTAAGACAAGCAAAGACTCAAACAGCTGAAAACATGGAAGTGCACATAGCTGGTGATGATGAAGGCAGGGTGAAGTAGATGTTTAGTCCTAAAGTAGATACCAAATTGAATAAGTAAAGGATACACAGTCTGGAACATGAACTGAACATCACCAATACACCAAACACAAAACAATCACAACAGTCCCAGAATATGACCTGATGTCTCCTTGATTATCCAGATTAGGGGGCCTACTGAAATCCTTTTGATTTCAACATGGCAGAATGAAGACTGAAGCCTGCTGGATCTGCCACCTGTTGGATCTGCCTTCTAAACTCAAGAGGTAGTCATGGACTTGCTCTCCACATCCTCATTCCAACCCAAAGAGAGGAGCTAGGATTCGGGTCAGGGCCACACATAATAACGTGGTTTCAGTGAGACTTTTGATGAATGGAGGAAACAGCCCCTAGCTTCTGGTTCTCTGAGGAGTACCTGTCCCAGGGAGCCTAAGAAGGAATCTGTTTGGGTTCCTGGTGAAAGATATAGGGTTTCCACCTGCTTCCTCAAGGCCAAAGGAATCCTCTTGACCCTCGTACACTCTAATCTAGCTGCCCTGGCCAGCCCAGTGAGGCCCGTGATTAGAACAGTATGGTAAGAAAAACTGTTCATTGGCCAAGTAACCTCTCTGCACATCTTTTTCAGAAATCTGTGCTGTGAGCGGGTGAAGGACATAGCAATTCTGGATTCCAGCCAGATATCTATTTGTTTCTACCTTGGACAGTCAATCCAAACCTTTCATGACTTACTTTCCTCTTGTCTAGACCCTTACATTCTCTTGCCATGGAGCTGAAAATTGGTGGTAATGGAAGACACCCCAATATAATTGAACCCCGTGAGGCAACTAATATGTTATTATTCCAACTCAAACGTATGATTGATCTCAGGTATCCACCAGTGCATTTGCTGACGTATCAACTTAAAAGAGACATTTGAAAATGCCTTTCTTCATATTTTTGTGAGCAAGAGATGAGAGAGGAGAGCTGTCTAATAAGGTGTGTTTGTACTTGATCGAGCAAGTCTAATGACAATGCAGTTTATTAGGCCCCTTCCACATATTGAGCATGGAGGGAGGAACATCCCATGTGCTTTTATAATTTTGATGCACAAAGAAACTGAGGTTCACGCAATAGTCCAGCCTTCAGCCTCTGAATCTCAGGTTGTCTCCACAACAGCGTGATGCCAAAACAGTACAGATTAACGATGGATCACCGTCCACTGCGGGGCAGCTATCTAGTGCCTGGTGCAAGCTCACCATGTCCTTTAACGATGGATCACCGTCCACTGCGGGGCAGCTATCTAGTGCCTGGTGCAAGCTCACCATGTCCTTTAACGATGGATCACCGTCCACTGCGGGGCAGCTATCTAGTGCCTGGTGCAAGCTCACCATGTCCTTTAACGATGGATCACCGTCCACTGCGGGGCAGCTATCTAGTGCCTGGTGCAAGCTCACCATGTCCTTTAACGATGGATCACCGTCCACTGCGGGGCAGCTATCTAGTGCCTGGTGCAAGCTCACCATGTCCTTTAACGATGGATCACCGTCCACTGCGGGGCAGCTATCTAGTGCCTGGTGCAAGCTCACCATGTCCTTTAACGATGGATCACCGTCCACTGGGGGGCAGCTATCTAGTGACTGGTGCAAGCTCACCATGCCCTTTTCCATACTTCTGTGCAAAACTTAGGTAAGGATATTGGTGTCATTACAAATGATACCAAGCTGGGACCCATCTCCAGCATTTTCAAATAAAACAAACCGAATCTAAATGTAAAGCTTGAGAACTGAGGTGCCAAAACTCAGCAACACAAGTGTGTGATTCTCCCGATGGGGTTCAACACCAGCACACGCATCCGAAACTTAAACACCTCTAGTGGAGAACCCGCCATGTGTCAACAGTGTGACGCGGATGCCCATTAGCTGATTTGAAGGGCAGGATGGTCATTTCTTACCCTCTCTTTCTGTCCTGTTAGGACCATCATCTGGAAGTCAAGGTTGACCCCAAAGTGGGAGGAGACCAGACCCAGCTGCTCACTGCAATTCAAAGTATTGCCCCTCTCCCAAACCCTGTCACTGAACAGAAATGAACGTGGGCAAAGGGTTTACCAGTGCATACAGAAATGACTGCCACAGCAGTGTTTTAAGGAACAAGACAGGATATCTCCCTTTAGCAGTACAGGCATCAAATATCAAGCTTGAAACTGCATTTGTGTGATAAGACTTGAGAGAAGGTGGAATGGCACGGTGTGAAATGATCTGATAGCACGAAAAATTGTTGTTAGGAGGTGTTGGCACTTGAAAAACAACACATCTTGTTCCTGTTGGCTTCAGCCCACGCTTACTCCAAGGATATTCTGCCGTGGTCCTATTTGGAAATCTTCAGTATTGAGCGGATAGTGAGAGAAAATGCACCCTAACAGCTGCCCTTTCCTTACAGACAGACACAGCATTCTGTTAAGCGGCTTGAGCAGACACAGAAACTATTTGCTATACATTTTCCTTTCTTAAATTTCATTTTATTTTTAGCTGACAGATAATTGTGTATATTTTCTGGGTACGATGTGATGTTTCATTATGTGTATATATTGTGGAATGATCAAATCAGGCTAATCAACCTCTCCATCACCTATTTTTTAATGTGGTATATGTACACAATGAAATACTATTCAGCCTTCAAGAAGCAGGATATCCTGCCATTTGTAACAACAGGGATGAACCTAGAGGACATTATGCTAAGTAAATTAAGCCAGTCACAGAGGGATAAGTGTTGCATGATCTCACTGATACGTGGAATTTTTAAAAAGTTAGACTCATAGAAGCAGACAGTAGAATGATGGTTACCAGGAGCTGGGCAAGGAAAGGGGGTAGACAGGTAAAGGGGAGAGACTGTATGTTTTTGGATTTATTTTCTACTCTAATATTTGAATACAGCACTGTTCCTGTGCATACACACACACACACACACACACACACACACACACACACACACACCCCAAGAAGGAACTCGGAGTCTGTGCTCAATTGTCCTGATGAGTGAGAATTTCTAACATGCAAATTCTGTTTGGGTAAAGTTTACCAAAAGCAAATGGCAACGGACGCAGCTCAAAGTTTAATATCTATTGAATCATTTCCCCTCATTCCTGGCTTCTCTTCTGGAATATTCTGTGGGGATTTTTTGTTGTCGTAATTGTTTTAAAGCTCCGAGGGCTGGGAAGAGTAACGTTTCTCTCAGGCAGATTGGCTGTGACATGTGTTCATATGTTCTTGATCATCACTTTCAGCTTCCCGCCTGTGACTGGTGGATCTTTTCTTGTTACATCAATTCCTCCCCTTCTCCTGCCTCCCACCCTTCGTTCCTCAGTGCTGAACCTTTCCACCTCTGTTCCCATCCAAGGCAACTAAAACTATGACACTCAGCGGCCTTCCTCTTCTATCTTCTCTGTAAGTACAAGCTTTGAAGAGCGCACTACTTCCTTGTCTAGGAATAACTTACGATTCTTCCTAAGTTGGGAGCTTTTAGCACGCTCATAGGAGACAGTGAGGAAGTGTGGTGTGTGTGTGTGTGTGTGTGCATGCTCAAAGGAGAGGGGTGGGAGAGAGAAGTACAGAGTACCAGGAATTATCTATGCATAAAGAAATTAAAAGAGAATATTTTCCAGAGCAATTGAAGCCCATCTCCTGAACAATGACGACAGCTCCTCATTTTCGACAACAAAAGAGGGCACGTAGGAGTCAGCTCATTAGAATATCTGTGGCTCTTTTCTGTTCTCTCTGCATTAAGCCCCCATAATGTCAGTTGTCACTTATTAATGACAATTAACTAGTAATCAGCAGTGAGACTCTTCGAGGTGGTCTTTGCCTGACAGGTGAAGAAAGAGAACATTGCGCAGTGCCACACGGTGACATGGAGCCTTCAAAGGGAGCACGGCATTTCCATAAATTATTTCAGAGAGAAAATTCCTTTTATACATTCTCTCTACAGCTTAAGGATCTTTAACCCTAGAAAGGCCACACTCCCATGCTCTTTCTGTGATTTTTTTATTCCTTACTGAACGAAATCTTCGATCTACGATTGTGGTCACTGGGCTTCCCACCCTCCTGTCACCTTCATTCCTGCGCATTTACTGATTCCACCTGCTTGGTTTTAGTTGGGTCCACGTGCGAGGCATGGTCTGTGATGTCCACTGCTAGTGCACAGCCCTAAAGAGCTCCAGCCCTGAGGCAGAGGCTGTGCTTGGAGCATTTCTCCTGCAGGTGGATCTATCTGCTCTTCCCTCATTCCTAATACAGGTGACAGAAGGGCCACAATCTTTGAGAATCACAATGGAAACCACAAACCCAGTGCCACCCAAAATGGTTCTCCAGCCTGTCACAGGGCCTGCCCCTCTCCTTCCAAGTCTCAGCTCTCCTCCCGCTGTTCTTCATCCTGAGACATAAGGAGACAGTGTCCCCGTCCCCCTGCTCTGCACACACAGGTGAGGCCATACGGACAGAGACAGACTGCAGAGGCTCTTACCTGCTCTCCCATGGTTCTGTTCTCCTGCCTTCTCTACAATGCTAAAGCGCTTGGCTAACATGAAGCGTTCTGTAAAGTGGGGAGTTTCAAGAAGAAAACATTTGGAGAGTGAATAAGAACACTAAATATTATTGCTACAGGATAAATGTGTTTATCTTGTTTTTGAGGAGTTCAGGCTTAAGAAATGACAAATCCAGCCTTGGGAAGAGACGTGATGATACCTCACTGTGGAGAGAGTGAAAGCAGTCAGGGTGCTACCTGCCAGGAGTGCATGGAGCAAGTGCATCACCAATTTCACTTAAAAAAAAAAAAAAGGCCGTTATTCATGTCAAAGCAATGCAATTAGCATGGAAACCATTGGCACAAGGAATGATATCCAAACCAGTCTCTGAAACCCCAGACTTTCTATTTCTGATGTGGGATTCCAGTCTTAAAAAGGTAAGCCACCAGAAGCAGGAATGTAGGAATACACTAGTTGGAGCATTTCCAAAAGAAGCACCAAATTCATCTTTAACGCTGTGATCAAAACTGAAATTTTAAGAAAAGCGAGAGGTCATCCAGACATAGAAACTTTGTGACTCCTTTTTCATAAATCTGTTGTTTTTCTCTGCAAAGTTTTAGTGACAAGAACTGGTGTTGCCTCTCTGCAGCTTTCCTGGCTTCCTTAGGAGAATTTTGTGATATTACAAAGCTTCCATGACAACAAATAAGATATTACATAGTGTGAGGCTCCAACTATCTAACCAGAACTTAAAGACAAATATTCACGTTACATTTAAGAAAACAGTCACCATGCAAAAGATTGTTTTAAATTCCCTATTTAAAAAAATATTTTTCATCATAATCTGAAGTTTGGACAAAGCCCTTTCCATCAGATTTCTGCTTGCAGATTATTTTAGAGTTTAATGCTATTAGTTTCCACTAATTGATGAAAAAAATTATGGAAAATGGAATGTGTCCTAATCAATATGTCCAGAGTCCAATTTTGAGATGTGGTCATTTATTACCCATTCAACAATGCAAAAACCCATGGTTCCACTAAATAGGACCAATAATTGAGCTCCCCATCCTGGAATCTTGTGTATCCAAGTGAATGATGTGTGAATTTCACAACTCTAAAACAATAAGGATGGGGATATCTGGGAGGAAAATTAATTGCTTTAAAAATGGAAATTAGATTTTTCTAATTTGTAAATAAACATATTACAAACGAAACGCAAGTATTTAGGGCATTACTGTCTCTTAAACTTAACAAATCAAAACAGAACTAAATACTGCTTTCTAAAATTTTAATGACATAAAAGAGTCAAAAGTTGAAATGGGTATGTTTAATCAATCATTAATTAATATTAATCAATTAATGCCCAATCATTAATCAATTGGTCATAATGACATGAAAGCTATGGCTTAGAAATACGATTGAATATATAATTTTAAACTACATGATAATAAATTATTCCCAAATGCCCATCCTTTTTGGTTTTGTTATCACACCGTGCTTACCACACATCCACATACTCTGCTGTTCTACAATGAGAAAAGGAAAATTTTAGTTTAGTTTGTTGGAGAAAATTGGAAAAATTACTCGAAAACATGCATAAATACATTAAAATGTATATAAAGAAGAAACATTTACTGAAAGGAGAAAAATGTATTAGTCTTAGGACCAGTTGGGGTTTTGTAACAGCCCATAGGAAACCCAGTTGTGTATGAATTGATTGGATGAATTTGGCAAACGGTTACAGTTACACAAAATGGGCTTTTCCTTATTATTTACATACTTTAGAAACTGGTGTTCCCAATGTATCTGTCCCCAGTTCCTTGCCGCTAATGTACTTTTGGTCAAAAAAGCTTTCAAGGAAAAATATCCCTGCAAGTTCAGCTTTGTTCAGAATGCTTCAGTCTTAAAGACCTCCTTTTAAATTCATCTTTAAGCACTGCATTCTAACCAGAAAACTACATTTTTAGCTACTATTTAAATATGATGTGTGCCATATCTGAAGTATTTCAACAAAATATGATCAAATATGTGGGCCCACTGTTTCTACTCTCTGTTCAAAGTAAAATACACTCTACACATCATAAGACAGACTTTATACCAGTCAGATCAAATTGTAAATATTTTTGGGTGATGTAAGAAAAATAATGACTGACTAGTTACAGGTCATCTAAACACTTTTGGTGAAACACTATTGATGTTTAAGAAAGAAAATGAATCCCACGTACTCTTCAGCGCATCCTGGTCTTATTCAAGGTAACATGCTTCCTCATCGTCCTCACCCTTTGCTTGTTGGCCTCTGCGTGTGGCTATCAAGAATCTGGGTCAAAGATATCAAGGGCTTAGCAGGACCCTTGAATTTCAGCTCTGGAACAAACTCACCTGTGGGAGATATTCTGATACAGATTTAAAAGTAGTCCCAGTCTCTTGACTTCTAGGTCTAATCCAAGTGTTTTTTTTTTTATGGAGTTACTCTAAGTGATCAAATCTCATCCTACTAGGGTGGTGACCACTCTATTTTGAGATTATTTTTGTTTTGCTAATCAATACTAATTGCAGATCAGCAACAGAACTCATAAAATTGGAAACTCCTCTCCCTGTGAGCAAGTTGGGAAATCTGAAGAGAGTACAAAAGTACATTATGCACTTGAAGTCACTGGGGACCCTTTAATGAGACATAGCTTTGTGGACGAACAAGGGGGAACAGACCTGGAAAATAACTACCCTGTTCTAGTCCCGCATCCACAGAGGAGCCACAGGGTCTCAGTTCAGCTCTTTCTCTCCTCTTTGCTGTTGTTGTCTGTGACCACTTGAGTTTAAATGAATCATGAAGTCTGGGCAGGCTGACTCACGCCTGTACTCCCAACAATTCGGGAGGCCGTGGCGGACGGATCACTTGAGCTCAGGAGTTTGAGACCAGCCCGGGCAACACGGTGAAACCTTATCTCTAAAAAAAAATTACAAAAATTAGCCAGGCATGGTGGTGTGTAACTGTGGTCCCAGATACTTGGGAGGCTGAGGTGGGAGGATTGCTTGAGTCAGTGAGGTCAAGGCTGCAGTGAGCCCAGATCATGTCACTGCACTCCAGCCTGGGCAACAGAGTAAGACCCTGATTTAAAATAAATAAATAAATAAAATCATAATTAATGTAAAAGTACTCCGAAAATCATACATGTCCTTGAATGATTCTTTTTTAAATAACGTAAGTGAACAACCAGCGTTAAAAAATATTATACATGAAAACATCAAGATTAAATTGGTTAATTAGTGAAAATGGCCAAAAACTTAAAAACATCAAACCCTTGTATTCACACGGCAAAGGTGTGTAGAAAGTCATTCTCATGCAAATAAGTGTGTAAACCAGTACAAGTCTTCCTGTGGGTGATTTGGCCATGTGCATCAAATCACATTACGATGCAGCGACTTCAATTCTAGGTATTTGTTGTAAGGAAATAATCAAAAATATTCACAATAATATTGAGTAGAATTTTTTGTACTCAATATTTCTAACTGAGAAAACTTGAAAAATCTAAATGTTGCTTTTAAAATTGTAATAAGGAATTGATTAAATAAATTACAGTACAGCTCAATAAGATTTAAAAATCCTCCATATGTAATGAAATGAGAAAACAGACATTATCTACTGTCAGGTAAAGAAGAAGCAAGGTACAAAAAGTATGTTGAACATGATCTCTAGTTTGTAGAAATATGGAAAAAAGATGTTAGCACTAAAATAGTAACAGTGATTTTTCTCTAGATGAAAACAATACTTTTTATTAACTTCATGGTTATTTTCCAAGTTTTCTACAATGACTATGTATCACTTTTGTCATAAGAATAAAAGTTATGTAAAAAGCACAAATTGTCACCAAAAGAGATTTTACTTTTTGGTATCTTTTAAGCTAACAATTCAATAATTAGCTTTCAATGGTATCCGCTATCTTCAGATAAATTATAATAAAATAATAAGAAATTTTCCCTCAGAAAAAAGTAGAAACCTTTATTTGCATGTACAGGTTTCTGAACATTTGGAAATAGATTAGACATGCTTTAAAGTTAACAGTTTTTCAAAGGCTGTCAACTATAGAAATGTCGAATCAGAAACCTTAGAATTTTTAATCACCTTTTTGCATACACTGCCTAAAAAAGTTTGTTTCACTTACATAAACCATTGTCTGTCATTATTTCACAGGTTTTCTCTCTCTTTAAAAACTGACTACCTATAAAGCAACATCCTCACCCAACACACATTTTGGGGAATACCATAAACTTTAAAAAATTCTACATTTGAAGGAAAAAAATACATGATTAGTTATTAACTCCAAGTCTCAAACTGCAAACATGAGTGCAAATCAGGGTGACGCCTGCAGGTGCACGACGACCAAGCCAAACCAGACTGCTGGACTGAGAAGCCACTTGCCCTCTCCCTGGCCTCCTTGCCAGCGTCCCACAGGCTGGGACAGGTGGCCGACTCTCTCCAAGTGCCTAGGGCCATCTTGTCCCCACACCACAGAAGATGAAGATCTGTTCCCTGGGACCGACTTAGGAGGCCGAGGGGCCCCAATGCCATGTGTGGAGTTCATTTGCTGGGACACACAAAACTACACGAAGTGAAGGGTGGACACGTTTCCTCGGACATCAATGAAGGAAGGGGAAACGTGTCAAGCAAATCTTCAGATTGTAGGTATCCCAATCCTTCCCCGGATTAGTCAATCCATTTGTATCCTTACAAATTGAGTTTCTGTGTTACTAAGTATACCCGTATTCAATTGAAGTTGCTACAGAATCATAAAAACATCTTTCAACTTATTTTCTCAAATCCAGCAGACCATGGGGTGGTTACATTTTGCCATCCACAAGGGCTGCAGTGGGAGGTGATGAGCAGCCCTGGCCGCGCAGCACCATCCTGAAGCCTTGCCTCTAGCTCCCCACCCCGTAGGAGACACCCTGCCTCTGAGTGACAGCAGAGATCCCCACCTGGGGCAGATCCCAAGGCCTGTAAGGAGGTGTTCAGAGTGTGGTTCTGCAGCAACAGCTTTTTGGGCTCGAAGCCCATGTTTAGTCACTTAGTCGTTCGTAAGCCATGTGGCCTTGGGTCCATTCCTCAACCCTGCTGTGCCTGGCTCCTCACCTGTAAACCGAGCATGAAACTAACAGAACCCACCGCATACAGTTGTGAGGAATGAATGAGTTCATAGGTGGGAAGTACTTCGAATTAGTCCTGGGCACAGAGGAAGCACTCGACAAATACTAGTCGGGGTCGCCACGTTCATTATCACTATCAGTGGTATGATTAAGATAACCTAGTCTCCTATGCATTGGTTGGGAAATTAGGGTCAATGACAACGTAGCAATACAGTTGGTGAGTTAGGAAGAAAAAAATTTAAAGGAAAACCCCAATTCTATGTCTATCCCCAGTGATCGGAACTCAAGTTGCAAGCTGCTTTAAAATGACTCAGTGCTTAGCTGCACACTGGGACTGGGCCCAGCGACCCCGTTCTGGGGAGCGCTCACCTCCCTTTGTACCACTTCACCTGCTGCTGCTAACACTCTTGCTATAAGGGTGAAATCACATAATCGTATGTTTGCAGTTTTGTGGTAAAATAAACATAACTTCAAAGGATTATTATGCAAAGCCCCCACACCACTGCCATAAGCCTAATTGTTATTCTTCTCTGTCACCCCTTGAGCCCAAAGTACATAATCACCCAGTAATTGAACTGAAATGTCTAAATGGCTGAGGCTCCTAAAGGACATAGCTATTTACCAATGAAAAAAGTCAGAAAAATTTAGCAAACCTCCCTGGCGCTCTGCTGCGTTAGTACAAAAGACTGTGTAAATATGACCCACCTGGACCTGCTCCTCCTCCTCAAATCATTAATGGAAACAGAACAATCCTTGCTGTCACGGGGCAATGTGAGAGAAATAATTAAAATATCACAATTGCTTAGCTGTTTCTGAACAGAGCGGTGTAAGCTCTAACCTTTCTCAGGATATAATTTTATGAAAATTTAAGCAAAAGGCAGAAAAGTAAATTTTCCTGGTCGTATCATTAAGTGCTTCTGGGGCTGGGGGGAGAAGCCAGGGGGCCTCAATGTCAATGCTTCCCTCAATACAGACTGGGCAGTGAGTCCTGGGCTTTCAGGGATGGGGGTCACCCTGGAGGATGGGCGTTTTCATGGCAAGGGTCCTGACATTCTCAGTAGAGCCCGCCGTGCTCTAATCTGCAGAAAGAAGCCTCATCTCAAACACTGAATACAACAGCAGCCAGTTTTCTTTTTAAAATTGTAGATTTTTAAAAGCTCAGAAATCAGGTTTTCCTCTTTGGAGTAACACAGAACTAATTCCAGGGTCCTTGGGGTCTTTGCTGGTGGAGTAAGCCCTACCCCTCTACTCCCATCATTAAATATCTGGATAGACACACAGGTTAATTATACATATTTTTAAATTTTGCAAAGGATTCTCTGAAGGACGCATCTCAGCCCATCTAAGTACAAAACAGCCATCACTCAATGGCTAAACTCGGCAATCCTTGGCACCCAGTGGAGTTAAAAATTTTAATTATCATTTTTTAAAACGCAATACTTATCATTTGAATGAAACATGTCAGCACACAAATCATGAAATGATGATTCTGAATAGAATTTTTGTTGGTTGATTGCATAAGCAATACCTCTTGTTGCTGAAATAACATCTCAAAGGCAAAATAATGACGACATGACAATCCGTGTAAATCAAGAACTGCATGTGGGTTTATTTTACATCTGAGAAAACAGTGGATTTAATTGTGTGAACCAAAATGTACTGTACAATATTAATGATAGAACATCAAAATGTATAATTAATAGTGCATTGCTTGCTTTGTTTTTATGTATTTATTTTTGTCTGACAGTCCCTCTGAGTACATGCATCTGGAGAGATGCAGGTGCCAGTAAAAGTCCTCTATTTAAATCAAGCTGCAGGAACTAAATTTTATTCAAAAATTGTGGTTTTACATTATATACACAGAAATTTAATATAAAATGACAATATAAAAAGTTAAAAGAGAAAGCATACAGCCAGAAGGTACAAAGAAAGTTGAAGAGATTAAAATGGTACGATATGTAACATACAGGAGTTTTTAAGCTGATGCTGGCAATTTACAAGGAAAGGACTCCAACGTTTGCCCCATTTTTTTTCATTTACCAATGCAGCACGCTATAGAAAGGTCAGCTTGTACCAAAGCTTACATTTGTAAATAACTATAAACTGCAATATTTTACAGGAAAAAAGAAATAGCATTTTTACACATTTTTAAATAATAGCTTGCATACTTTTTTTTTTGCCGAAAGTGGCATTTTTCAGCATCCAGAGGGTTTGGGCATAGTGGCGAGTGGGGTATCTGTTGTTGTTGTTTTTTGTTTTAGACATGTAGAGGTGTGGCTTCCGAACCCCGTGAGTCCTAGACAGCTTTCTATCTTCCCACAGCTGCATGCATGTTTCCTCACAAACCAGTTCTGCATATAAAAGCTCATTTTTTAATTATTAAATAAGTTTTGTGTCTGACACAGCTTTTGATCTGAATGAAATGCCTTTAAGCCTTTTTTTCTTCTTTTTTTTTTTTCAAGTGAAAGGCACAGAAATGCAATTACAGTCCTCAAAGGGTTAAATTTGACACTACCAGGTTCTATGACCTTTATTGTCATGGCAACTTCACCATTTTAGGATGTCTTTTTATCATTGTTATTTGTGTCTTTCTTTACTGCTAAATAATGTCTCTGAGTAGTGTGCCCCACTATTTCCTACAAAAGATAGCTTAACACCAAGAACAGATGTTGAAAATAAAGGTCAGACTTTGACTCACGGAAAAAGAAAAATAACATGCACAGATCGGACAGAGAGCATATAAATATACAAAATATGTGTAAGAAAACCAAGGTCCAGAGAGGCGGGCCAGCAACAAAGGAAAGACTGATTTCAGAGGCTCAGGCCAGGCCTAGTGCAGCTCGACGACGTTTAGTGCAATGTTCCGCGGTCTCTTGCATACCTGGACGCTACTGTTTCTCCAACTCAGTCACATAGATCAGGTGGTCCTCGGGAGACTTGCCGTGGGTCTTACTAAGGTGCAGTTTGACTGCGTGCTTGCTCGCAAAAGTCCGGTTGCAGAGCTTACATTGGAATGTGGAGCCCAAGTCTTCCTCGGTGGCCCCCAGTGGGCCCAGAGTTTTGTTGGTGAGGACTTTCGAAACATTCTGCTGTTCTTGAATCTGATTGAGTGGCAGCTTGGAGAGATCCTTCAGGCTGAAGCCCAAGTGTGTCTCCAAATGACTTATGTATGTAGAAGCAGTTCTGAACTGAGAGGCACAATCGTTGCAAAAGAAAACAGGATGCCCTGTGTCCAGGTTCTTTAGGAATTTCGTTCCCCCTGTCCTCCTCAACTGGTACTTCACATTGGCCAGCCAGTGGCTGATGGTGGTCATGGAGAGCCCAGTAAACTTCGAGATGTGCACCCTCTCCTGCGGGCCCAAGTCCGACATGATGTACTTGCCCTCTGTGGTCTCCCGCAAGCTCGAGGCGAACTGGGCCTGCAGGATGAGAAGGTGCTGCGGGTTCCAGTTGGACTGCCGGCCCTTCCTCTTGTGGACCGGTGACAGCTCGTCCAA
Source organism: Homo sapiens (assembly GCF_000001405.40). Taxonomy (NCBI): domain Eukaryota; kingdom Metazoa; phylum Chordata; class Mammalia; order Primates; family Hominidae; genus Homo; species Homo sapiens. The sequence continues at coordinate 75,288,032 of NC_000018.10, read as the reverse complement.
CGCCTCCTCAAAGCTGCTGCCATCAGCATCGGACTTCTCTGAAACTGTGGAGGGCGTGGAGGACTTGGGCGTCAGGCGGCCTGTGAGGTTTTTCACCATGTCGGAGATGTCCATGAGTGCGCTCTCCCGCAGAGGTGATGCCACCGAATCAGCCACGCTGGACACCAGCGGCTTGTTCTTGGACTTGGTTAAGTCAATGGGCTGGTCGCTGTTTTCATAATAGTAGCGGTCGATGGCATCGGCCTGCTTCACAGGGGTGGCGGGGTACACCGGCTTGTCCAGCATGCTGTTGCTGATCTTGTACAGCATCGCCAGCGGGTCCAGCGAGGGACTCACGGGCTTGGACACCTTGCCCAGGTGGGTGTTCATGATGGACTGCAAAGCGCTCAGCGGGTTGATGAAGGAAGGCTCCGGTGAGTGGTCCATGATGATCCCCAGGTTGTTACAGCCGTTGGTGACCTTTGCTTTGAGAGGCTCTGTGCCATTTGGGGTGTGAACGTCCAGCGGTCCCTCCTTTTTGGCCTTCCCAGTCTCGGCCTCAGGGCCCTTCTTCTGTGGTTTGCCGCTGACTTCCTCCGTTTTCGGGAAATCTTTATTCTCTTTTGCTATGGGGGACGCAGCCTTGGCCAGGGAGCTCTTCTCCTTCTCAGGGGGTCTCTCCTCCTTCTTGATGTTGACCTTGCCCGTGACCTTCTCCACCAGCTCCTCCATGGCAGACACGTTGCTCTTGTGCGGTGGGGGCGTGAGGCTCCCTGGGGAGTGCAGGAGGGCGTTGTGCTCGGCGGAAGACAGCGACTTCACGCCGCCAGCATAGGACGGCTGCACCTGCACGCTCTGCACGGCCGCCGGCAGTGGCTTCACGGTGCCCGGGAGCTGGTAGGCTGCATGGATGCTGGGGTAGCCACCCCATGAGGGCGCACCATTCTGAGCTTTGCTAATGGCCGTGGAGACGGTATTCTCCAGGGACTTGAGAATGTCCAGCCCTCCCTTGGGGCTGTCGTCCAGGTCCTCCTCACGCAGGTACGGGTACAGGGTGCTGGGCTCAAATTTCTCCAAGCTGTCCTCACTCTCCTCCTTGATCTTCTCCGCGTCGCCAGCCACAGGCGGCTTCTCCTTCTCTGGCTCTTTCTTTTCTTCAGAAGTCGTGGACCCCGCGGGAGAGTCGGGCTGCTTTTTGATGCTGGAGGCCGGCAGCCGCGTGTGGGTGGTGGGCGGTAGTGGGATGGACTGGATCTTCTCTTCCACCACAGGGTCCAGCACCAACTGCTTGCCCTTCTTAGAAGCCGAGGTGGTCACTTTCAGGAAGTGCCCGGTGACCATCATGTGGGCGGTGAGCTGCTGCAGCGTGTCGTGGGAGCTGCCACACTCCATGCACTTGAGGATCTGCGCCTTGCGGGCCTCAAACTGCCAGGTGTAGCTGGCGCCATTCTGGTAGCCATAGCGGTTATTGGGCGTGACGTACGGGTTCGCTGCTTTCTGATCCTTGGCTGACTCACTCAGGGCCACCTCTGCGGCCATTCCTGCTGGCTCAGGGGAGCAGGGGGGCGCCAGGTCCTGAAGCGCCCGCTTTTTGGTGGAGGGGACCAGTTTGGTGATGGCTGGCACTGGCTCCTTCAGAGGCACTTTCTGGTAATGCTTGGTTTTGATCATGTGGACGCTGAGGTCCTGCAAGGACTCAAAGGAGTGTCCACAGTACATGCACTTCAGCACCTTCTGGGCATCCTCCTTCCCCTCCATCTCCATCAGGGAGCGCTTCCTGGGCTTGGACCACCTCTTGGTCTTCTCGGAGTCCTTGTCCCTGTTGTCGTCACGGTAGTGGCCTGTCTCGTTCATGTGCACCGTCAGTTCCACCAGCGTGTCGTACGCGGCACTGCAGTCTTTGCACCGGAACTTGCTGGCGCCCGTGAAGACGGAGCCGTAGAGCTTGTTGTTCTGGCGGTAGAGCTGCACGGTGCTGAACAGGCTGGGCTCAGGAAGCAGCCCATACGAGGACGTCTGCTGCAGCGTCTTGGCCAGTGCAGCCTGGTGCCAGTCGTACCCGGAGCTGCTGCTGGTACTGGTGGTACTGCTGTGGCTGGTGCTGGAGCTGCAGCTGGTGCTGGGCGTGCTCGTGGTGGGGCCAGTGGTGCTGACGGGGCAGGTGGGGGGTGTGGGGGTGGGGGCGGAGCTCTCCTTCTGGCTGGCATCGTTGGTGCTGGTGGTGGAACCCGACTTCTTTAAATCCAGAGCTAAGCTGGACCAGCAGGACTCGGAGAACAAGTTTGCATACACAGCTTTGATCTGTGCCAGGCTGTCCTGGGGGTACGAGACGCTGTCGGGACACTGCGGATCCTCCTTCTCTTCTCGAGAGGAAGAGCCTTTGAAATGGGCTAGCTGGTCGCTGCTCTCACTGAAGGGCGACCCGTAGCCGGCGTCCTGGTTAGTCGCAGAGCTGACTGGGGAGTTCTGGTAGCTCTGCGCCTCTTTGATCTCCGTCTCTTCATTGCACATGTACTCACTTTCCTGAATGTCCAAAGACAGCCCGTCATCCTCCACGTGCTCTTCATCTATTTCTGCTGCCTTCAATTCTTCCTCAGGAACATAAGCTAGGAGAGAAAAATGAAACCCAGTTAGAAGAAGTAAATCATCTTCAAAGAGACAGCCTCCCCAGCAGTTAGATGATCTTTAAAAAGATATTTGTCAGCCTAGCCCCCAGGACACAAGGCTACCCCAAGTTTACATATCTACCCCTTTGCAGGAGTTAGGTTTCAAAAGGTGCTGTCCCCTCCTGAGTGTGTCTTTAGCAAAGGGGACTGAGCTGGAGGATGATGTCCTGTGCTCGTCCCAAAGATGTCAGTTTGACCCTTGCAGCCTGGTGGGAAGGGCAGGAACTTGGGACTCCAGCCACCACCTGCCAAGTACCCCTCCTATAGGCTGTTCCCTCTGTAAGTGACCCAGGAGTCCCCTCATGACTTCCATATGGCAAATATTTGTAAACACCCATCGGGCAGGACCTGGTTATCAATTTTTAGAGCAGGATATTCACAGACAGTATATCGTTTCCATAAGTAAAAACACTCCTCAATGGCAAGCAATGAAAACACTCTGGTCTTCACCAAAAGCACCAACATGGCACCGCCAATCTCCTGCCTGGCAGAGCAAAGCGCCACCCGCATGGGGCTGCCAGACGGCAAAAGCCACGGTTGTTCACCAAGGCCCAGAGCAGCCTCATTGACTGCAGCCAAAAGCTGGAAGGCACCAAAAGGTCCAGTGACAGTTGGAGGGATGAACGCGGTGTGGCCCGTCCACACTCAGGCTTGGAAAGGGAGTTCTGACACGCACTGCAGCGCGGACGCACCTCGAGGGCATAGTGCTCGGTGAAGGCAGCCAGACACAAGAGGACATGTACTGCATGGCTCACCTCACGTGAGGGCCCTAGAGTTGCCACATTCATAGAAAAAGAAAGCAGAGTGGTGGCGTGTGCCAGGAGAAGGAGGGGATGGGGACAGAGTTTCCATCTGGGAAGACGAGAAAGTTCTGGAGATGGAGGGTGGTGATGGCTGCACATCAATATGAACGTTCTTAACGCCATGAAACTGTGCACTTAAAATGGTTAAAATGGTCACTTATACATTATAAATATTTTATCACAATAAAAGCTGTTTAATTACAAAAGCCCAACGGTCCACGCTCCAGCTGCCTACTACAGGCCCACGACTGCACAGCGGAGCGACTTCATGGGCTGAAGGCAGCGTTTCCCAGAGGGGCCTCCAGGATATGGAAGTTGTCCCATGGATGAGGCTGGAAGGCAGAGAAACCGAGATGAAACCTGGACTTGTGACTGCAGGACATGTCAGATCCTTCACTATGCAACACACCTTCCTAACTCCCAAGGGGAGACTACTGCAAGGAACACTGCCTCAGCTTCTTTGACCAAGGCACTTTTACTTACTTTTCCCGTCTCGAGGCAACAACTAGCTGGACTACAGTTCCATCAACAACTTGGGGTATTTGGGGTTCAGATATTTTGCAGAAAATCCCTATTAAAATGCATTCATCTGACCTGAGAGGGGTGTCTCATTAAATATCATCATTCATGATGACATCATCAGAGCCAGGGCCTGAGGGAACACGACAAGGAGCACAGACGTTTTCAGGGAGGACTGCTGGGAGGGACAGAAAACATCTTGGCCGCCCAAAGGGAGGATGCCAGGGGCAGCAGGGAGCAGTGTGAGAGCCTCAAAACCCGCAAATGCAGGGCTTCAGATTCTAGCAGCAGCCAGCACTCACAGGCACACGCATAATCACATGTGTACACACAAGCACACGCACACACACACACACAATGAGAGACGACTGAATCGGTCATGTGGAGAATCTTCTAGTTCAGGCCATCCCGAGTGCTTGCACACACTGCCCTTTTCTGCACACGACAATCTGCGCACCTGTGTTCACGCATTTCATGGAGGTATGTGGAAAAGCAGCAAAGCCAGGAATCACAATCCTGTTCACACTGTACTGTGAGTGTGGAAAATAACCAATCATGTAAGACCCCAGGCCTCAACTACGGGCATCAACATGTGGGGAATGTTCTAGATGATTCTATGACTCTCCCGTAAAATATAACGCTCATAAAATTAAAAGATAATTGCCAAGTTCAGGCACATTGTCATTAGCCTGTAATTATTAAAGGTTTAGGATGGCCCAGTTCTGAGGGTTCACTGCTAGGACCCAGGGACCCCACTTTAAGAACCACTGGTCAGACTCATCACCTTTGAACCAGCCTGGCCTGGGCCATGTTGGCTTGGGCTACAAGGTGCAGCTCCTCTGTGGATTCAGAGGGTGACTCTGAAGGCTGCAGGATGTGCTGGGCAGGGCAACGCCCAGGGGAGGCAGAAGGCCCAGGTTTAAGATGTCGGCAGGCCTGAGCATGTGCTGGCCTTGGCCCCAGGCCCCTCCCACTGTGTGCGGGAGGCCCTTCTATCAGGATCGACTATAGGAAACGGCCTCACGGCTTTCGTCAACCCATCTTTGTGAAAGGGAGTTTCATGGCCACTAATGCAAAGGAAACGTTTAGCTTGACTTGGATCTGCTCAGTTCGGGGAGCCCGTCACTGCTGGCGCACTGCTCTGTGTGCCTCTGCTCCCGGCCACAGGTGCCTGAAGGCTGCTGCACAGGCTAAACCAGCCCTCCCATGGCCCACCCCACAGCAGGCGGCCAACCTGTGTGTGCTAATAAGTGACTTTGTGTTCGTCAGCTTGGGCTACCATATCCACATACCGTATGCGGATATGGCTTGACCAACAGAACTTCCTTTCTCCCAGTCCTGGAGACTGGAAGTCCCAGGTTAAGGTCTGGCAGGGTTTGGTTTCTGGTGAGGGCTCTCCCTGGCTTGAGGATGGCAGCTCTCTCCCTGAATGGCTCTTCCTTCCAGCAGGTGGAAAGAGAGAGCTCTTCCACTTCTTTTAAGGCCACCTCTGTTGGACGACGGCCCTGTGACCGCATTTAATGTTAATTACTTCCTAAAGGCCCCTTCTCCAAATACAGCCACAATGGGAGTCAGGTCTTCCACATATGAATGACGGGGACACAATTCTGTCCTTGGCAGGCTTTCCTCTCAACACTGAAAACACAGAAATGGGAAACTTACTCTCATGCCTCTAGGTGTGTTCAACACTGACCAATCCTCATCCCCTTGCTTGGAGCAGGTGCCCACAAAGGATGAGGGTCCGGAGTCAGGGCTGCGTCTCAGGGCCTGGCCCGGCATCTCACATGGTGATGGCCTCTTCCCACACCATGCTGCACCCTCATGCTCCCAGCAGGCACAGAGCGTTGTCCAGACCACGCTCCAAGACAGTCCATTCTGCACCCGGGAAGTTCCTAGGCTGAGCTACAATGTATCTCATCGCCAATGTGTGTCAGAACAGATTGGACCTCACAGATCCACAGAACGAGAAGGCCCTCCTAAGAAGTCATCTTCCCAGCAAGCCATTTCCTTGCGCAGATGTCCACGGCCCTGTGTGGACTCCAGGGAGTGCGGACGTCGAAGGAGGGGGTCCATAAAGTCCCTGCCCTAGGGACGGGGACTCATGTCCCAGGGAAGAAGCAAAGCAGGGTGATCAGGCAGCCTCTGACCGGGTAGGTGAGGGACACTTTTGGAAGGCAGGGAGCCCCGTGTGGACCAGGGTGAAGGCTGGGCCCCCACAGGTTCGGGCTCTCCCTGCCCGCACCTAGCATGCCCCCCTTCCAGATGCCATCTGGAGGCAACTTCTCACTCCCCACCCGGTTGCACCCATGAGCAGCATGTGGCCCTCTCCCTCGTCTCCAGACCCTCGGTGACCGCTACCCGCTCCCCGTTCTGAGCTGCCGCATCCCCAGGTCTGCCTCCTGCTCTTGCCCGTTCTTACTGCAGCCTCTCTCTGGCCAATCTCACCTTCTCCACAACCCCAGGGCCTGTGCCGACCACAGCCATGAGCACCCCTGCACACCTGCCAGACACAGGCCCATCAGGGAGGACGCCTGTCATGCCACCCCCATGGTGCTTTCAGGGCCTGGCCCCATGTAGGGCCCGTGGAAGGAGCCCCACTGTTCTGCCACAGATCTAATGTGACACGGGTGCTCCACATCACACCTACGTTGTGTGCAAACAAAATGACACCCCACCGCCCTCTCCAGCACCCTCCTCCTCAAAACAACAGCACACTTTCTCCTCCTTCTGAATCTCCAGATTCAGACGTTACCGAATAACCCCAAACGAGAGTATCCGAGGCAGAAAAGCAGCGCCATCCTCAAAGCCTCCTGGTCCTCAGGCCCCGCATCCAAACTGGCCCCCCGCACTGATGACCAGCTGTGGCCAGAGCCTTCCAACGTCCCCAGATGACCTCGCTCCACTCCTGGTCCGTGACATTCTCCCTTCCAGCAGACGCTGTGCTCCCGACAACCCTGAGTGCAAGCCTTTGCTGAAGCTGCGTGTCCCAGGCAGGGCGTCTGGACCCTCACCGCTGCCCCGCCTGTGCCCAGCCCTCTGTGCCCAGCCCGCTCTATCTATCTGGTCCCAGGCAGCCCTTCCCCTGCAGGGGAGTGCCCAGTCTGGATGCCAGCCCTCCCCGACTCTCTGCCTGGTGTGAGCTACTGGGCCCTCCCTCATCCCTCCAGGGAGGCTCAAAGGTCATCTCCTTATGCCACCCTCTCAATCCCCTCACGGAATTCACCACTCCTGGAAGAATCTGGAGCTGTTACCTGTCTGTCCTCCTCATAGAGCTGTGACTTCTTTCACTCAGCTCACACGGCACAGGCTCCTGCGCCTCTGGGTTGAGTATTTTCATCCCATTGCTTCATTTAATCTCACAACCCTTTAAGCTAAGTTATCACTGAAACACCTTTTCCACAGGAAAGAAAACAGAGTCTTGGGGAAGTTGACCGACTTCCCCAAAGTAACACAGGAAACAAATGATGGAAACATGATTTGAAAGCGAGTCACTGACTCCCAGCCCTGGTCTTTCCCCTTTGCCACTATCGGGATCAAGTTATTTTCTTTTGTCTCATTAACATCTAAATGCCAGAGAAGATATGGAGTAAATGTTTTTGAATGAATGAATGACCAAAAGTAACTCTGTATTAAGTATTTAGAACAGCCATTATGTGCCAGACACAGTGTTATAAATGAGAGAATCTCAAAGAAAAAGAGTAAAGGGAGAGAAATGTTAAAACATTGATGCTCTTTAGCCCAATCATTTTATTTTTTGAAGTTAGCCTAAGAAGTTAATATGAAATGCAGAAAAAGCTTCATGCACAAAGATGTCCCTTATACAAGATGTCCTTTTACACACATAAAACTTGCCACGGTCTAAATCTTCAACAATAAGGAGTAGTTACATGAACTAGTGTTTATTCCCAGGATGCAGTATCCTTCAAACATGAGAAAGTATGTTTTAATGACATGGAGAAAATCATTAAATGAAAAAAGCAGAAGACAAAATTATATACACAGTACAAAGAGAAAATCCTTTTCAAAGAATGTTACAGTGTTTTTCTATCTAGATAATAAATACACAAGTTATTTATCATTGAATGAAGTGGTTCTTCACGAATATCTGTATTTTTGAAATCTTCAATATTTTCAGTTCAGCCAACATGGACTAGCCATTGAACACCATTACTGGAATAAATTCGCTAGAAGCAAACTTTCACGGAACGTCTACCAGCCACAGCCACAGCCAGCAGTCAGATCCCGAGAACTGGGGAGCACGGAGAATGGCAGGGCCCAGCCCGGGGCAGGAATGTTGTGAAAGGCTTTATTAATTGTTACTGTGTTTTAATGTTAAAAATGAAAGGGGATTTGGAACCATCAGGGATGCAGATGGTGTCTGGGTTGAGAACATGAGTGAGCTCCTGCCCCGCACTGCCAGAGAGGCTGTCCTGGGCTGCTCTGCCCCAGGTCCCCCAGGTCCCCAACCACAGTGGCCGCCTCCCACCGTCCTCCTGCTCCAGCTCCTCAATTCCACAGCCACTGCAGGGGGTTCTCCATCCAGCCTTCCCATGGGAGGGGCTGCAGTGTCTGACAAACAGGAGGGCCGGCGGCTCACCCACACACAGTTGTCACCATGCTAGGCCTTAGCTGATGGGGTTTGCTCACTGCTGTCCTTGCCCTCTGAACCTTCTGGCATTTATACTTTTATCATATACTCTTCCAGTTTATTGAATCCTGATCATCTTCTATTTTTCAGCTATTTTACTATTCTACTATGTTCTTTTAGCTCATCATATCTATTTTTTTAACTAGCTAAACTTTTCCCCTCTAACTTACAAGAGATGCGAGGAAGCATAAACCTTCAAGACAGCTGGGAGGACGGCCTCCCTTCCACCCCACATCACTGGGCACCATTTCTCACTAGCCCGAACCCGCCCTCCTGACCCCAAGCAGCTCTCCTGTCCCCCTCGAATAAAGCACATCCTCACCATTCTCCCACCACCCCAGGCCAGGGGCCCTGAGGCTGAAGTGCTGGTCAGAGTGGCCTCTTGTCTGAAGCTCTTGTGACCATGGAAGGGAACGGTCTTTGGGACAGCCACAGACTTAGTGGGTGCAAGGGACTCAACGACCCCACAGACGGAGGTGGGCAGGAGGGCGCCCCATGAAAGACTCCATATTAAACCTGTGACTGACTGCCGGCCTCACCTTACCCTCTTCCTCGCATCATTCCAAGACCCTTCGAGGCCTGGCTTAGTTCCAAGGACTCAATAATAATACAAATAATAATAGTAACTGGAGCCACAGCACCACCTCCGGACGACCACCTCCAGCAGCCAGCACTGGAGGACCTGCGCTTCTGATCTCCCCTGTCACAGCTGAGTGGCCAAGGACCCTCCCAAGGCTCAACCAGGCAGCAGCAGGCCAGGCTCCAAGCAGCCTCTGCCTCCCTCCACCCCCGGTCTTTCACGGTGCGCTGAGTCTTCTGGTTCTTCTGCCCCCACAGGCCCCCAACAAGGGCCCGTACCCTTCCAAAACTGGGGAGCAGGCAGAGAGCACCAGATCCCAGGGCCAGAATCACTCAGAAGGACTGAAAATCAACAGAGTTTCATTTAGAGTTTAGGACCTGGGGAGAAGGCGGCCAGGAGTCACGGGACAAAGCCTGAGATAGGAGAAATTCCAACCCAGAACCCAGGTGCCTCCAAACAGGAGCAACCCAGCACCTTGGCCTCCGTACTAGGCAAGGAAGGAGTGCTTGGATTTTGCTACGTCTGTATCAGGGAGGAATGTGCCAAATCACTTTGGGAAGCCAGCCCCCCTCCAACCCACCCCCAGGCTATACCTGTCACACACAGCAAGGTCCACTAATCCACCCTGGATGTGTGCAGGGGTGATCCAAAGGGGTGCTCCCCAGGAGCCTGGGCCTGAAAAGACAGAGTAAACTGGGGTGGGACTGACACCCCAGTGGTTCGCCTCTATGGGGCTTACACTAACGTGGCCATTGCTGTGGTTTCTTTAGTAGAACAGATCCCCCCACCCACCCCCTTAGCGTGGCAGAAGGAGAGAGAGATGGAAGGTACGGATTTGATGTCTGGAGAGCATGGTAGGAGCCCAGGCTCAGATACATACACACAGTGTGACCCGATACACTCACTCGCTCCTTGGGACCTCGGTTTCCCCACTGGAACAACCACTGTCCCCATTGGAACAATGTCTTTTGGGGTTATAGGAAGTATTTATGGCAATGACAGAATCATCACCATCAGTATGTGGCCCAACTGTGTGCTTGTCAGCTGCTGCGGTCTGAATGTTTGTATCCCCGCCCTCGAATTCCTCTGTTGAAATCTAACCCCCCACAGTAATGGCAGAAGGAGGTAGGGCCTTTAGGAGGTCACCAGGAAAGAGCCCTCAAGAACAGCATGAGTGCCCTTATTTTTTAAAAGGCTCCAGAGAGCTGGCTTGCCCCTTCTACCACATGACGACACAGTGAGATGACACCATCTACGTACACACAGGAGGCAGGCCCTCCTCACCAGCTCCCAGATCTGCTGCTGCCTTGATCTCCCACCTCCCAAGCCCAGAACTGTGAGTAATACAAGTCTGTTGCTCACAGTCCACACACAGCCACACAGTCTACGGTGCTCTGCTACAACAGCCTGAAGGAACGAGGACGCCTGCTCCTCCTCCTCCTCCTCCTCACACCCCACAGACTCACAGAATGAATCAGAAAACATCCTGCACACAGATGTGCCATCGTCCTGTGGCTATGGGAACCTGCTTAGCTTCATGCCACTCAAATAAATGGGAACAATGGGAACAAAATGATGATATGCCCATCCCAGCCCAAGCCCATCCCTTCAGTTAAGACTGAAGCTGAGCCAGCATCCGTCTTAATTGTTGTGTAGATGGTGCTCCGACAGTCAGATGTGAAATTCGGGCCATGGACCGGCTGGGCCCTTCTTGTTCTTCTTTTCCCCGTGCCTGCCTTTCAGAGGCTTTGCTGATGATTAGAGCGTCTGCCAAAGAACAGAGGAAGGAAGAGAGAGGTGGGGAAACCCACACCAGGCAGAAATGCTGTTCCTTGTGAAGAGCTCTTTGGAGGCCTGACGGAGGAGGTGGTGGACACAAATGACAGCCATGAGGTCAGGAAACTGTCTACCCAAGCTCTCTTTTCCTCATTAGCACACGTAAGTGAGAGCTGGCTGTGAAAGACGAATGGATGTTCAAAAGTGACAAACACAAACGCAGGTCTTCAGTCCCTGCTTGGTGACTGCCTTACAGTAAATACCAAATTTCACTATTGTATTGCCACCTGGTGAAACTATATAATCTTACCAAATTACATGTTTATCTAAATCAAACTATTTTGCAGACTGGCAAATGTGATACCCATGAACAGATGGCCATTATATCAAAATACATTTACTCCAAGGGGCCAATTCACAAAAGGGGCCTCCCCACACCTAAGTGATGAATGTACAGCTTCGATTCATTGTAGAATCTTACGAAACAGACTTTCTTCCAAAGTTATAATTGATCACTCATAAAGTAACGTCACCTTCGTTATGGAGAGAGCAGGTGGTTTTGATGAAAGTTAGAATACGCTGGGAAACAAAAAAATGCACAGAGAGCAGACCCAGGCAGAGTGTGGCCCTTCCTCATCAGGAAAGAAGGTAAAAATACAATATACGCACTAATTTACTAACATCGTTCTGATTCCTTGCAGGAAGACTGACACCCTGCCAAGCAAAGCTGAAAGGCTACTTTTGCTCTGACATGATAGAAAAAAAAAAACAATAGAAACAATTTTTAAGAATTTCAGAGTCTGCAAATAAAATGACCTAATGGCTTTTCCCAATTCTAATTTTAATTAGGAATCCACAGGTAACTGTTTTAAAACAAACATAATTTCTTCTTTCTCTCACTGCCCCTGAATTCAATTTCAAGTTAAGTGGGGAATAAGAAAACTAATTTAAGACCCTCTTGCTGTTCCCAATAAGCACTTTAGGTGTTAATCTTTTGTCTAGAGTTTGTCAACAATGTACTTAACAAGTAGCACAAATCAGAGCTTAAACCGTATGTAAAAGATGAAAAACTTTGATTTTCAGTGGTGTCAGGAAGAAAAAGAGGACATTATATGAGAATCTTAAAAAATTAAAAGAAGTTAAAATAAAGTGAGAACAGCAAAAAGCAAGTGACACTTCTATGCACCTGAGAGAGCACGTGGCTGTTTGCTGACTACTGGAGTGCATGTTAACACATGGTGGAAATGTTCTCTTACTCCAGAAACCAAGCTAGTCATCCCCAAGACCTGCATACCCAATGACCTGCACTCAAAACATCAGCCGATTTCAGTTTTTACCCCCACGTCTGGGGAAAGATAAATCCTACCCTGAAGCAGTCTGATGACTCCGGGTCTACAAACCCAATATTAGCCAACACCAGGTTCCAACTTGGTACTATCTGACCCCCTGAAACGAAAAAAGGACTTTCATCAGCCAGGGTAGGGCTCGCCCCAATGAGAAACATTTAGAAATCCAGAGAGGAGACTTATGCATGGCATACCTCTTCAAATGGCTGAAATGAGTGTAAAGAAACGTAACGCAGATTAAGTACTGGCTCGTTCTCTGACTACATGCTGCCAGCCATCACCAAGAACTACAAACAAACGTCGCCAAATCTACTGCTGCCTGATAACCCAGTTACCTTCACAGCACTGCACGCTGTACTCTTGCAATACTTTAACACAAAGTTTATTCCAAAAAGGTGAACTTCTACAGGCCTTTCCAAGGGTCTCAGAGGATGGGAGTGAGAAATCAAGGAGTGAAGGGGTCTTCCACAGTCTCCAAAACCCACAAAGGGCTTATGTCTCAGAATATGTCTCCATTTTAAAAGCCAGTAGCTTATTCCCATAAACACACAGGAACAGAAGAGAAATGGGAATGCCAGCCTCTAGGCCGTCGCGGCATGGATGTAGGCAAGTGGCAAGGACGTGTACCAGGCACCTGTGCTGCTACTGATGGGAGACTAGCACTAACATCCAGCACAGGGTTAGGAGAACTTTTATCTTTAAAAGTGGCTACGGACAGAAATTATTTATCAGTGTGATGAACCATGAGCTAACACATCCTGCATAATTGTCTCTATACTTGACTGGAAACCAAACAGAGGGTAACATGACACCTGACTTTACTTAAATCCTATTAGTAACAATATTTGGTGTCTGAATCAAAAGTTATATCAACACTATCATGACAGAAAATAAAATTCTTTATCTTAATAATTAGGTTTATTTTTACTATTATCAGTGAATTCTCATAATTGCTTTACAAGATGCCGTTTTTAAAAAAAATTACTTTGGCAGAGAGAGAGACAGACAGACAAAGATATAGAGAGACATAACAACTTACAAGTTTAGCTAATTATTTGTGACAATCCTTTGTTTTCATTATAAGCTACAATTTTCCAAAAATCTTTTGTTTTCACTATAAGCTACAGTTTTCTAACAATCTTTAGTTCTTATGGGTACAAATGTACTGGAATATATTATGATATTTGTAGAAATGCTTATTTCTAGTGATTAACCTATCAGAATATCCTTTACCAGGGGAATGAATACAATCTTTTAGACTAAAAGATTTTTATAAGAGAGGCCACTGAATCACAGAAAATAGTCACCACCTCTGCATTTTCTCCACTACACCCTCACCGTTGGCGTCACCAGCCCCCCACCATCACCCCACCTCCACCTCATGAAAATCTGATGAATGAGTAAGCTTGAAAATGGTAACTGCAGTATGAAATTCTTCTTTTACAATTACGTATAGAAATAAATGACATTTTTCCCCATCAAATAAAACAAAGACTCCAGATCATCATTTTTGCTATTTCTTTTTGTGTCAAAACAGCTTTGCCATCACTCCCCCACCCTTCCTGAGCCTAGCACGATGGTGCAGAATGTGACAGTGTGAGCGTGTACAGTGTGTCCTGCCATCGGGGGGACACGCACAGCACCCTACAGACCGCAAGGAACCGTATGAACCAGCAAGCACCAGCAGCCCAGGAGGAGGCGCCGCCGGCCTTCACGCGCATGCATGTGTGGGTGGGTGTGGGTGTGCGAGAGTGCACGCGTGTGCGCACACAGGTGTGAGTGTGTGCAGGTGAGTGTGTATGTGCATGGGTGTGAATAAAACATTTAAAATTATAGAGGCCCTACCATTCCCAAAATGGAAATGGGACAACTGGATCTGATGGTTAGACTTCATTCTTTAATTAAATCTTGTTAATATTTGTTGTCATAAAATGTGCCTTCTGGATGCCAATGTGTGCCTGAAGATATGCTGTCATCCTGAGCAACATGAAATTCTGTGTGTTCTAATGTGAGTGGACATAAGGCAATGTATACGGTCCCTGTTAGAGCCTCATATGACACCAACAATGTGTGAGCTGACGGTTTACAACGTAAACACACATACACCGTCTGAAAAACATTTTCATCTCAAATTGTAATTATATGAGGCACAAACATCATACCTTTAGCAAATCAGATAAAAATTATGTTTCTCAATTTGTAGCCCAACATTGTTTAAAACATCTTTGTTTCTTTAAAGAAAACAAGACTCACTCTAGTCAACAGTCATTTTTAGGGATGGGTGAGAAGTGACAGCTGTATTTGTTTTTTAATGGCTAAATGTGGTGAAGTTGCAAATTCCCTCGAGTCTTAATAACACTGGCTCTGAGCAATTAGGTTTGTTTTCTCCTCGAACTTGCATCTTAATCTGTACCCCAATTATGCACAAAATAAAGGTGTTTTCTTAAACCATCCTGTTTTATATTCCATAAGAGGCGAACACTCCCAGAACGCTGCCTCACTGTTATCGCTGCTCTGTGGATAGATGAACAAGTGTGGGTGCTTTGCTAAAGAGCTGAAGCAACAATAGAAGAAAGGCTTCCCTGAACATGCTCTGCTTTCTAAAAGTCAGCTTCAAATCTATGCTGAAAAATCTAGCAGACACCCCAAATACCCACACGCACTATGGAACATCCCTGTACCCCATCTCTTCCTCCTCGGTGGCAAAATATCCTGATGAAAAGCAGAAGGTGTGTCCCCTTCATAAAAGGTGCTCAGCTTTTGCAATGTTCCCAAATTTGGATGTTTGGAATCATTGGGATATTAGCATTTAATATGACAGGCCAGCTGACTAGGTGTTTCCATTTCTAACTCATCTGGATAGTAAATAACACTGTCTACATAGGAGAAAGGTAGAAATACTGGAAAATACAATGTTCAATTGCAGCATTTTAGAATGAAAATATGTTGAACAACCCACATTAACATACTTGGATTGACAACGACGCTATGGGACACGTATTCCCCTTGCTAGATGACCTGATATTCTCTCTAGAAGGAGAGTACAAGTATAGGGATACAGTGACAAGGAATTGAGTTCCAACTTAAATTCTTTTTAAATAGCACTAGCAAGCCAAGTGAAATGGCTCTTCTTCACATTAACAACTTAAAGAAGTAAAGTGACTCTCTAGGCAAAGAGAAGGCCACTCTGAAAGAGGATTATTTCCAATTACAAAGAAATGAGGAAAATACCAGTTCTCCTTCCTCCCTTTAAGTTTTAGCAGAGTCCTAAGAAATCTAGTAGAATCGCCCTGTGGTTTTGCCCAGCTGAAGATGAGCCTGGCAGGCAGCCCATCAGAGGGGTGCACACAGATCCCTGGCCCTCCTCCCCTCTTTCCCTCTCATCCTCCCTTAGAATGAAAAGAGCACGTTATTAGCTAAAGGTCTGCAAAGGAGACCAAGGCGCCTCGCGTGCCGGCGCAGTTCTGCAGGATTCTCATCTCTCAGACCTGCGTGCTCTTCCTCTTCTATCTGATAAACTATACATCCGAGCATTCTCATTAGGGCTCCCATCACCAAAGGGAGTGGAGATGAATCGGTCTATGCCCCCTCCCCTCTCTGCTCTGTCGAGATGATTTCATTGAAATGTTCATTTTCATCCCTGCTGGCAACATTGGAATGGAAGTATTTAACCTGTTTCCATTACTTATACAAATTACCATTATGGGGTAGGACAGATGTTAGAATCACGCCACATAACTGACTTCCATACATTCTTTACAGGAAGCGAGCGGAGAAGGAAGGCAGCTAGATCATATTATCCGGGCTCAATAATGTTCTCTCTGTTACCAGATTCATTAACTTCGCACATCAGCATTTCACTTTCTTTCTTCGTGGAAATTCCCAGGCTAGTTGGACTCATTTAATTTGGAGAGAGAAACCTTTGTCAGTGATAATGTTTTGATCAGGTGCGTTAAGGGGGTGGGGAGGGGACCAGGAAGCGGGGAGGGGGGAGCGGCAAGAAAAAAGAAGAGGGGGAAGAGGAAACAACCTTGTCGAAAATGCTACCTTCCCAACATGAATGATAAAAGAGAAGTCAGTTAGAGACGCGGGGGCTCAAAGATGGCTGTCACTTCAGATAGGCACGGGCACAACTCACCTAGACAGGTGACACTTTGGTGGAGCAAAATCCTGCTGCATTATTGAGCACACCAGGGATGGGGCTCAGGAAGACACAGGCCCAGGGTGCCTGGGGCACCCAGAGAAGTGAATTCTGCAGGTGAGTGGATTTCACTCTTCATTTGCATCCTTGAGTGAAGCGAGAGATAAAGTTTCCCAGCTAAAAAGATGGAAGAAGGTGCTTCAGTCCTAGTCTGGGTTCAAGCCTCAAGCATTCTTCACAGTATTCCTCCTTGATCTATCCGAAGGAGAGGCTGGAGGGATGCCCACTTAACGAGGTGATACGCAGGGCCCTTATGCTAGTCATTACTTGCATTTTCAAAAATTTAGTATAAACAATTCCTAGTCTAAGGATATTTTCTCCTATTTCTTCTGATCGGCTGCCTGTGAGGTCCCTGAGTCCACGCTGCAACCACGTCTCTAGACACAGACTATAAGTGGGATTCCTGGAGAATGCACAAGGTTTGGGTAACACAATTTCTAAAATAAATGATGCATTCATGGGGCATAAGAAACAAAACAAATTCTATCCCATTTGTTTCTGCAGGAAAGTCTCTTACTGAGACCAGCTGAAGCAAGCACAGGTCCTCAACTCCCAACTTTTAACTTCATTTCCGTGGTTCTCTCTTTCCCTTCGGCCTCCTTTGGTTCTGCTCATGAAAATGCTTGGAGAACAATGTTGAGTGTGCTTCACTTAATGAAAACAGACGGGGAAAGAAAAGATTCAGAAAAAAAGAAAATACATTAAAAAAATCTAAACTACACCATGGGAGTGGGCTAAACAGTGGAAGTTATTAAAGTCAAGTCAGAGTAGGAAAAAAGGATATTTGATGCTAACAGTTCCTAAATACTCACGACAGTAGCCTGAAAGAAAACAGTATACACATGCAAATATACTCTCTGTAGAAAGGGTAAGAAGCCCACTCCAATCATCAGAAGCAATTTTTTTCCAGTGGCAATATTGAAATCTAATCTCAAATAGGAAGCAAATATATTCTTGGATAATGATCCACCTGGATAGAGAAGGGTATTTTCCCAGCACACTTGTAATTTATTTGGGAGGACTATATTTGAGAGAAAAAAATTATTTGTTCTTGGATAAACATTTCATACCCACAGAATATCTGCTCAACCAGCGTTATGCTTTGCATTAAAATGTCATTGAATAATAACAAGTTAATATCTGTTGAACCCTTCCTCTGGACCAGCCACCATCGTAAGTACTCTACATGTATTAACTGTGTTAGCTCCTCACTGACACTACAAGGGGAAATCCTATTTCACTCTCTATTCCCATATGAGGAAACTGAGGCACAGAGGTTAAGTGAGGTGCCCCAGGCCATGCCATCAGTAAGACAAGGAGCAGGGGCTTTACCTAGATGGTCCACCCCACAGCCGGGGGTGGACACACAACCTGACACACAATCATAATGCCGCAATGGGCCATCTCTATCAGCAACTGTAAGTGGCATGAGTTTAAAACTGATTCCAATTTCGGAATAGGCTGTTTGCAAAATCAGGTTCTTGTCTACATGAAAGTCAACAAAACTGGTCTTGGGTAGTTCTCCCTAAAAGTTCTGGTCACATGTATCCGCTATGACAGGCTACAGAGGACACTATTTTCAGGACTGCCATTTATGGGATGGCTACAAAGCCCTGTCGGAATCTGTTTCCAGCCACGTCGACTCAGGCTTCATCACAGAGACAGAAGGTAGAACGGTGGCTGCTGGGAGCCAGGGGGGCTGGGAACGAGGGGTACTGTTCAATGGGTACCGAGTTTCAGTTTAGTTTGAGAAGATGAAAAAGTTCTGGGAATGGATGGGGTGGTGATGGCTACACAGCAATGCAAATGTATTTAATGCCACTGAACTGTACGCTTAATAAGAGTTAATATAATTTTATATATCGTATCAATTTTGTACATTTTACTACAATAGAAAAATAAGAGGATCAAAAACGTCTGTTTCCAACCACACCAGCCAGGCTCCCTCTGTGGAGTCAGCTCTGCTCCACCCGACAGCTGCCCCTCGACAAACAGGCTCCAGCATTGCCACCTGCCAGCCTTCAGGGCCCTCCCCCAACTTCCCCCAGCTCATGATTCCCCCACACCCTGCAGCCACTTAATCATAGCACAGGGGAGGTAACCACGGGTCTAGTGATCTGTCTTCCTGCTGGGCCAGGTCTCCTTGAGCACAGAACCACATCGTAGTGGACCTTGGATCCTGGCAGCTAACATGGTGCCTGGAACAAAGTAGCTGTTCCATAACTACAGGCTGGATAGTGAATTACAGAATGAGCAGACGCTGCATGTAATCCAAAGCAAACTGATGCAGATAAATGCACTGAGGCTGTGGCTTTTTTCCATACATGTGATGTCAATTTCCATGTGGCCCAATCACCTGGGAAGGTGAACCCTGCTGTATTAGAGCAGAAATACTTCTTTTATCAATCTCTAGCATAAAATACGTGTTTCAGGAGACTTTTTTAAAAATCGTATTTCCAGTATGCTGGCCACCTAGCCCATGTGGCAGTCAACATGAAGCCTCACTGTCGTCAATCAAACACAGTTCTTCCCAAGTTCTGAAGGCTCTAATGATTTGACTGTGAATAGGAACAACACATCAACTGGAATCATAAAGAGAGGAAAATGGGGTGGAAAAGGGAAAAACAGCCACTCTGAAATCCTGTCTCAGAAGATCCATCTTTCCTGAGTTGTGCCTCCCTTTAAATCAGTAAGAATATCTGTCAGAGACATCGCGCTACACCATTTGGCTGATGTCAAACCTAAATAAACCAGATCAGAAAACCAGCAAATGGCAGGAGGGAAATGAATGGGCACAGAGCAGTCTCACTGTAACTCGCATGGTTTGCTCGCTGATTTTTTGGGGAGGGGGAGGAGGGAAGTCGTGGCAATCACCGCAGTCATTTGCAGTACTAATGTCCAATTCAGCCTCCTTTCATTCCCCTGATTTAGGTGGTCAGAGTGGTTTTGTAGCCGACACGGGGAAGCTGCGCTGTTTAGCAGGCAGTTTAATGGGAAACTGGCAGTCTTATTTCTTTTCTAGATTTGGTTTGTCACTAGGTCTCCATTACATGCCACTCAGCTTTGATGTCTTTGGACAGGACTGATCAAAAGATGTCATTTGACCTACACAGCATGGCAGAAACTTGGAGAAGTCTCATAAAGCGACACTCTGGCTGTAAATAAAATGACATTATTATTTCCTCTCTCCTATCATGTAGAAAAGCCAATTATGGTAATGCACGGCATGTCAATGAAAATACAGCAATCTTTCTGGAGCAGCGACTGCAGGCATCAGTGCTGCAACTCTCCTTCCTGGGAAAATCTGCCCATTGGAAAATGAAGAGGAAGGAGGTGATAGATGTCTTAAAGACGGTTAATAAAACCCTGGACAGCCAAGAAAAGTGCAAGTCAGCAAAACAATTGGAAGTGCAAAATGCAAACTGTTAAGTTTCCAAATTATCTAATAATTTAATCTTTGGTGATTTATATTCTGTCACCAAAACGGCCAGTATCATGTCCTGCATTTCTGAGCATTTGACTGACAGGAAGGGCGATTTATATTGTTAATAACCCCCTTCGAACCCACTTCTTCTTAAGGAAGCTGACTCAGAGGGGAGGGGAAATTCTGACCTTGTCCCTGAGATTCATTTAGAAGTTGCAGTCATGAGGTGTAGTGCTGTCTGCCCTGTGTCGAGGAGACGATGTAAAATGTCATACAGGATACTGTGCTGCTATTGTTTCAGAATGCCCGATTTTATGCATCTCCACTTGTGCAAAACATTCACCATCTTTCTCATACTCAAGCATGTGTCAGAACTGAATATGCATACGAAAGGTCTCTCTTCCTCTTTTCAGAAGCATTTCTTATACCCAGCATCATTTCTGTGAGAAACGGCTATCATTTAACAGTACCTGCTTATTCACTCCATTTAGGAAAGAACTGAACTCCTTCCCTCTCCTTTATCCTCTCTCCTCCTAATGTCTCCTCCTAATTCGAGACACTCGAAGCCTATTGCCCGTGATGTGTTTCAGGACCCACTGGCGCAGCCCCACCACTGTTTACGCTCTGGAAGCAATGAGCAGCGTTCCATCTCCTTGAATCCCATCTCTGGTTCTTATTCCATATGCCAAACCTCTGAAGAAACCCTTACCACTAAGCCCACACACAGTGTGGCTGCCTGACTCCACGGTCTATGGGTGAGATGGGGTCTGTCTGTTCTGTGACTATCCTATGTGTCCAAGATGCAGCATCAACCTGTTTTTGGTTGGCATCATTTCTTCAACTCGGAAAAAGACGGCTTCACACCAGCTTTCGCAGGATTATGAGCAGAGCTGCAATGTAAAATGAGGTTTTCCCCCAGAGGACACATTTTAGTATTTCTGTAATCATGGTGTATATTCATTTTAAGAAAAAATAGAGCCATGCAATTTGTGTCCATTGAAATCAAGGAAATAAAGCAATTTTCAGAGCTACTAAGTCTATAACAGAAATAAAAACTTTTTGGCTATGTCAGAAAATTTTGAAAATGCTCTTAATTGTTTGGGTAAAAGAAATTTCATTATGACAAGTCATTTCTAAGCACACACTGCAACCACATCTTTTTTCCCTGCAATTTAATTTTGGTGCATAATACAGTGCAGATTAAATTTAGAAGCTTCATCACATTTTAGAAACTTTAAATAATATTCTTTATGTCAATACTGCCAGGGGCGTAACAAGATCTGACATTTGTAAGGCTACAAATTGCACTGAACACAGTCCCAGGGAGTCCCCGCCAGGACTCAGCGCCCAGCTCCTGCAGGTGATCTATAGGAGCCCACAACTACAGTTCTTGACTCAGGCACCATCAATTGCAGTCTGCAGGTGGTAGGTGAAAGAAAATTTAAGCTGTTCAATTTTAGTGCCACTTTTTGGCTTTCAAAAGACATCCTTATGTTTCAAGAGAATATAAGACTGTGACCTGTTTTCCTATCCTCTGTTGTGCTTCCTGAGGACTGCATTAATTACTATTACTTCTACATACAAGTTGGATTTCTGTTCATGAATATTCTAGCCAAGGTCTGTAAGGAGCTCACACCCACCCCTCCTCGAATCTCCTGCCTCATTACATGGGGACCTATGTTATCTGCACACGAACTCAATGAAAGGGTACTCTGTGAATTCTTGTTTTTACTTGGAGGCCTAGTATTATCTACAACCTATGATCAATCCACTGCATTGAAGTCAGAGGCTTTCCTCAAAGAGCTACTGTTTGATCTATTCCTAACTTGGAAAGAGAACTCTAGAACAGATGAGTTGACTTCGACAGCTAAGTGTGAGGACAGGGTGAGGCCCTAGCACCGGGCTGCAAGTCTCCTCCCACACCACATGTGTATCATGGGCTGTGGTCTGTCACCCTTCTAGTAAACCTTGTCCAACGGGACAGCATCGATCACTCACCCGGGGATGGGGACCTCTGCGGTCTAGGCTCAGGACACCAAAAAAGGTGAGCAGTGCAGGTCTCTGTGCAGTAATACAATGTTGATACCATTTGCTTTAATTAAGAGTTTCCTCAGGCTAGAAGGCTCGGTTCTTTCCAAAGAACACTTTTGTAAACTGATTCCCAAATCCGACAAGAAAAAAGACGGTGTATTGTTAAGCAATCCTAGAAAAGTGTATTTCAGTAAATATAAGTACTTTATTGCCTTTTAGGTGGGAATTCATGAGATTCGAGTAAGGGGGGGAAATAGTAAATTCATCATCGGACAAGAAAATGACAAAGCATTTCTGCATTTCTGAGCTTGGAAGGGGTCTCGTCTAGAAAGTGAGAGGGAATGAGATGGGGGAGAAGCAGATTTATCCACTGGATGTTTCATTCTCTACCCCAATATTAAATTTTATGTGGGGAATCTAGGAGTTTAAAAGCTTCACATTTTTGCGTAATAAAAAAGAAATACAATATCCTGTTGCTATGCACAGTGACACTTTATGCAGCAAAGAAAACCATTCTCCTTAGCTATTCTTTGAAATACGACCTACGACGTCATTTAATTTTTGAAAACCCTAAGGTCATGTAACACACTTTCTCTGTCATTTGTAAGTACATTAACTCAGCGGCCATACGACAGTGAAATTATGATAATGGGTTGCTAAAATGGGTCAGGCAGGCATCGCATTTCATGTTAGCTTCAAACAACCATCAGGACGCAGCCCAAATCAAATATGACAGTAGAAAAGCACAGTTTACTTTTCTTAAAGTGTTTCTACTTACTCAAGCACACATACATGACGAGCCAAAGGAATCCCACCTCAGTGAACTACAAGAAAACATTCCACTCAAAGACAAATTTCTCTTAAAAGTCTTTTTTCTTTTTTTGCTTTAAAACTCACAGATGTCGAGATAAAAGGGAAAGAAGAGGTCAAAGTGGGCTGCTTTCCAAAACATTTCTCTACCACGGTCCAAGATTTGAACAAGTGGGATCACATTCTGCATGTAAAATTGCTCTATGAAATTAAAATATTTTAAAACAGAAGCATATTTAACGTACCAATTTAAGCCAAAAAATCTCTCTTAATAACACTTGTTTTGTGCTGAACTCTTGTGAGAAGTGAGAAGAAACAGAAAGTAGAAATTTATTTTAGCTGTGGATAGTACATCTTTGCCTAAAGCGTAATTGAGTAAAAAATGCCTAGAATTCATAACTAGAAATGTTTGTCTCCTCAATGTCAAAAAATTCCTTCTAAAATAACAGATTTGACACTAAAGTTTAAGAATAAACTTTTAAAAAGACATTTAAGTATGCATACCCTGATAAGCTTATCCTGACTCGCTTCCATAATCCCGTATCTACACAGTTCCTTCCCTTGAACGCAGTAGCTGGCCTTCAGTTGGCCCAGGTATCATGCTTCTGATTCAGGAGACCCTGCCAAAGAACTCCACCTCACAGCACAATCACCTCGGGCTCAGAATTAAGTTGCTAACTACCTATGTATCAGAGTGCAATTCCTTTTAAATAGCCCTTTCCCTTTCTTCTCCTTCTCCTACACTTAAAAAAAAAAAAAAAAAAATCTGTCAGTGTAATAGTTCCTGGGAGAACGCTAAGCATGAGGTTGATGAACAGAAAGGCACAGAAACACCACCCGCATGCAAAAGTTATCTGAACGGCAGAGATAATTGCTAAAGTAATTATTTTGATAGAAGCCAGCTGAAAGCTTCTGTAGTGTATTTTACTATTCCCGTTAAGGGTAAACTATCCATTTCAGATATATGCTATCCACGAACATATTTACTGGATGACATATTGTTTTCAATTTCTTTTTGGAAAAATAATCATATCAAAAAGCAGGGACTTAAAGAGGACAGCCAGCTAAATATATTTTTAACACATACTTCTGATTATTGTACTATCATCTTATAAATGAGTGGCACTATGTGATCTTATGAAGCAGTATCTCCAGTCTATAAAATAACGCTGCATTTATAGCAAAGAGAAAAAACATAAAGGATATTCTGGACTATTCTATGGTTAGCATCAGCTTCAGCTCCTTGAAATGGGTGGAATTGATGGACAATGGAATAGAATGTAGTATAACTACAGTAGCCTTGAGCAAAGACACAATTATAGCTGAAAAGCATCTTAGATGCCTGACTGTTGCTAGCATCATGGTATAAATCAACAGTTGCTTCTTTCCTTTTCCTCTGCAGCTTCCTCCCCTCCAAACTCAAAACACAGAATCTTCCAGTATCAAAAACTTAGTAAAAGGTCATTTTGTTTTCCTCAATACTATAAAAATAGCATAACTGGATCTGACATCCATATGTAAATCAGCTCAAGAAAACACTGATTTTCCTTCACACTGAATTATTGTATCTGTATGAAATGTTGATACAAACAACATAACAAACAAAAAATACCATCTCTGTGGTTTAATCCCAAGATGAAATAAGAAACATAGACATATTGAACATGGTTACTGTCTCTTGGCACCATCACTAAAGCAAACCAGTTCCTTAACTGATAAGTACATAATTTAATTATGTTAAGAGTTAGGAATGCTAACATTCACTTGCAAGAAAAGGGATTTATAAAATATACAACAAGGTGTCAGAGAATATATTGATTATTGATAACTTATTTATACCGATATTTAACACAAAACAAATGGGAGTATGTCTCTACGAGACTGAGAAAGAACAAAGGAGACATTATTTAAATGGTAGTGATGTAAATGGAAGTGCAGGTAGACCTAGCACTTCACGGTCCTCAAAAAGGTGTCATAAGTCAAAGCGATAAAAGTTGAATTTGGTTTCACCCTAGAAATAATCTTAGCTTGCTAGATTACATTCCAGATGATTTCATGCCCTGAATTTTTTTAAAAAAAGATATGACCACAAGTAACATGTTTAATCAAATATTTAACGAACCTGCATACTGAATAGTATGAAGCTTCCTGACGCACAACACATTGACTGTGGAGGCAGCATGGCTTAAGAGAAAGAGCTCTGGACTGTTACCCAGAAAACCGGCCTCTTGTCTTAATCATACGACACTGCTGGGAAACTTGAAGAGGGTCCATAATCTAGCCTAAGTCTCTGTGTCCTCATCAATGAAAATGGCAGGGTTGGAGCAGATGATCTCTAAAAACCACTGTGACCTGAAAATGTTCTCTGAGCCCCTCGAAGGTCAGAAGCACAATGCCATGTACAGGGCACAGATGGAAGAGAGGGTGGTAATGCTTCTCAAGGAGAAGAATGGAGCCTCCCTGAATCTAAACAGATTTCAAAAGGCACAGGAAGAGGAAAGACGCTGAGAAGAGGAACTACATAAGGGGAGGCATGGCCACCAGAGACTGTGTGGCACTTGGAAACAGAGAAGTGCCCTGCTGCCATCCCAGAGTGAACGTTGCATTTGCTTTTGTTATAACAGGACCACTCTTGAGGCCAGATATATGCTTAATGCAAGCGTATTTTATAGAGAATAAATACTATTTTCTCAGGTTTAAAAGAACAAACCTGATGGTCCTAGCCAAGAGGCCAATTGACGATTTACATTCATATCATAAGCCTGTAAGCCACACTCTCCGTGTCTATATAGGCTATAGTCTGGGTAGCACCTGTAACAATGCTTGGCACACACTTGGTGAATATTTGTTGAATAAATAAAAGAAAAAATATAGAAAAGCATATACAATTATCTTTAATATGACTCAGTGTCATGTAGTACAACACAGTACCTTACTTCATCATTCCTGCCATGGTCTTTTGTTTGTTTGTTTTGTATTTTTTATAGTATCACTAAAGGGGAAGGCAGCTCCTTAAGGTCTATAGTGATCACAATCTTCTGGTAACCTATTGGAGCAAAATAAATGCTTTCTGAGAAATCAGGAGTTTTGCTTCACCAAGCTCTTATTTCAGTGTAAATTTCTTCCTAAAAAGGAAAGCCTCAGAGACCAGTTTTGCATCTCTCAACTGGCTCTGAGAGTCTGTCAGCTTTTTCAGGCCACCATCTCATCGAAACCAGCAGCTTCCCCCTGCACTCTGAAGTCACACCAGGCACAACCCCTGTCTCCTGGAGAGAATACAGGTCACTCCTCCAACTCTTCCTTCTCAACACCAAAAGCCTCAAGGGTTTGGCTTGAATCATGGCCAAACGCCATATGAGTTGTAGCTACTTATTTGCTTGTTCATTACACTTTAAGTTGATTTGTAAGGTTATCCTATATGGAAATTAACACGCACCCCCGACGTCAAAACTCTCATTTGATTTCAAATACCCAATAGCAAGTCTTTTCATTTCAGCCAAAGGTCCTACAGCATTCAAATGATGACAGCAGCTCTTAGAAGTGCACTGTGACTTCCTCTTATCAGTCATTTAAGAACTGAATACACTATGTAACTATGAAATGAGAAATTACGTTGTAAACAAGATAGAACCAGAAGCCTTGAAGAAAGCCACACCGAACTCACAGGCTGTGCACATGTCAATCTGGGCAGCAGCCCCTGCTGGAAGCAATGGCCACCCTCTTGCTCTGTGGCTGTGCTGAGGGACTGAGGCTTTCTCACCTCTGGTCGTCTCATCCAAGGTTGAGCTGATGGTCGTAGTGCATGGGTCAGGCCATGTATCAAAGGTGCCAGTATGAGCTGACAAGACTCCTGACATTCTTTAGAGAATGTCTTTCTGTAAAGAGGTGACTGTTGTCCTTCAAAAGAATCACCCTGGGAAGGCCATAAATGTGTTACAATGATGTTGTCATGAGTCAAAGCATTTTTGGAAGGTCTCTATGGCAGAGTTAGACAGCAAGTCTCTTAAGAG
Organism: Homo sapiens; assembly: GCF_000001405.40. Lineage (NCBI taxonomy): Eukaryota > Metazoa > Chordata > Mammalia > Primates > Hominidae > Homo > Homo sapiens. Next base: position 75,261,239 of record NC_000018.10, on the reverse strand, counting down.
ATACAGTTCTCTTACCTACTGTCCCAAATCCTCCACCCTTTCCCATCTCTCCTTTCCTTTTCCTACTTGGCGGGGTAGTAGTCCTTAGAGTTGTTTGTCAACACTCAGGTCCTGCTCCTCCGGGTACATCGCGGAACTGGACTTCTCTGTCTCCGTGGGAGGAGATGTGGCCAATGAAACGTGAGCGGAAGTGATACAGTTTCACTCCCGGGGGAAGCCCATACACCCCACCATGCTCCTCCTGGCCGAGATCCACAGCCAGGAAAAAGGGACGCGCGTCCCATGGATTGAGAAATGTCCATCCATTTTCCTTTGACATTAGAGCTCCTGTAAAGAGAGTAGGTATAAAACTAAGAGAGCACCTGAAGTCAAGCCACCTGTGGGTGCCTCGAACTTGGAGAGGTAAGGCTTCCCTGGTATATCACCACCACGGCCATAAGCTTGGGTCTGATGCCTGGGCATTCAACCAGGGCGTGTTTCACATCAATGTTGACTGAAGGAGTCACAAAGGCAAAACTGAGGAGCATCCAGGAAACTCCCAGTGAAAAGGCCGGGGCAGTGGTCCTCCCCTCACCTCCCCAACTCTGCCCTCTGCACACCTTTTTGAAGATCAGCCAGCAGCTGCCTGTGTCTCTCTAGTGCAGGACAGACAGCCTGAACTTTATGCACAATACTGGGCTATAACAAAATAGAAGGAAAAGATGACTTCGTTCACAGACACAGACAGAGATTCTGCTGGTGCTCTTCTGCATATTCCAAAACCATTTACTGAGCTTCTGCTACTTGGCACCAGACTACTTCTGCGGGGAATACAAGATGAAGACTGTCTTTGTCTTCATAGAACTTAAAGGTAGGATGTGAAAAAAGGAAACCTTCAACCCATTTTAATACACAACAAAATGCCGTAAGCAATATCCTAGAGTATAGGCTGAATGCTGGGGAAAATGCAAAAGCGGGAGATATTTTTCTTTTGTCCAGGAAGATAAAAATAAATATTTGCTATTGAAATGAATTCACACGTTAGTGACTGAAGGCCAGGGAAACACGAGAAGCCGCAGGCTAAGAGGCTGGCCTGGGGCACAGAAAGAACCCCTCCGGGGCCAGGCCTGCCCTCATTCGTGCATTCGTTCATTTATTCATTTACTAATTCACAAGGTTAGGAAAAGAACGGCTGAATCATGGGCCGATAGCTGCTATGAAGCACAGAGCTGACTTGAGACCTGAAAGGCATCAGTACAAAGGGCTGCATGGAGCTGGGACATCACACACACTCAAGAAGTGGAAGTTGCCGTTATCTATCCAGAGGGGTTCCCTTCCAGAAGCAATCTGGCAATTAAAAGTACGCATACTCTTTGACGCCAGGATATCCTACTTTTATATCCTTGGAAATAAAAGCACCCATAGGTAAATACCCAGCAGCATTGTTTAGGGTGATCCACAGCCTGAACATTTGCCAATAAGGTAATGTATCCCCTTAGTTGCAGGGGATACATTATACATACTGTTTTTTCTTCTATACGTACATACCCATTATAAAATTTAATTTATAAATTTGCCACAGTAAGAGATTAACAATTATAATAAAATAGGACAATCATAACTATGTACTGTAATAAAAGTTTTGTGAATGGGGTCTCTTTCTCAAACTATCACACTGTACTCACCCTTCTTCTTCTGTGATCTGTTGATTTGATAACCAAGACAGTTACTAAGTGACTAACCGGGGCAAGTGGCATCTACAGTCTGGATATGCCGGGCAAAGGGGTGATTTGTGTCCTAGGAGGGACCGTGTAGGACTGTACAAGATTTCATCACACTACTCAGAATGGCACACAACTTAAAACTTATGCATTTATTTCTGTAATTTTCTGTTTAATATTTTTGGACAATGGTTGACTGCCTGTGGGTGAGTAAAATCGTAGAAAGCAAAACTGAGGATAAGCGGGGCAGCTACTGCAATGGCCACTCACATGGGCCGGCCACACCTTGGAGAGTCTGCAGCATGAAAGAGACTGAGTGAAATCTCTCTCTGGAGCAATGATCGCGACTTATTTTTAAGTGCAAAAATCAAAACTGTGCTGCAATGAATTCCATTTTTTAGAAAATAAAGAAAACCCCACACACATTCATACGTTTTCATAGACCTATGTGGGCACATAGAAAGGTGAGGAAAACAGAAACAGGCGGCTCCTATTGGTTACCTTGAGGGGAGGAGGAAAGTGAAATGGACAAAGGGCAAAAGATGAGTGACCTTCTTTGACCTTTTCTTATAAAATGTCAATGCTTTATAACTTTGTATTACTATTTTTAAGTATCTGTTTTTATAATTTTTTTAATAGCAAGTTAAGAACATGTGAGTAAATGGCAGCTGGCAATAACATCACCACTGCCATCATCGTCATCCATCAGTGGATGGCACAGTCACCTGCCCTGATCTTCACTGTGAGCTCGAGTGAGGAGGGCAGTCCTGGATGGCTACTCTAGGATGGCATTTTTCTCACTGAGGGCCATAAGTCACTAGTGGATCATGAAATCAGTTCTGTAGCATCCTTTTAATAAAATAGAATAGAAAAGTTGACAACCTCACCTTAGTAAAGTCTAGTATGTTTCTGACACACTGACACACACATTTATATACTGTATCACCATGGAAAATATATTTATTACAGAAAGTCATTCTCTAGGAGAAAAAAATTTCCCTTTTTCCCAAATAAAGAAATCTTTATTTTTCTTAAATGAGGCCTGTAAAGCTTAGTTTCTTGCATTTATAAAGTACACAAATACTTGCAACTTTACAAAGAAGCTATCTAACCTTTACAGGAAATCATGCCCATGTGTACTTATTGAAAGCAACCGTTACTACATGTGAGATTTTAAGTGTGAAACAAGTATATATGGGAGCATATGAGATACAAGCTCATATAGTAGACACTAGAGATGTTATTTCAGTACAAAATAAATGTCGCTTGGGGGTGCGGCACTTGCAGAGAGCACCCTGACAGTGGGTACCACGTGCACTCCATCAACACATCCAACAAAACCCGCATGGTGGCTGTGGAGGAGCACAGAGGAAGGGTCCCTGTACTGGCCTTCACACACTGCAGTGACGCTGCAGACACCGAGTCACGCTCAGGTGAGAGAGTCTCCCAGACAGAGGAGCAGCAGCCGGCAGATGGGTCCTAGGAGCAGGTCGAGGCCGCCTCCAGGAGCACTGCTCCACAGGCCGGGAATTCCTCTCTTCCCGCTCTGCTAGGAGTCCAGATGCCCCCTCTGATGACGAGGCTGTGACGTCCACAGCCCCGTGTGCAGCCCCGGTTCTAAGCGTGCAGCCCTCCTATCATGTACTTCACACAACAGCTCTATCATTTTACAAAGAAACTGAGGCAGATGAGGCACCCAAGCTCACAGAGCTAGGGGATGGCAGAGCTTCTGTTACCACGGGAACATGTGCAACATGACTAACGTGACGACTGGCGTTTGAATCCATGAGGAGGAGGAAGGGCGCGTACAAACATTCTGGCCTGATGCTTCCTCATCAGGAATACCAAATCAGAGAGATCCCAGAGGCAAAAGCAAAGCCGTTCCTTAGTTCATCTGCAGACACCAGCCTTTTTTTTTTTCTGTCTACGAACACTAAGTTTCCTAAAGTAACTGAAGACTAAATTTTTAAAAAATGAAAAATTTCCTAAATTAGTAACTTACAAAATATCCTCAGATAATCAATAATCCTTAAAAACATTTTCTCACAGAAAGTTGTATTAGTTCAAGCACTTGCTCTTATTAATTGGTTAAACTCTCACTTTCTCTGCCTTGTCCTAGCCAAGATTCTGAAACATGGGCAGAATTATGTGTGGGTTTTTTGTTTTTTGTTTTGGCACACGATGAGAAGAGGCATGGCTTACAACAGCAATAAAAAGGACCCAGCCCTTTAAAAAAGTTTAGCATCTTCTGTATACATTAAGGTTTTTGGTAAATGTTTCAAATGAATTACCGCAAAACAAGGGAAATCACATGCTACTCGGGGCCTTGAATAATCTCTCAATGAAGGAGGTTAGTTCATTAATGATCCCCCAATTGAAGGTCAATTTGATAAAGCTCTTCAACTGTCTTCTTTAAAACTGCAACCAATAGAAGTATGGGCCCCTTTCATCAGCGATGCAGATAGAGTAGGGTGTTTCACATACATCTTTGAAGCAACAAATGCACATCACCACTCTTTTTTGATAAACAGGCAATACAATCAAGTTATCTGAATATTTTAAAAAGAGCAGCATTTCCCCATAAGTGTATCATAAGTAAAAATACTTCATCTGAAATACCAAAACTTAAAGATTAAAACATAATCTTAATTCCAAGCATCAAACCTCCAGCTACCTAACTATCCGAGGTTGTATTCGGGTGTGGAACAGGTAAAATGCACATCATCGAGATGTTTTGGTATCTACATAACACATGTTGCTTCAGGAATTACCCAAAAACTTCATATTGCATATACTCATGAAAATTACTAAAATCACTAAAAATTTCAAACAGAAACAACAATTTAAAGAAGAAATGAGATTTTTCCCCACATTTCTTTCATCTAATTCATGAATCACTATAATGATGTTTATATGAAGATATTTATAGAAAATTCCAGGGAATTGCCAGTTCTGGCTTTCACTATGATCACTAACACATAGATATTAAGAAATCTCTTCCCTCTCCATTTTGTGGCATTTTTAATAGGAGAAGGTGGAACTATCCAGTAAAGGCAATGATATCATATCTTATTTAGGCCAGGGGAAGTAGACTCAGTTTAGGCTTCAGAATAACTATACACACCCCTCTACCATGGGTCATGTGGTTCAGAAACCTCTGTGACCCAGCTGATCTGCTATGACCAGACCTAGAACACTTTGATCTGTCTGATTTCTGGGCTTCAATGACTGAAAATTAACAATGAACAGCTCCCCTGCTACCAAAAACTGCTTTGCAATTATTTTAGAAATGGAACCTAATTTATAAAGTAATGATACAATGCCTGTCAATGATAAGCAATACTACCGTTGAAAATTAATTCATCTTAAAGAAGTCATACTCCTTATGATTGCATAGTTACATTGATAATAGATCTTCTTTGAAAAATTGTTATTTAAAGCACAGAAATATCTGTTTCCACTGAAATAGTTTTAGTTGCCTATTTAAAGTCATTTGAGTGTCTTTATGCATTAAAGTGTTATCATTCTTGCCTTGGCCAATATCCCTATGAAAATAGCTCCGAAATTAAATTCCTAATAAATTAAGTTAATAATTCACCTTCATTAAGTAATTTAATTTCTTTAGTGAGCAATAAATAGTTCTGATGACATTCTTCTAGGACATAAGTACAAATGTTAATTTCTTCATTAGCTCAGTCTCTTCCTGAGTACAAGAAGTAAAATACACATGCAGAAACGTGGTCTATTTGTTATCTTTTGTTTTTGTAACTGCAGCATCACTGGAACAATTCCATTGTGTTTAACAGAAATCAAACAATTTGGGCAGCTGTGTTCAATGAAAAGTAATTTCCTAGAAATCTTCAAACCCGGACTTCAATTTTTTCATTTATGTTCAATCTACATACGTATATTTTAGCAATCAAGAAAATCACACAGGTACTAAAAAATACAACTGGCATTTTCCTGGGAGTATTATTAGATATTGTATCACATATAAAATCAAAGAGTTACAGTTTTTAATGCGACAATTGGCTTGTAAAATATCCCCAGCTATGTTAGGGGGAAAATGATTGGTTAGAAGATATAAGTTATTACCTGTAAGTATAAATAGCATGTTACCTGTATTTAGCATATTTGTTTCCTATTGAGATAAATGTACCCTGGTGGTCACATTCACACATTTAAGTAACATTTCCTACAGCTCTACCAGGCATGGAAGAGCAGCATACCACCTCCATGGAGGTGTGAAAATGAAAAACTAGAGGTGAACAGGCAGACGTGAATTCAACCAGACCCACATATGCTGAAACAACACAGTGAGCGTCATCCTCTTCCAAATGCGATATTAGAGAAAGCATCCCAGATGGTAGAGGAGGAAGAAAGGAAATATACATGTCAGAGGAACAGAACCAAATTTTTTCCAGCAAATTCAATTCAAAGGATACATACATTAAAACAGATACAGAAGGTGTGTTTCATCATCGAGAGACTATATGCAAAAAATGTGTCCATAAAATACTTAAAGAATTTATACTATCAATTATTGAAAGTATATCATGAAGTAAAATCACAACTATTCTGGGGAGTCATTTTTGGAGGCTGGGTTTTCTGGATAATTGGGAGTTTACCCTTTTAAACAGAATTTTATAAAAATGTTTAAGCACTGGAAAAATCTACATAAAATCTACATGCTTTTGCCACACTATTTAAAGCATGCTGAATAAAATTAAAGTTCTCTAACAACTAGAAATAAAACCTGTGAGCGATCAGTGATAACCAGAAAGGGCAAAGAGCTATTCCATTTCTAAGAAAAGGCCCACAGTGCTGTGCTTTTCATATTATTTATTATTTTGCTATAGTTTTTTTCCTTCTCTTCTTGCTTACTATTAGGTCATCTGCTATCATTTCTCCCTGTTATCTGTGTGTCTTTTCCCACTCCCAATTTACTACTTTTAATTTGCTGTAGCCTAGAAGATACTCGTGAATATCAGAACTGTGTGTAACAGAACAATAAAATTTAAATAATGATTGACAACCTGGAGATATTGTCTATGAGTAAATAATGAATTCAGTACATGGACTTTTCATGCTCAGTGTCTTTTTATCCCTTCTGATTCTTAGTTCTGATCTAGAAAAATAAAGATGGTAATTAATAGGTTTCTGCATAGACGAGGTTTTACTATGTTTCAAAAAGATATTTTCTGTTAATGTCTCAAATCCTTATTTATGTATTATCATATTAAAGCATCCTGTAGTCCCATAAAGCAGTAGTATTCCCTTTTAACAGAGAAGAAATGGGTGGCTCTAAGAGACACATTTATTAAAACTGAGCAAAAACATGACTGTCAATTCCTTGCTTTAACTTCTAAATCACAGTGTACTCGAATAGCAAGCCAAGATTTAATTTTCATTTTTAAAACCAAACAGAAGCATGAAAAAGGGGAAAATATTTTACATTAGCTTAAAGACGACCATGAAAAACTACCCCAAACACAGGAATACTGCAGTCAATGCTACGCCAGGCCCAGGCCAGGGGCTAAAGGATCTGGAGATTACGCAACAGGAATTAGGCCTGTGCAGTGGCAAATACAAACCCATATGATTTTATATGTTTTTAAAGATTCTCTCACCACTACCAGATAACACTGATCTGAAAAACTGGTGGGTATTTTATAAAGCAGCACATCTGAACAATATCTGCAAAAGGCCTTCCCTAAAACTGAAGACTGTGAGAAAATTAGGAAGATTTCATTATTAACACACCTTTTAAAAAATCAGGTCCTTTCCCTCATGCCTAAGCCATCTATCCAGTGGGCAATTTTTACTTGCACATATAGTTGCTTTCACTATTTCATTGTGTTTAAGCCCCTTTTCCTGCCAATTCACTCTGAAAAGATTTCACTTTTTAAACAGTCAGCCTTCACAGACCTGAAGATGGTTTCCTTTTCCAGGGTAAATAATCCCAGTATCTCACTGATTCTACACTACCCAAGTAAAATTTCTGCTTCCCAAACCTCCGCTGAAGAGCGGGAGTTCCCATGCTGCTGCAGCCTGGGCTGATTTTAACCATTGATTATTTATTTGCAGAAGATGCGTTAAGGCATCATTGTCAACTGATATTTGATTTTTTAAAAATCCAAACACTCCCCATTGATTCAGCAATGTTGAAGAGTTATAGTATTTTCTCAAAATAGAAAAGCCACAAGAGAAGGTCATGATAAAAAAGTACTAAAATCTAGTACTGAAATCTAGCTACCACATACAAAGGCAAACAACAGCATCTGCTAATACAAACAGCTAATCAGAAAGATTCCCAAAATCAACAGCATCTCAATACACAACCAGTTAAAATATAACAGAAAAGTCCATTCACAAAGGAGAAAATCACAAAAACAGATAAATAAATAACCTAGGCGATTACCTCTGAAAAAACTCACAAAACTTAATAGTAGCAAATAAGATTTGAATAAACTTGAAAATATACCAAAGTTGTTTTTAGAATGGAAAATTTACCACTATAAAGATGCTGAGTATTCCAGAATTAACTTATTAAATACCATTTCAGTCAAATTACCCAAGGTGTGACAAAAATGATTCTAAAGTTTCTTTAGGAGAACAGAAAAAAGTATTCATTGAAAAAAGGAAAGTAATGGGCACAGGGGGTGGGTAGAAAGCTATATTATTTAAATTGTATTTTATAGATATAGTACTTAAAACAAGGGGACACAGGGCAGGAACAGAGGCAGATTGTTCATTGAAATCAAAATGGAATTTGAAAGACAATCGCAAATATATACATATATACATATATCTATATTCTTGGTGTACAATGAAGTTAGCATTTAGAATTCCAATTAGGAAAAACAGATTTTTAAATAAATGGCATTTAGAAAAATAATAAGGTGAGATGCCCTTCCCACACCATATACCAAAATTAATTTTAGATGTATCAAATACTTAAACATAAAACAATCAATTCATAAAAATAAAACTGAATATTTACATAATCTTGAGAATTGGAAGGCACCTTTAAACATCACTTTAAAAGCAGAAACTATGCAAGAAAGGACCAACTAAACTACATAAAAACAACTCAATATATCAAAAAATGCCATAACCCAGAGAAATGCATGTCACTGGTGGGACTGAAAATGTGCACGACCTTCCCAGAAGGCCAGTTGGCAGTACACGCAACAAAATAATTTAAAACATCCAAAACCTTTGACCTGGTAATTTTACTTGTGGGAATTTATCAAGGAAATGATGAGACTATGGCCAAGATATACATACAAAGATATTAATTACACAGCTGTTTATAATATGAAAGTGGGAGAAAACCACACTTCCAACAATGGTTGATTTCTCCAGTAATTTGTGCATAACAACAAAATGGGATACTATACATGCACTGAAAATGACAAAGATAGATAAATAGATACAGAGACAGAGATAAATATAGATAGACAGACAGACATTAATAGATCTGCATAGGAAGTGATCCAGAAGAATATATACCCAAATATCAATTTTGGTAATTTCTGGATGATGGGATTTCAAATAAGTTTCATTAATTTTTAAATTTTTTTCTTTGTTCAAGTTTTTCTAAAATAAGCCTGTATCACTTGCATAATCTTAAAAGACAACAGAAGGTGGGGACTGCAAGTATAGAGATGCTAAAGCGATGAGTTAACACCTTTATTCCAGCTTTTCCAAATGAGTAAGATGATGGAACAAAGCAACAGAAAAATTAGCAAATAACATGACCGAAAATAATTCAAAAAGGAAAAAATACCTTTGTCTCATAAAACATATGGAAAAATTGCTCCCCCCTCACGTGTAATCCAAGAAATGCAAGCTGAAACAACACTACTTCACAGTTACTAAACTGGCAAAGATTGTCAAATTAAAAAATACCCATGCTGGCAACGGCCCAGGAATATGATCGTTTTCATGCACTAGAAATGGAAAGATAGATGGATATATTTTGAAAACAGGTTTGCAGTAGGTGCCAAAGCTTGACCAAGCAATGTCAAAAAAAAAAAAAAACCCTAAAGAAAGAATAATGAAAATGTATAAAGAATTGTGTAAAAAGCTGTTCACCATTTAGTGAGTGAAAAAGCAAGCCAATAAATACTACCATCCTCCCATCTTTGTTTGAAAAATATCTGTAGAGCAAAAAAAAAACAAGAAAGAAAAAGACCCTGAAAGAATTCAGATAAGAATGTTCACAGTAAGCTACATTGGGGTAGGAGGATCTTGAATAATGCTTTTTTTGGTTTGTTTATTTTTCTGTGTTTTTCCAATTTTTCCATATAATATTAACACTTTTGCAAAGAGGAAAAAATATTAGATAATTTAGAAGCTCCTTGCACATAATTTTATTTCAAACTAAAAAGATAATTTCTAGTTCGAAATTATTTTTCTTCAGTAATTGACTTTACCAGTAAAAAGAAATAGAAGAACACACTGACAAAAGCAAAGTAATTTTTTAAAAGATCCTACAAAAATAGGAGAGTGTGGTCTAAATAACTCCTGTGCATGGGGTTAACTACTACACTCATTGCAAAGAGGCATGTCCCCGCAAACACGCCCGGGGCTGGTACATCTTGAGGGCACAGGCACTGAAATAGGTGTCGGGGGTCTTCAGACCACCCTTCGTCGGCTGCAGAACTGCGGCCAGGCCTCCGCCCTCCCACAGGCACCGAAGGAATCGAATCCATCCTGGACCCTCGTCTGTGCCAGGACATCAAGCCACTGTTGACCCAGTCCCGCTCTGGGTGACCTGTGGCCTTCATCCCAGACCCATCCGGACGGTAAAGGCCCGGCCCACGAGCTCTGCTAGCACCTCATGCTCTCAGAGGGGAGATGCACTCAGCCCTGCTTTCCCCGGGCCAAGGCCGTTCCCGGGCTCAGTTTCCAGGAAGCGGGGACCTCATGCAGGTGCTGCCATGGGCACTGGCTGAGCCGACCCTCTACCGCCTGGCTGGCCCAGCACGCTGCAGGCACCCCGGACCCTGGGCCAGCCCGCACCGCCCCGTCCACGTCCACGCGGGGAGGGCAGGAGGGCTTGCGCCCACCCTGGCCCCTTGCTGCAGGGAGGACAGGCCGCCTGCCAGCTACAGAGCGGGACGGAAGGGAGAGCCCACAGGGGGAGGCAAAGCTTCTAGAAAACACTGGGGACTCTGCGGGGAGAAGCTCCTGCCGGGGCTGGGCAAGTGGGGCGAGGGTGTGGGCGTGGAGCGTGGAGGCTGGGAGAGTACCCTTGCGACTGGGGACAGGGAAGAGCCTGGCAGGGCCAGCCAGGAGGTCACCCCACTCACCTACAGCAGGGGTGAGATGGGGAGGTCACCCCCCCACCTACTGGAGGGGTGAGAGGGGGAGGAGGAAGTCACCCCCCACCTACTGCAGGGGTCAGACGGGGAGGTCATGCGTCCCCCACCAACTGCAGGGATGAGGCAAGAAGGAGGAAGTCACCCCCACCCCCCACCTACTGCAGGAGGAAGGCAGGAAGTCATGCGTCCTCCACCTACTGCAGGGGTGAGATGAGGAGGTCATGCGCCCCCCACCAACTGGAGGGGTGAGACGAGGAAGAGGAAGTCAACCCTCCCACCTACTGCAGGGGTGAGATGGGGAGGTCATGCACCTCCCACCAACTGCAGGGGTGAGGCAGGGAGGAGGAAGTCACCCCCGCCCCGCCTACTACAGGGGTGAGGTGAGGAGGAGGAAGTCATACCCCCACCTACTGCAGGTGTGAGGCAGGGAGGAGGAAGTAACCTCCCCCCACCTACTGCAGGGGTGAGGTGAGGAGGAGGAAGTCATACCCTCACCCCTACCTACTGCAGGAGTGAGGCAGGGAGGAGGTCATACGTCCCCCACCTACTGCATGGGTGAGTTGAGGAGGAGGAAGTCACCCCCACACAACACACCTACTGCAGGGGTGAGGTAGGGAGGAGGTCATGCATCCCCCACCTACTATAGGGGTGAGATGGCGAGGAGGTCACCTGCCCCTACCTACTTCAGGGGTGAGATGAGAAGGAAGTTACCTACCCTTCCCCCCTACCAAAGCCACCCCCATCCACTGCAGGAGTTAGATGAGGAGGAAGTCATCTGTTCCCCCCACCCACCCGCCTGCACCCTGCGCCACCTACTGCAGGGGTAGGGCAGGGAGAAGGCCAGCTGCCCCCACCCGCCACAGGGGTGAGAGCGATGCAGAGCCACAGGGCATGATCCTCTCCCCAGGACCCCGTGGGGGCAGGCGAGGCACCCAGGGCTCTCAACCCGTGTGGCTCCGGGGTCTCCACCAGAGGAGTTGCAGGAAGACCACTAGGAAGGATGTGTGTCTGAGCAGCCTGCCCGGGTAGCAGGTGGGGCCTGGGTGGCCGCAGGGACAAGGGACAGAGAGCAGCCACGGCCTGGAGCCCAGAGCCCCGGGTAGGCAGGAGGGCGGTGAAGGACCTGGCTTTCCCCCAGTAGCCCAGGGACCACAGTGGCCCAGATCTGGGGCTCCCATCCAAGCCTCTCCACCCCAGGGTGCCCGGCTCAGGCCCCGCGTTAGGAAGCAGACACCTGGGCCTCCTCCCACGCGGAGGTGGCTCGCCTGGTACTGCTGCTGGTGGGTGACCCTATGGCTTCACGGCACACCAGCTTCTAAATCCTTGCCTCTGCGGCTATTTCTAACCGTTCCCCCACACAAGACTTAGCAGAGCGTGCAGACACCACAGAGGGTAATTAAACCATCACACTCGCAAAGCTGGACGCACAGGCAAACACATGATGTATTGTTAACAGCAAGTATAATTAGGCAAGTAAACGTATATCTATATGTCATAGTTAACTGAAACATTAGCTTCCAATAAACGTATAAAATGGATTCCAAATGAGGGGAAAAATTTCTTTTAGAAATTTGTGGTTTTCTATTTTCTTTCACTTCAACTCTCCATTAATGTGGGCCAATTAACTGTCAATTGGATTTACAAAAATGTGTTTACATTTTCAGCCCCATATTTGTGAGTTCAGCATTACTCAGTCTATCTTACGATAAATAACCCTTGGATTATGTATAATGATAAGAGTATCTAAACAATCACAAGGTAATGCCTGAAATACACACGAAGGTGAGCGTGAAGGAAACATGTGGGCCACAGTCTAGGACTTTCCAGATGAACCTGAGGGTGAATACACTTCGATCACCTTCCACAGGCAACTTCATCATATGATATTTCTGAAGGGAAAAAGTCTTCAGTAAAAACAGAATTATTAACTTGCGCCAGAATCAGAACCTTATACTTGAAGTAGAATACAATTACTGAGGCCACTGATATTATGACAGAGCTACATTGCTATCACTGTCTATAAACATGATGAAAGTCTTGTCTGCCTGATGGATACAGTTTCCAGTATGAGAAACATTTTTGTAAGCTCACATATATTTTTCATATATAGCCTCAAATAATAGTTCTAGATGGCTTCTATTGTTCCAACCTCCTCAAAAAAATTATTTGGCTAGTGCGCTTATCTTTATATTTGAGAAAACAGTGCTTTCTTACTGTGGTTTCTGAATGCACCGGAAGCCTAGGATTTACTTTCACTTTGCCTGCACTGTGGCTCTGAATAAATAAAATCTTTTGCTATCACCCTTTCCCACTAAAATGAACAGGAAGTAAAAAAAAAAAAAAAGTAAGGTCTGAACATTTCAAATAAATACAGCAACAAGTATATTTAATGATAAGGTCACTGATATTTTTCACACTTCAAAAGAAGGACAAAGCTGTGCTTCTCTGCTGTGGGTGAGTGTGTGTGTGCTCACATATGAGTGTGTGACTGCTCCTCCGTCTCTCCCTTCTAATTATACCAAATACGGAGAACACTGGAAAAATTACAAAAATGGCTTCACCTCTATCTATATCAGAAAATCGCTTTACTGCAATAGCATTAAAAATGTAGGCACCAGTTCTCATAAGCAGAATGAGGGAAACAGTGTTTTCCAAAGTGAAATTTCAGGGAATCGTTCTTTTCAAAGTAAGATAACTTAAGGGGCAAGGCAATTCACGCAACTGAATCTAGCATCTGTTTTAAGTCATAAAGGCCATTACATTTTGTGGGTTGTGCAATTTGCTGTTTAACCAACTTTCTACAAAAGCATGGTGAAATGGCATATTTAAAACCAAGGGCAAAGGGACTCCACTCACTGAGAGAAGAGGCACAGCCCCCCCTGGCAGGAGCAGTGTGGCCCTCTGGGGTACCTCTCCCAGCAGCAGGCCCACCGCCTCAGCCCTGACCGCATGGCCTGCTCCTGGCCATTCCACCTCCTGTTTTATCTGTCAGAAAACACTGGCATTTGGTGAAGGTGTACGGTCGGTGGTGGGTCGATGCGGCAACTGAAAAGAAACTACAGCCTAGGGCACTTCCAGTTCAGCAACCCTGGGTAGCAATGCCTACCAAATGCTCTTCCTGAACAGAAAATTATATCTGGGTGCCTCCATTTGCTCGAGCAAAAAGATTATTCAGAAATCATATATACCACCAAAACACTGCAGGCTCAAACTTGGAATAAATCCTCCACTCCCGCTCCCTCTACAGCATTTTCAAGCAGGGCTTTAGTACTCCATTATTGTGAATGTTCTTTGGCCCACAGCAAAAAATATTGACAAAATTCTGCTTTTAAGACAGTTATTGTCTCTGTCTACTTGATAGCAGCCTTCAGAAGTTCACCTGCTAGCATTAAATTCTTGAGTTTGGGTGAAAGGAGAGAAAATTTGCCACATCTCAAGCTCTTCTGCTGTAGCAGCAGCAAATCAAATTATTCTTTCAATTAAACTAGCTTTGTGCCTAAAAACAAAAAAAGGCCACAGGCTTTCTTCCCCCACACAGAGAACTGAAGCCATCACCCCTTTAAACCCCATGACTTGAGCATGATCTCCACGGCTTAGTATTCTTGGATAATACAGCTCATAAAATTAAATCTACTCTCAGAGATTTCACTTATCACTGTGTGCTGTGAGCTTGCAGGCAATCAAGGGATCAAGAGTTCTGCACTGGGGTGTGTTTTGATGGACCTGATACAGGGATATGACCTACCTCTCTCTTTCTCTCTGACACACACACACACACACACACACACACACACACACACACACCAGAAACCAAAAACACCCCATCAGAGGTTGAACAGAGAACCAAGGCCCCCATCGTCATCCCCACTGCCCTGAGATGAGAAGAGACGCTTCCCACTATGAAGCTCACAGGACTTCCTCACCTTTGCCACACACGTTAGCTACATTTTAGCACTAAGACAAGCCCTGAACAGTGCATGCATCTGGCCAATTTCCTTCCAAAGAACTGGAGCTGGTCTTTCGTAGGAAATGCCCAACTAACAAATGCTCTGTTTGACTTTCTTTTCAAAATGTTGGCTTTCAAGAAGCAAAACGTGAAGCGCAGGTCTTGGTTGAATCCACGCTGATAAGGTAAAGGCGCTTCGGTGCTGGTGACGTGCCTGGAAGGGCGGTGAGGTGGTGTTTGCTGGGGGAGAGGGGAAGCCCGCTCCCCTGGCACTTATTTGATTCAGAGCATTGTATTTGTGGAAGTCAAAGCCAAGTGCTAACCAAGATTTAACACTAAGACTAATCAGAACAACACTTAGTACAAGAAAACACAACTTTTTTTCTGTTATGGTACATAGAGTGGGCATCCATTGAGAACTTGGCATCTTTTGTTAAGCACCATGATTATGAATAATTTATGATAGAAACTGACAGTGACTTTATCACAAAGCTGTGGATGGAGAAATAGAAGAACACTCCAGGACCTGCCTGGATAAGACAACGACTTCCCGGATGTGAAACACAAAATCTGTCATTTGACTAAGCAAATTTTACAGGGACAAAGGGGTAAATTTGCTAAAATAAAATCAATCAGAACAAAACAAGAAACTAAAAATCTGGCAGTTTTAAAAATTCTCCATTCTTGCGGTGATTGCAAGGAGACAGCCCACGTCTGGTGCAGCGGGCACCTGGAAAGCCTGACCTTTTCCTTTTAAGAGAGCTCCACAGGTTTAAAAATGGGACACGCACAGCAGCATCGTACAAACTAAAAAGATATTTAAAATACCAATTACATAGTTAAAAATTAACACTGACATACCCTTAAAAATCCAGGGGTTCCTGAAAATGTCTTCACTTTAAAAAGAGGTATGCCTGCAAAGTCCAAGCTCCTGTTTGTTTCCACAGCTTCAGGTGGCACTGGCTATTTCCCGCATCCAACTTCTAAAAATACCAATGTGGAGTTCAACTCCTCCATGCATTTTTCTTTTTTACCTGAAGGCAAAAAGTCAATCCGGTTTCTCTTCATAGATTGTGGGCCTGGTTTTAATTTGTGCAATAGTCCTTTTGATAACAATGCCTAGTTAAAACATCCACTAGAAGTCTGTAGCAGGCATTTAATGGAAGGAAAATCTAATAGGGTTCCACTGCAACTCGTTCATTAACTTTTAAAAGAGTTCTCTCCTTCAGTGTTGACAGAGAAAGATGGTGCATGTGGGCAGAAAGAGGGAGGGAGAGACAGACAAGAGAGAGAGATGGGGGAAGGTGGAGAGAAAGAGAGGAGAGAGAGAAGAGACAAACGTTCACATATTTAGGGCTGGATTATAAATCTTTGAAAGGAATTCGGTCAAACGGTCGTGTTTTTCAGCCACCTGAACCAGCTCTCACTAAACCAAGGCCTCCTTTTGTAACTATTATCCACTGTCTCAAGTCATAACAGGGAGACTCACCGGGAACCTCATCCCCCAGGAAACACGGGGCACTGAAGCTCAACGCTGCACTGAGCCTGCAGAACACAGCATACCCAAAGCGCTTTATGCCAGCAAAAAGCAAGGACGGACTCAAGATTGGCAGAGCAACGACCACAAAGAAAGGCTCACCATCCCGGGGTTCCGGCCCAACCGCACTGGAGAAAGCCGGCCTGGTCTACCTGCCAGAAGGCAGGCTCTGTAACCAGGCCAGCGCCTCCTCCACCAGCCAACAGGGGCCACTGTCATATCAGTCTAGGTGACAGCCCATGGGTTCACACATGCTTTTTCCAGCACAGGAATGCGCCACATCACTGAGAAATCATTGCATTTAAGAAATTATTGCATTTCTCAAAATGTTCAGTAGAATGCCTTGGAGAGGACAGACACTCAAAAATGGTTGTTGCAAGAATGAACCGGAAACCATCGGAGCTACACCACTTTACGGTGTGAATAACAACCTTACCCGGTTGTGATATAAAAGTCCAGGAAGAGTTAAAAGGGGCACAACCGTGGGTGGAAGGGCCACCGACAGCAAAGGTCACCAGCCTCAGAATTTTCTGGGGTGCAAGGGAACCCGGAACTCCGAGCACGATGCCTATTCCCCCGACAGTGCAGCTCCACCACGCTGTCTTCAACCTGCTTTCCACTTGCTCCTTCCTGCTCCGATCTAGCTAGTCAAGCAACCTCATCCCCTTCCAACAAGCTTTTTCCTAATATAAAACCCCATACTTACCATAATATTGCTTTATGTATTAGAAATGTATCATGTATTTTTTTATACTGTTTCCAAGCTACATGGAGTTTGAGCGGCCTGGCCCCAGCTCTATTTTTTCCATAAGCCCTGTTCCTTCAGGACGTACATGTTGTGTTATAACTGAAAAGTCTGTACCAAGACCCTATTAATAATGTTGAGGAAAGGCAAAACTATCCAAGTTCAACTCAAAGGAGGACTATGCACACATAGTACATAAAAAAATGTTGGACTCTCAGGCTAATTTAGGGTTGCTAAGTCAAAAGATTGATGTTACAGGTGAAAATACATGGTGCCTGTCATTCTCCTAAATCTGAACATTCCTCAGCTAGTCCTACTGAATCCACAAACAAACGCCACAAGGAGGAGACCCTTTTCCAACTGCTGCTTACAATGACAAACCCACATTGATTCATCCTTCAAACCACACACAAGCTGCTGCTCCACAAAGCCCCTGATCTCCTCATCTTCCCCACCCCTCAGCCCACCCAGACAAGCAGTATCTTTCTGGGTTTTGACTCCCCATAACAAGTTATCTGGAATGCCCCCGTAACATCTATCACTTTCCACTTCATTAAGAGAGGTATACACACGCGTCTTTTTCCCCAACAAGACTTGCAAGCTCACTGAGGGCAAGATCCGTCCCGCTCATCATTGCATTTCTCAAAATGTCCAGTAGAATGCCTCAGATACGACAGACACTCAACAATGGCTGTTGGAAGAATGAACTGGAAACCATCGGAGCTACACCACTTTACGGTGTGAATGACAACCTTACCCAGGGGTGATACAAAAGTCCACGAAGAGTTAAAATGGGCCAGCCCGGGTAAGCCTGCAGTACCCCTCTTGTCCCTGACTGGCCTCAGAACCCCACAGAAAGGTGCCAGCCATGCCCCAGCTGCATCCTAGGCTGTGCTCCAGGTATCTGCACCCAGGACCTCTCTGATCTGCCTCCAGACCTCACCGGCCCCATCCCCCGGGCTGTTCTCCTGCATGACCACAGCACCCCCAGTGTGTGCACCTCAGGGACAGCAGAGTGACATGCAGGATAGAGCAACACATGTTCACTAGGAGGCCCCTCTAGGGGTGGAGGAAGACAGAATTGGAAAGCAAAGAATTTCAAGACTCAGGACCCACGGATATTAGGAACAGATCTGCTTCAAACGAATAAGTATAAGCTATGGAAACACCATGCATTATGGCCATAAAATCCAAGCAACAATCAGCTAGTACCCTTCACCCAACCCTCTCTCACTTTAAGTCACCACTGCTCACTGCTGAACTGCCCACATCTCTGTCATTACCAAATCTAATAACGACAGCTCTGCTGATATTTATTCTACAAAAGCTGGACCCTATGTAGCAGACATCAGCTACCATTTTGTTTGAAGATGATATCCAAATCAATATGCCCAAACCAAATAAAAGAAATATTTTGCTAATGAGCTGCCGAATTTCATGGAAATGTATTCAGAATGACAAATGGTCCACCTATTTACTGACCTCAGTTTGCTTCAACATGTACCATGGAATCAAAACAGTGCAAGTTTCTTGAGGATAAGCAATTGGGGACCTTTCTTTTGTGCCACCCTCCCCACCTGGTAAAGTGATAGGTTCCTTGCAGCTGCTGAGTAAGTGCCTGTAGATGCGATGACTCCCTGCTGGGACCAGCCAGCTCGTGTGTCACTGTGGGGCCAGCAATGGCCAAAGTCAAAACACCACATGGTCAAGAGGACACTCTGTGAGTTGCTTATTATCAATGATAACTATGGGTTATCCACAACTATTGGTTATCAAACCAAATTAATGGCTGTTTTCTTGACAAAGTATCCTGAGCACATCTGTGATTCAGAGTGGGTTACTTCTCTACCTCCAGTCCTCAATAAAGGCTGCTGCACAAATGACAGGACATAATGTAATTTTGTCCTTTGGTATCTCTCATGGGTTGAATAGTGTCCTCTAAAATTCATATCCTCCCAGAACCTCACAATGTGACTTTGTTTGGAAATAGGGTGTTTGCAGATATAATTAGTTAAGCTGGGGTGAGGTCATACTAGATCAGGATGGGTCCTAAGTCCAAAGACTGGTGACCTTACAACAGAGGAGAGGACACACGGAGAAGGCAGAGACTGGTGTGATGCACCACAAGCCAAGGACACCCAGGACTGCCAGGAGCTACCAGGAGCTGGAAGAGGGGAGGAAGGATTCTCCTCTGGAGCCTTCAGAGGGAGGCTGGCCTTGCCAACACCTTGATCTCAGGGTTCTGGCCTCCAGCACTGGGAGAGAATAAATGTATGTTGTTTTAACTATTGGTTTGTTTATGGTTTTAATTTGTATTGATTTGTTATGAATGTCACTAAATAAGGAAGAAGTTGGCTAAAAGAACCATAAACAAGATGGAATAAACATTAGTAGCCCAGGTATAGAATGAAATGGCCAGCGTGGCCCTTCCCATCCGCGGACATCAACTCTCTCCCCAGGCTTCCTTGCCCACCTGCAGGCACAGACGCACATCCCGCCAACCCCCGGCCCGTGACTCCTTATGCGGAGGGGGAGACTCACCTGCCCCCATCAGCGATGCAGCAAGTAGCCACCCAGATGGCACAGGAGAGCCAGGCCCCAGCTAGCCAGTCCTATGGTGCCATCTGAACTGCAAGCTCACAACAAGGCTACCAATCGCTTTTACAGGGGAGAGATAGCATAGCTCTTCTAATCCCAGAAACATGCCGGGACTGCAGGAGCAGACCCCCAGCCCACTCCGGACTCTGGATCCCACAAGCTGCAGAGCCCTTGGGTGCATACTAGAGACACGACCCACTTCCATGGGAACGTGTTTTGTTTGAAACTGTGTTCCCAGCATCCAAAACAACACGTGCTCAATAAATACCTGTGACTGATGATAGAAAACAAAATTGTCGTGGAGCAGCCAACAGGCAAATGACTGTCCCATGGCCAGAAAATGTAATGAGGGCTCTGCCCATGGTGCAGGTACCCCAGCAGGAGCCCCTAGAGCCCAGCAGGTGGATTCCATCTTCCTACACCAAACCACGTACTTACAAATGACAAACACCCCCAAATGAGCCACTGTTCTGAATGCATTTAACTAAATAGCAGGTTTTTAAACCTGTTAAAAATTACTGATTCTTAAGATCAAAATTGAGTAGGTTTGTGTCTTGTAATGGTTGCAACATTGTGCAATGGGATCCTTTTGTTGAAGTACCTTATGGTACAGGAGAAGAGGAAACCCTCGTGCAGGGAGTGTCCACGCAGTCACAGGCACATAACTAAGTGGGGGACCAACCAGAAGCATCAGAGGAGCTCACGGGCGCCCCCGCTGGGGAGGAGGACCAGCTGACACAATGTCAAAACAGGAACTTGTGCTGCTGCTACGTGGAGAGAAACAGTGTGCTCCAGCTGAGAGAAACCCATGGACTGAGATCATAAAATCTCACTGTTCACAGCAAGGAAAGGCTCGCGGTGCACCTGGGGGCAGGACCCACTGCAGGACGCGGCACACAAGCAACCCAACCCTCTTTGGGTACTCACAGGCCCCTAGCCAGAAATTCTACACTTCACAATTATCTATATAACTCACTAAAATTTCAAGCTTGACCAAAGGTCAAAAAAAAAAAAAGGAGCAATGCCTTTTTTTCTTTAAAAGCTGATTCACTATCCTTAAAATCTGTAAGATTCACTATCCTTAAAATTTTTAAGAAATATCACTTTCAGGCAGAAATTGAGATCCTAAAACCATGTGTAAGAGAGAGAGAGGGCAGCCTTTAAAACTAAATCCATACTTAGGCAACGGTAAGCAAATTTTAGCTTTGCTTATTAAAACCATAATTGACTTCTTAAAACGTTAAACTCTCCAAGGATATTTATATTCCCTAAGGTCAAAAGTTCATAATTTATCTTTGAAGGATAAATTCTATCACTGGGCTCAAGGAGGGGACATCAAACACTTTAATCCTATTTTTACCATATTCATCACATTCAACAAAGAAAAGCAGGGAAACAAATGACCACAACCCTGCCACACATGTTAGAAACATCAAGAAATAGAGTTTTCTCGAAATGGTGGAAGCATGCTGGGCTGCCCCCAACACCCATCGCGTACCTCCTCGTATTCAATGCTTTGAGTTCTCTGCTTCCAACATAAATGTACATGTCCTATCAGAGAAGAAGAAACCTAAAATCTACCAGGCATGGTGGGTCATGCCTAGAATCCCAACATTTTGGGAGGCCAAGAAAGGAGAATGGCTTGAGGCCAGGAGTTTGAGACCAACCTGGGCAATACAGCAAGACTCTGCCTCTACAAAACAAAATTTAAAAATTAGCTGAGTGTGGTAGGACACATCTGCGGTCCCAGCTACATGGGAGGCTGATGTGGGAGGATTCCTTGAGCACAGGAGTTCAAGGCTGCAGTGAGCGATGATTGTGCCGCTGCATTCCAGCCTGGACGACAGAGCCAGATCCAGTCTCTTAAAAAAACAAAGGACTGGGACTTTAATCTCACTCAAGGAGATATGTTCAAGAGGGTGGATGTTTTCATAACCAAAAGTTTAAAACAAAAATTTAATTTTGCAAATTAAACCAAGCACATGGTCAAGGTGTCCGTATTCTTCCATAATGAAATCATTATATAATTTCTTAAGAAATGCATTTGAGGCTCCCCTGAGATTTTAATCAAAATAAAATAAAATAAAACCATTAATACAGAAGCATCAATTACTCACATAACAAGGACAATTATCATAGTTGGCAGGGCCCTAAACAGAGGTGGATTGCTACATGCAGGTGAAGCCTCAGGGCCCCTGGCCTGCGCTGGCCCTTCCAGAGCCCTGGGGACCCTGTGTCCATGTGGGCTTCCAAAATGGCAGAACTACGGCACTCTTGCTCTTCCTGGCCAGGGGAAGTTTACACCGCGGCCACCTCCCATCTTGCGTGGCCGCATCCCAGCCCCAAGCCTCTTTGCCTGGGCAGCGTCGTGGGCCTGCAGCCTTGTGCAGACTGCAGAGGGGAAGCTGGACAGTGCGTGAGGCCAGGTATTTCCTGGACCCAGCCATCAGGAATAAACAACCACTTCCCACGACCCAGGCTAAAGGAATGACTGAATTACCTTCCTGTGCAGCCAAAGATGCAGGAAAACAGATGTGTCAGGCAACAAATTAAAAATCAAGTTATTTTTTGAGATTCTGCCACATTTTCAGTTTTTTAAGATTTGTTCTGTTGTGATTTCTTTCTCATACTAAACAAGCAGTCACCCTCATACTTAATTTTGCATTCATGATTTTGCATTCATGATTTTGTACTTTTTTCTTAAGAAGACACTCCCCTCCCCCCAAATCCTAGCTCCTCCCCCAGCACTAAACCCTGCAGAAACGCACAGACTTTTCTAGTCTTCATCCTGATGCCTTTACTGAGGGGCTCTTCGGGGAGGCAGAGCCTGGTCCCTGCCTTGGATAAGATCTTCTCAGTTAGTCTCACTCCAAGAACACACTCCCCCTGTACAGAAAACAAACCAGATATCATCCATGTCGACGCTTTTCCCAGATCACTGTGATTTCATGTCCCAGTTTGCCAATTCTTAGTCATCTTAGAGCTTCCAACGTACCCCGCACAGGTGGCTACAGGAGCTGCCTACGACGACTCTACTACACGTCTACACCTCGCTGGTGGGAGTTCCATCATGAGTCACAGTTGCCCGTGGCAGTTAGAGGGTGTCCAGAGAAATGAGTCTTAGTCTACGTGGCATGTCTGCACCCAGTAGCATCCTGAGTGCCCACGGGGAAACTTCTGCTTCCATCTGTCACGTGCAAGGCTGCAAATACAGCAGTAACCGGTGGGTAGCTGAGGAGAGTTCCAAGCAAAGCATAAGCCTGTTTAAGAAGGCTTCAGTCAGCCTGGCGTGGTGGCTCACGCTTGTAATCCCAGCACTTTGGGAGGCCAAGGTGGGCGGATCACCTGAGGTGCCCAGCCTGACCAACATGGAGAAACCCCGTCTCTACTAAAAATACAAAATTAGCCGGGCATGGTGGCACAGGCCTGTAATCCCAGCTACTCGGGAGGCTGAGGCAGGAGAATCGCTTGAACCCAGGAGGCGGAGGTTGCAGAGAGGCGAGATCACGCCACTGCACTCCAGCCTGGGCAACAAGAGTGAAACCCCGTCTCAAAAATAAATAAATAAATAAATAAATAAATAAATAAATGAAAGAAAGAAGGCTTCAGTCTAATTCATAAATGAGACGCATGGTGAGTTATTCAGAATGAGGACTGTTTCCAAAAACATCTCTCACCCTTGAGCTTGATGTGAGCAAGGACACTCAGCCTCTCCTACAAATACTTGCAGTCACTGGCAAGAGAAAAACAGAAACAAACAGAAAAAAGGTGTGTACATATATGTTTGCCTGTGTGTATATATGTATACACACATATATATGCATGCATGTAAGATATATGACTGTTCTTATTTTATTTTGAAGACAAGGCCTTTCTCGGTTGCCCAGGCTAGAGTGCAGTGGCACAATCATGGCTCACTGCAGCCTCAACTTTATGGGCTCAAGTGATCCTCCCACCTCAGCCTCCTGAGTAGCTGGGACTACAGGCATGCACCACCACATCCGGCTAATTTTTGCATTTTTTGTAGATATGGGGTTTCGCCATGTTGCCCAGGCTGGTTGCGAACTCCTGACCTCAAGTGACCCACCCACCTCTGCCTCCCAAAATGCTAGGATTATAGGCATGAGCTACCGCACCTGGCCTGACTGTTCTTATTTCATACATGGAACATGACAGCAACAGAAAGATTCACACCAAGGTGCAGGAACCGCCCTGACACGCAACTCTCAGTCAAGAACAGATCTCAGGATCCTTTGGCTGAACTCACTGTTGACACGTCTGAAGAAACTGAGGCACTAACGGCCACCCAGAAGCCGCCTAGTGGAAAGGCCAGGGCTCACGCTGCTACCCTGAATCCCAGCCCACTGCTATTCCCCGCCACAACAATCCGAGAAAAAGTCTAGGGAAACAGATGACAAAAACTAAAGCTTTAACAACTTACGGATGGTTTGAGAGGTCAAGGAGTCAGACCTTCCTGGGCTTAACTTACATGACCCTATCTGTCTTACCCTGTAACCTTATGACATCAACCTGTGTGCACTATCTATAGGACCTTAAATTCCGTAAGCCTCACTCTATAAATGAAGAGAATAATAAGATAACTATAAAACTGAAATTATATAATGCAAGTGGAGTGTGTCAGGAATATAGTCAATTCAGCAACTCTAAAATACTTAGTGAGCGCCTATCATTTGCCAGGCAGTACTGCTAGTGTTCCAGACACTACCTGTACAGGCAATGAACAAAACGGACAAAACCCCTGTCCCCATGGAGTTTAAACTCCAAACCTTCTGCTGTTATTATTGTTATAGCTATTGTTATTATTATCAGATATCGGCACTTTGCAAGGGTACACTGAAAACAGAAGAATGCTACAATTAGTATTTATAAAGAATAATGAACGCCATCCCTTAAACGTGTTTTATAATCTAAAAGGTGCCAATGTGACTTTGGGATATGGATAGAAAAGGTGCACCTGACAGCTGTCCATCTTCTTGTCCAGCCCCTTCCCTCCCAGTGAGAGGCACGGGGAAGACGCAGCTACAATGTGGTGTGATTTAAAGAAAGGGGAACCTGTTAGAATTGGGTCTGCCCAAAGAACGCCATCTCCCTCCTGTGATGGCTCGTGGGAAGGTCAGGGGGAAGAACAGCTGAGACACACACCCCTGGTCAGGTGGGGAAAGATTTGGGAGGCCCCAGCACCCTTAGGCACCTGCAGGGCTGCAGGGTGGTGGCCAGCACCCCACAAATGTTACACACGCACACTTCCTATCACGCACACTTCCTATCATGCACGCTTCCTATCACGCAAGCTTCCTGTCACGCATGCTTCCTATCACGCAAGCTTCCTATCACGCACGCTTCCTATCATGCAAGCTTGCTTGTTCAATGTGGGTGTGGAGGCAAGGTCTGAAACGCAGAACCTGAAGACAGTGAAGACAGTGTCAACGCCGCAGCACAGGAGTGGCCTCCCCATCTCAGAATGGAAGAGCTGGCTGGAGAGCAGGAAGGAGCCAGACAGACGCTGGAGGAGGCAGAGGCAAGAGGCAGGTCGCTGCCAAACCACGGGGAGGCATGGAGGAGGAGACGGCTGAGATGAATTGGAAAATGGAATTTTTGTTTCCCATATTCAATCCTGATAACATTTATTTCATTGCTCAATGAAATTTTTACATCCACAGGATGCATAATAAAATATTTCATATGAAGTTAATATTGATAACCACTTCAGTCTTCAAAATACTCCTGCTACACCGTGAGCTCCATTACCTTAAGGACCTTCTTAGCTGCTTTTACTTTGTCCTTGAACTGTCAAGAAATAAGCAAGTACTCAAAATGAGTATGTATTGGATAGATAAACAAATGAATGGGCCAGCAGTTGGAGAAATGAGCACATGAACTCCACAAGGTAGGAATCGGTCCCAGGTATTATCATCCCAATTTATAGTTGAGAAATCTAACAGCAAAAGAAAAGACACACCCTCTCTGCAGGTATAGAGCTGGGAAGTTTTGATGTTGAGGTCAAAGCCACTGTGGGGTTCTTTACCCAATGGCATCAACGTACGACCGGCAGTCCCCCTGGAAGGTTCCAGAAAGGCAAGAATGAGCATAAGGGACCCAACGCCACATGTCAGGAAACCAAGGGGATTAAACGTTTAATGTCAATATTTATTTCTTATTTACATCCCCGCCTTGGTTCCTCCGAGAAGGATTTAAGGCAGCGTGATTTATGCTCAGGAAGGCTGTGCTGATTAAACCCTCACATTCACGCGCAGGAGGTAATGCATGGAAACCTCTCACAACACGGGTGTGACACGCTGACGGCTCACAAGCACCAGGAACCCTGGGGGCTGGGGTCTACACCTTTACTACTGGAAGAAAAAAAGAAAAACTAATGATTATTACTCATCAAAAGCAGTTTTTCAATACACAAAATCTTTCGATGCGCTGGGTCTACTGAGAAAATGAAATAAAAGGCACTGTGGTGCACCACAATATCTACAATTTATTGTAAAACCCATCTAAAATATCACAGAAACAATTCCTCCCTCGAGTGTTTTATGAACAGCAAATGGGAGGAGGAAAAATATTTTTACTGATACCCTTGAACTAAGTTTATAGAAATATGTATGGGTGAACGTGTCATATTTAACAGGAAAGTTAATAGAAATATCCACAACCTCACAGCATTTTTTTTAATTTGAGTTGGTATCCAACCAAATACCATAAAAACACAATAATGAAGACCATCTCATATACAAAAGATGCAAAATTTAATGGGGGGAAAAAAAAACCCCTTCAAATAACCATGCAGAAGCCCTAGCAAAGCAGTTATTATTCCCAGAGCATCGCCACTATCCCATCCTCCAGAACTATGTTTATTATGACTTATTAGATTTTGGAGCAATTGTCCTCTGAAGAGCACAAAATGCTGCAAAATATTATAACTTTTAAAACTGTGCAAAAACTTTACGAGGAACACTTCTAAAGCTAAAGTATCGCTGAAAATTGCCAGAGAAGATGGCAGCAAGAGATAAGGAAGTGGATGGAAAGAAAGACAGCAGGGAAAGGAAAAGAAGGAGTTAAGGAGAGGGCCCAGGGCGGCCGCAGGGAGTAGGTGCGCAGGGAACCCACAATCCCAGTTCTGAATAAAGGGCTCCCAGGCTGCCCCGTTTCTCTCTGGCCCACAGGCTCCGGCTCCAGTCATCATGTATTCACTGGCCGTGTGGCTGTTGCCGTGCAAGATTCCCCCACACTTGCAGAATAGATTTCAGCTTCTCTCTCTGTGTGTAGAGGGGAGCCCATCTAAAATTAGTATCTTCTAAATGATGGTAAATGGAATATAAAGAACAAAGCCTCCAGTGTGGCCCTCCATTTCAAAGAGCTCTGAAGACGGCAAAAAGGGACATCAGTATGTGTGCAAATACGAGTCACCAAAAGGGTTTGTAAAAGCATCTAAAAATCAATTAATTAATCCTCCCAAACCACTGCATAAAGACAGTCTTCCCACCCAGTGAACCGCATCCTCCACAGTGTGCAAGCCGGGCGTGCGGATGCTCGCTAGAAAAAAGGTGCTGCAAGGTAGACTTCGACAATTCAGAGTATGCAATAGTCCTTCCAAGTGAAAAGTGTGAGGAAGCCCCACGTCACTCCTCAAAAAGGAAGGCCACTAGGAAAGGGATTATCAGACCAGCAAACAGGTAGTTTCTCTTTCAGGGTTCTGTAAACGCAGAAGCTATGAGCACTTGCAGATTTCCAACATTAATCCACCAGGCTGACTCATACTATGTCCCCCTACTCCAAAAAATAAAATAAAACAAGAAACCATCCCAACACATCTGTGCTTCTCAGACGTTAACAACTGGTGATCCACACCCAACACACATAACATCGGCATCCATCTTCTTATATTTCTTAAAGAGCTGACATGATTGGCAGGGTGCTCTTTTTAGTATTGTCACTATATTTATACATTCACCATGAAAATCAGCAGAAACATCCTGGAACGTTGTTAGGGGAAGTTTTCAGGTTTTTCCTAAGTAAAGTGTGCCATAATACTAATTCCAAATTCCCCCAAAAGTGAGAAAAGTTTGTACTTTATAAGACTCATGAGAATATACTGGGATGTAAAATATGTTTCCACAGTTCAATGATTTAAAGAGATAACGGAGCAGACTGCAGATATAACTGATATCACTTTTATATGTGAACATGGGAGAAAACTCCAAAGAGAACTCCTACGACACAGAAAACTATGACAGCAGCCGGGAGTTCCAGAGCTGCTGAGGCTGTGGCCCAGCTCATAACTGCTCCCAGGCTGCTGGACACAGGCAGGCTACCAGCCCTACAGAAATAGGGACAGGCATCCTGTGAAATGGGCTGTGCACCAATACAGACCCCCAGTCCCTTCACCACAGGCAGCCCTGAGAATTGGAAGAGTCTTCCTAACTGTGCGTGGCAAACTTAACCTGACCAGAACAGACATGAGGTTACTGCCAGTCTTTCCTCACCCAAGTATTGTGACTATTAATCCATTTATCTGTAGAAAATCTCATGTTTAAGCTGAGGATGTTGCAAAATATACAGTATATGCACTAAATTTCTTTTCAAAAATCTGAAAAGCTCTGAATTCCAAAACATATCTGGCCCCAAGGATTTCAAGTAAAAGATGTGGGACCATCTTTAAAATGTGAATGAACTGGGGGCACACTCCACTTCCTTCAGGGTTTACCTGGAGTCCAGAAATAGAACTGGCGCCTGAAAAGCCTAGATCAGAAAACTCTCTTTTCCAATGTGCAGAACTATCTGTCAAAAGGACGTGTTTCAGACCCTCAGAAATACCTACTAAATAAATAAGATATATATATCTCTCTCAATGCAAAGTTGAGAAAGACAAACCTAACTCCAAATTAAACTTATTTTAGACTTTCCAAAATACATGCAAAACATCTTACAGCTACATGGTCTAAAAGGCCATCAGCAAAATCAAGTCCATTGAAACTATCAAATGTAAAAAGATACTAGTATACAACACATAGTCCCCTAAAATTTGGCTTTATTGGTGTAAATTATCTGTGTAGACGCATTAAAACTCAACTGAGAGGCAAAGTAAAATTCCTGCTTGAAAGATTCAAAATGAGGGAAATCTAGCCTCAATTACTAAAAAAAAGTCCGGGCGCAGTGGCTCACGCCTGTAATCCCAGCACTTTGGGAGGCTGAGGCAGGTGGATCGCCCAAGGTCAGGAGTTCGAGACCAGCCTGACAAACATGGAGAAACCCTGTCACTACTAAAAATACAAAACTTAGCCAGACATTGTGGCCTGTAATCCTAGCTACTCGGGAGGCTGAGGCATGAAAATCGCTTGTAATCCTAGCTACCCAGGAGGCAGAGGTTGCAGTGAGCTGAGTTCACACCACTGAACCCCAGCCTGGGTGACAAAGCGAGATTCTGTCTCAAAAATAAATAAATAAGGCATCACATGCACTTATTTTCCTTCCTAGGGATAATTTTTGAAGCCCTGTGAAGATCTAAAATCGCAGAGTGGGCCAGGCATAGTGGAACACACCTATCATCAATCCCAGCACTTTGGGAGGCCAAAGCGGGAGGATCACCCAAGTCAGGAGTTAGAGACCAGCCTGGCCAACATGGTGAAACCCTGTCTCTACTAAAAATACAAAAATTAGCCGGGTGTGGTGGTGGGTGCCTGTAATCCCAGCTACTCAGGTGGCTGAGGCAGGAGAATCGCTTGAACCCAGGAGGCAGAGGTTGCAGTGAGCCAAGATCATACCACTGCACTCCAGCCTGGGGACAGAGCGAGACTCTGTATCAATAAATAAATAAATAAAATTGCAGAGTGCAGGCAGGAAACACTGTTTACACATGAGCCAGCAAGGAACAGCTATCTAGAAATGTCTTCTTGGGGTCAACAATGCTAATGAGACTCACAGTGTTCTGGTGTAGTGGACAAAAATACAAAGATCTGGGGAGAAGCCCCAGGCCAGAGAAGGACTCACACCAAGCAACTGTGGAAATGACCTCCGAAGGACCATGCCCCAGGCAGGATCACAGTGTTGTGGTAATGGGCAAAGGCAGCCTGGCTCCAGGGCCACACCCGCCTGAGCTGCCCCTGCCAGCACAGCAGCCTGAGATCTCAGCAGAGGGAGCAAGTGGGCACCACCTGGGCACCCACTCTGTGCCAGGCTTGGGGCCAGGCACCTACAGCGCCTCGTGTGCCCAGAGCCTGTCAGGCCCACGCACAGTTCCCACCCTCCACCACTGGAGAGAAACTGCATCTCCTCACATGCCACCCACAGCCAACCCAAAAACACCATCAGGCTGGCCTCCAGCCTGGGATGCACATTGAGAAATGCTGATATTTGGTTTTTCCCCACAAGGGAACTGACAGGTTTTTTTTAACTGGCTTATTTAAATATTATAAATCAAGTGGTTCACCTCCCATCCACTGATGGCACTTACTTCTATAATCCATCCCATGCAGCTTGCATAGGGAACTTGGGTAAAATACAGCGTTGGAAGAGTATCTGTGAGTTTCCAGTCAAGTAATTTTCCACACCCTCCTTTGTTCTTATTTGTCTTGTAATAGCCAGGAAGGGTTCGCACCACTTCCACAAATCACGGGGAAGTCAGGGGAATCGGGGAAGAAGACGACGTCTCTTTAATTTCGCACGCATGATGTTTGCAACCACTAAGGTCATACCTGCGTGTGGTGACTGACAACTTTTCAGCTTGATTCAAAGCAAACAGCTGCTGGGTTGATTGCCTAGCAACTAAAAATTGATGGATGACCCTTAAGATGAATAACTACCATAAATCACCTCATTCAAACTCTCCAAGAAAAAAATTAAAAAACAATGGTTTTCATGACATTTGCTGAGCTCCATAATGTGCCGTGATAAATTTGGCCTCCTTATGGATGCACAGTTGTGGCTGCGAAAGTTGAGTCACTTCTGTTTTTGTTTCCTGTTTCCTGTATTTCCTGGCACTCAGGACCCTCCGTAAGGTGCGCTCCTAGGAACACGCTGCTCCAGCAGGGACGGCAGCTCTGGGTGCCTGTCAGTCACTCCAGGACGGACAGGAGCTGCTGAATTTCTCATCACCAAACAGCTTTTAATCAGGAAACGGCAGTCCTACATCACAAAGATGGCAGGAGACCCTGTGCATTAATAATGGTTACAATACATTTAGTGTAATGATTTGACCTCGGCCAACACTATAGATGCCATGATTCATATGAATTTGATAAACTACTTCCTGTTTGTAGACATGTCATATGTTCCTAAAAGGCCAAGAATGTGCTTTTAACTTGCAAATAAACACAGACCTATAAACCATAATAGGATTGAGAGGATGTCTTGGTATTTGTCCTCTAAAATACCCAGTATCACCACCATTATGAGCATTTCCACAAGTAGATGTATAATGATGAACAGATTACTTTTCCAGATGGTATTTTCCTGTTTTTACTTAACATTCAAAAGGAGGCATGGGCAATTCCTTTCACCATCTTTCTTTGCCCCCTTTTCTTGTTACACTGGGTTTTGTTTGTTTCTTTTAGGTTAGATTGATGTTACATGGAAGGTAGCTTCCAAAAAAACCAGTCCACTGCCTGACTTGGGTTAGCACTTTGAAACCAAAAACAGCTTCCTGCTTTCTTCTTTCACCTACTATCGCCAGCACCCAGGGTCGGCACGTCATAGACCGCATGTCACAGACTGTCACACTCACCTGTCCTCGCAAGAGCCAGGGCTTCCCCAAGGAGGGGCTTCAGTCCCTCAACAAGCACCGGGAGCTCTGACTATGAGCCAGGAACCGTGCTGGACTCTTGACAGTGGAAGGAGAACAAGATGGCCCTGCCCTTATGGAGCAGAGTGCCTACAAGGACGTGAACAAGTCAGTGAGCAATCACATAGACAGAGACAGGTGCTCCGATGGGTCCCCCTGCATGGTGCATACAGTGTGGGCCATTATACTAGAAAGCAGTTCACACCATCGGACCGGAAGCTCCCAGAGATGAGACGCATCAATCCTGGAAAGAAAGTTACTTTCGTTTAACAGACTGTACAATTCCAAGAAACCTTCCCTATTTAAAAAGCCAAAGAGGGCTTTTAGGCTCTGCAGTGCAAGCCACACTCTCTGAGCATCAAAGCTGAGGTGGGCTTTGAGGAGGGCCGGCAGGTCGGGTGGCACCCACCCCCAGATTGCCCTGGGATGGCATGTCACATGGCTGCACGCAGGCCAGGGCAGCACGCCCAACACCTGCCCCGCCCAGGGCTGACTGTGGCCAACCCCTCACTCACTTTGAGAGCTCCTCTATCCACCATATGCAACAAAACCCCTGAAATGGAAAGATGAAATAAAACAACATTAGCAACAAATAAAACGCCTTAGGGGCCAAAGGGCCATGACCTAAGCCACTAATAGCTACCAGCAGCCCCAGGTTTCTGGTACATGAAGCATCTCGTTAGAAATAAAGTGGGATGCCCCTTGTTCCCTGGTGTCTGAGTGAATGCCTAGATGCTGGGATCCGTGCTCCTGGAAGAAAGGACAAATGCACTAGACCATCTCCACCATTTTCAAGGACTAGAGATGTGAGGACCAACCGTTGAGAGGTTCAACTTTGGATACACCATCCTGTATACCCAGCTCCCTTAGAACCAACTCCCTACTGAGCAAATGTCAATAGCGCTGCCATCCTGAAGCAAAATGAAAAAGACTGATATTAATTAGGTCAACAAGACTGCTTGTATTGCATATGCTACTACCTTTAGGCACACAAGGATAACTGTGCGTTCTCCCCACAGCATCATGCTCCTGACACGGGAGAGCCTGGGCTTCATTTGTCTTCCTAAATATAAATGGCCGCTATCTGTAGCACTTAGGAGAGGTTAGCTGGCTTCAAATAAATAGCATCTTAACTGCTGCCCTGATAATGGTGAGCTCTGGGGTACATCTCCATTTCTAACCCTATCAGGGTCCTATAAGGATGGCGAGGAGGAGATCCATCTGGAAAGCCATCTTTAATGTACATGTCTATGGCCAGAGTCTGTTGCACCATTCACGCCTTCTCAGCATTTTTGCCTGGGCTCTGACTGCCCTTGGTAATGCCTTCCCGGGTGGAACCCACAGAACAGGACCACTGGCATGCTGTCTCTTTAAGACTGAAATGCTTGTTTCCTTGCAGTAAGAAAAGTAAATCACGCTATAGTGAGTTGAGCTTTGAAAAAAGCATCCATCCATTAAAATTCATGGATCCGCGTTTTCAGGTTGTCCCTCCCCTGGCTGTGTCTCAAGTTACAGCCTTGTACAACCCAAGTCTAAATAATATTCACCATGATAAATGACACCATAACTCCGATATCCACAATCAATCTTTGCTTTAAAGATACATCCATCTTCAATAATGTTGATGGGGATTCTGCAAAATGGGGAACGTGACTGTCTTCCAGACCTCCTAACGGCGGGGGAAGGAAGCCCTGAGTGATGGCTGTCAGCCCACATCTGGCTGCAAAAATAAATTAGCCTTATGCAGAAAAATGAAAGGGCTAGCTCCGCCTAGGAAACAGCCACTCCTGAGCAATGGCTAATTTATAGGACTTCTTTCTGGAAAGTTCCTGGCGAAGGCAACAGTCTCCTTCACTATCTCTTTAAATGGTATCTGATGCTGTAAATAACTTCAGTGTGGTAGGGACTGTACGAAGTACAAAGGGGTGGGGATGAGAGAAACAATAACTTTTCTCACATTCTCACACATGATTACAATGCAAAACTCTACTCTTCAAGAGAAAAAAACATTTATTTTAGCCAAATGCTTTTATATTTTCACAGCATGCTCTCCTCTGGCTGACTTTTTTTTTCCTTTGCACTTTCTGGTGGTTTTCTAGTGGTTTGGGAACTTATATAAAAAGTAAACAATCTGGGGGCAAAAATGGCCCTTTCTCTTCCTCCTCCAAAATATCCTTTTTTAGCAACTTTTAGACTCGAACCTCATCACTGTCTTTATGCAGGCGGGAATGGGGTTACAAATTCTAGGCAACAGAGAAAAAGAAGAAACATCTATCGGGTTTAGTAGGTGGTTTCAAAAATAGCCTGGAGTAAAACACTTATTAGGCAGACTCTAAAAAAAAAAAAAATAGAAGACCAAACTTCTGCCGCAGGAGTGGGGGACCTATGAATTTGGATACCAGGGAAATGCTTTGCTGCTGGTTCTTTATGCCTCTGACCTTGTCTCACTGAGTATTACTCAGGGCTTGAATCCTTAAAGCCTGCTAGAAAGTGGGGAGATGCAGGGGCACCTGGGTCATGCTTTCTGCACGGAAAGCCGGGACTCCATGGGGTGTCCCTACAGAGCCGGGGGCTTGTGTGTTCCTGGGCTTGGAACAATCACTCCTTTGGGTCTCAGAACCTTCCCAGGCAGGACCTCGGAGCTGTTGCAGCGGGCTGAGGTGGGGAGGGTTAATTCTGTGAAGGTTGAAGGACTTACAGTAATGCTCTGAAGACAGAAACATCACAGGCTTTCCTGGCAAGGGGCTCACAGAGGGTAGGAGGGACTGCAAAATGAACTCTCTCAGGCTTTGTCGGCGGCGTTTCCCAAGGCCCGGCCTGGCCCCTTTGATAAATGACACATGTCATTCTGTCAGGGGCTGACACTGCGGCTGGGAGGGCTGGTGATGCATGGCTCCAGGGAAAAGGAAATCAACTTTTTGGCATCGAGTGTGTCTGTGCCCTGTATGAGGATTTTGTTTCTCCAAAAGTGAAAGATAGACTTAGGATTTAAAAAAAAAAAAAAAAAGTTGAAAAACAGATTGAACGACAGCTTACACTTAACATAAATTAACTCAGTAATGGCGAAATGTGCTAGCCTGTGATAAATAAAAGCTACATTAGTCAATTATTAATCACACTCTAACTTGTAGCCAGACCCATGACTTAAATCTGGGGCCTGAGCTGCTTTACAAACAGATAAGACAGTGCCTGATAGGCGTCTTCAGAGAGCAATCAAGAAGGAATCAAAGATTTCATGGGCTCACCAATGGGAATTAATAGAAGGTTCTAGAACCACAGAGTTGGGTGAGTGGGGAGCAAGAAAGGACCAATCCTTTGCAGACACAGACTATCTACTGACTGTGTGAGGAAAATTAAACATAACGGCTACATCCAAATACTTTTTCCTCCCCCATCAGGACTTATTTGCTTTGAATATGCAAGACATTTGTACACTGCAAACATATGTTTATATTTGATATAATGTTTATATTTGTAAGATTTTGCCTTGAAAATATGTTGCAGTTTTGCCCCCACACCTACTGAGTTGCATCGTTTGAATCTGATGCCTGCTAAGGGGATTTTCCTAGAGATAGCACTAATTTCCAAACTAATTGCTTAGCACAGATTTATAAATTCAGCTTCACATTTTACCAAACAAATTGACATTTGACATCCACATACACAAAAACAGGGCAAAGTGCAAACCTGCCTCTCCACCAAGTGGCTCTCTTTTGGCTCCGTTCTAAGCAACCCATCCAAAGAAAAATCAACATGGAGAAGCTACTCTCAAAAAATGTATGGCTTTGAGGTATCGCTATTCTTCATAATAAAGAACATTAAGTAAAACCCGCCACCGAGATATAGTCTTGCATTAACTGCTGTCTGCTGTGCTCAGGATGGCGTGCGAGCCCACCAGCACCTCTCCTTGGGAAAACCTTTCCCCTTCAGGCTCGGAATGTGGAGGATGGTCAGCTGTCTCATTGTCGGCCCTACTTGATGACGAGTTGATTTCCACGACAGTGGGGCTCTAATTCCTAGTTCTCAGAAGACCTGCTGAGGCTGTGGGGGACTTCTGATGTTCCAAAGGGCATGCTGAGGTTGTGGGGCAAGCGTACAGAGATGGGCCAGCTCACAGTCAGAAGAAAGCGGCGTGGACAGGCCATCACGCTGACACACGGACAGAAGCGATCACATCTCCAACTCTCCCGCGAGCTCCACGCCATGCTCACCTACCGCCAGGCCTCACTCACAAACAGTAGGTGTTCAAGAAATTGCTGAATTCAATTCAAAATATTTAATTTTTCTTTAAAAAGCTATAGGCAAGTTTCCAGCCCCATCATCCATGATTGAAGGTGCCCAGAACCGAGGAAGCATTTCCTAGAGGCCTGTGCGCCCACCATGCACGTCCACACCCAAGAACACCCCTTGTGCAGCTTCCACGTCCCACGTGCACTGACATGTCTCCATGTGCCTTGACATGAAAATGGCAGGAGGGCCCAGAAGTTGTTGATTTCAGCTTATTTCCAATTTCATAAGTAGAAATAAACTCAAATTTTACCAAAAGCAAATTCTCTAAGTACAACCAGCTTTTCTAAGAAAGAAAAAAAAAAAGGACAGCTGTTGCTTCATGACGGCGACTTCCTCCAACTCAGGGGTGCTAAAGATGGGTGCAATGGATCACATGGTTGTAGAATAGCACGCGTTAGGAATTCTCTAATAATATAAGCCCTTTGTTTACAGAGAAGGAAACTGAGGCTTGAGAAAGAACAGGGAAAAAGAGATTAATGAAAGAACAAAGACCCAGGCCTCTACCCTACATCCAATGCCCGCCGCACCCCTCCCCACCACCCTGTATCCTATACTGTGTGCAAGCATTGATTCAAAGTCAACCTTCTGAATTTAAACATGGACAATTAACAGGCAGGCTCCAAATCGAGTCCAAATGTTTAAAATAGCCGATAAAGCCAGTGGTTTCTTAGATGGCTATAAATAAGAGTATTGCGGGGAGGGGGGGATCATACATTAAAATCTGGGCTGATGTTTAAACTTCTCCCTTCCTCCAGCTGAAATATAATTTTTCTTTAGTCCATAAAAAATTCAGATAGTGTGCAGAATGTTTATATATTACCAAGGTCTCTCTTTAAAAGGTTTATACTTTTACTTTATGACCTGTCCTTGATTTGACACTTCCGCTCATCAGAAAGGGATTTATAAAATAATCCTGAAGGTGAGGAACAGACATCTGTCAGGGACTAGCTGGGTTTCACGATGCGAAATTTAAGAAGAGAAAGAAATCCTGTTAAGCTCTCTTTAGTCACCAATAGACATCAAAGGTAATAATTAAAGAAGACAGACGTCATAAAACATAAATTTATGTCTCTTTTAATAATGCACAAGCACCGTAGTGTGTAAAACATCTATTAGGTTGAAAGAACATGAAAGCGTTCCAATAAGAAAAATCTATGTTTTGTTTTGGGGTATTTTCCCTTCCTTTAAAAAAAAAAAAAGTGAGGATCTTTTTTTTTTTTTTTTTTTACAAGTTTAAACTGAAGTCTTTCAAAACCTTTGCCATCTGTGGGTACATGAACTATGAATGACCCCGAATGATTTGCACTCTGCTCAGAATCCCTTAGAAAGCACGGGAAAAAGTATCATTAAGAATGACTGATGACTGTCAGTCATGGTTGACCTCATCCAGGCTTTGGTCTCTGCCTCAGTAATAAGCTGGCCTTTATTAGTACCAACACTCCATAAAGGGGGTGTGTTTAGTCACAGGATAGCGGCCTTCTAATGCCCATTGCTTCTCTCTGGAAGATTGATTAGTGCTCATTTTTACTGCTTTCCCAGCACATGCAGGGCCAGGGCTGCAGAGAATCAGGCCTGCAAACTACAAACTCGAGTGAGGAGGTGGGAAAAGGATGCCTAGCAAGAGAGGCGGGGTAGGGAGTGGGGGACAATTTTTTTTTTTTTAAGGAATCTGTCTTTCAAAAAAGCCCCAACCACAAAACCATATGTATATTCGATTCCAGGGCCTGGAGAAGACAGGCCAGGAAAGCAACTGTCTGTTGAAATGGAACTGAAGGAGCCACTTATGTGTTAACTTGTCTGAAAAACAGAAGGGGATCCTGGCCTGCAACTCCCTCTCTCTAAAATCAGCAGTTAGGTGCAAATCAATGAGGAGGCTGCCTGCAGAATTAGGCCTCATAACCAGCCTGACATCAAAATACAAAGATGTAATTATTACCCATTAAAACTGAACATGTGTGAAACTAAAAAAATCTTCCCTATACGAGCACATAAAAACCCATCCACTGCTTTTGTATTAAACTACTAAATTATTTTTAAGAAGCAATTGCTATAGAAACAGACAAACGAATTTATATATATATAATTTCCATGTATCCCTAAATCCCTTGTACCGCCTCCACTCTCGTTGAGATAACTGAGTGCCGTGAATTCCCAAGAGGAAGAACGGAGGAATAAATGTATTATTATCTTCATCATCACCCTCACACCCATCATGAGATATCAAGTACCGCAGTGCTGGGAGGCAGGGAGGTGTACCACAGAATACTCCGAGCAGGTGCTCTACAGAACAAATGAACGGAAGGATCCCATGTGGATCTCCTCCATTCCAAATATGTCTATAAACAAATTTAGCTCACAGGGTGATTAATTTGCAGAGACCCTTTGGGAATAGGCCAGACTCTCAGTAGTCTAATGCCTTTAGCCAGTTACTCCCAGAAATTTAGCCAAACACCACAACAAGATCCTACTTTCAGAAAATTGCTTGAGAACCTTGGGATTAGGTTACCACGTACACGGGCACCTACTGGATTCGAATGTGTCTCCACAAAAAATAGGGGGGTGGAGGGGGCAGTCTTTGAGAACTGGGTTTAAACATAGTCTGCCTGGAGCAAATAGTTAGCATCTCATTTTGCATAATTTAGAATAAGCCAGAGAGGAGGAGGACGAAAACCCCCTCCCATGATCTCAGGACAGGGTGGCTGTCACCAGCATTGAACCTGAGCTCCTGGAGTGCTCAAGCCCCGGACCATCCCTCGACCCCATTCCACCAGCTTCTCGGAGCTCTGCGTAGAGAGAGGAGGAGGAGTTGAGAAAAAAAAGGAGACAACGATCTTTTGTGAACATCGCAGTTTTAAGTTAGTTCTCCTTGAAAGCTTTTGAGACACTAATTTTTCCAGTTATCGAAAAGTAGGGAGAAAAGACAAGTTACAAACTCCCTCTCTGCACCTACTCTCCACCTAGGTATGAGATCCTTTCTGCTTCCTTTTTCTAAAATAAATTCTCATTACTGATTTTAAATTGACAAATAATACCAGTTCAATACCTGCTTAAAAAAAAAAAAAAGTCAGGCAACTTTTCCACTGCAAAAATAAAACGCTGCAAGGTAGCACAACCCCCCTCTAACCCAAGCACACAAGCCACGCCGCTACACAACACAGACCTTTGTGCGCGGCTTCCTTTTAAAACCGCCAGTGCGCTATTTTCATTAAGAATATTAGTGTTTCATATACAGACAATGCACCAAGCACTAACAATCTGAATCACTTCCTGGCTGACTTAGAATATTTATTTCCCATTACTTTCTAGAGTTATAGCAGCTTCCCTCAATTTAAGAATTTTAAAATATATACATATATATTAATCTATATACATATGTATATATTCTCAAAGTTTGGAGGCAGTTCAAGGAGATTTGTGCACAGCACAGTAATGCTGAGGTGTTGTTTATGGTCATATTATTTGCCCGGATTTGGCTTTTCTCGATGCCAGGACCTTCCCAGGTAACAATAAAGCAAGGCAGGAGAAAACAGACATGTTTTACTGTTATTTTCATGTAGCTAAGAACTGAAGCAGGGCAGGCTCTTATAGAGTATTACACAGTTTACTGCATTAATAATAGGATGCCCTACTGCTGTGACACATTCTGTACTTGAAATAAATATTAGTCACAATACTTGTGCTTTAAATCCATATATTTTAAAGCCAGCTATAACAATGACACAGGCACCAGGGATGACTTGCCAATAAGGCATATTAACCACTTTGAAAAGAGCCTTCACTTCAGTTCAGCATTCATTGGTATGTCGTACCATTTCTTGCTATGAATCTTGCAGCTGGCTTTTAAAAATAGTAAAATGTAATAAATACAGGTTTCTGAAAAGTTCACATTCCCAAGTCAGAATGTATACTGACCTTCACTGCTGATTTAATTTATTTCATCATATGATCTTGCTGAAGATGCACTTTACTTTTAACTAAAAACTGAGGATATTTTTTATAACCAAATTTTCTAAAACTCGAGTCAGCCTGTGCCCATCACTCGCTCCTATAGATCCATGCCTTCGTGCCTGCTTTAAACTGGAATTTATAAGCATGTAAGTACTTGACCTATATTTACCATATACTAGAACACACCTTTTAAAATCGCAGCTAGCAAGTTGAGGCAGAAATGCCTACATCTCAAATTTGGAAGTGCACATCCGATTCAGTATGTAGATGGCTAACGCGGGCTCTGCTGGGAGGCAGAGCCTGGGAGCAGCCTGTGCCCAGGAGCTTGGAGGGATTCTACTTGGCTATTTTCCTGCAGAATGCGCCACGATCACAAGAGTGAGGAAATCCTGCCTTATATTTTGCAGAGAAAATAAAAATGGTAAAAATCTACAATAATGTAATTGATTCTTGACTTTTTTCCTTTAAAAACACAAGACAAATCCCTGTTCCTGTTGGCACAGAATTTCAGAAAGACACAATGGACATAGAAAGAAAAAAATGTCTATCATCTAAGAAAACTGCTTACTGCTGCAGCAGTGTGGTGGATGAACAACAAAAGCAAATCCAGAAACGAGAGCCTGGAAAACATGAAAAGGTTAAACAAGCGGCTTAGCGAATAGGCCTTCCTAGGAAATATGAAGTGAAAAGAACATCACAGTTGTGATTTCACCTTAATGTTTTAGTTTTATTTTACTGTAAGACAATGGAATCTATAAACAGTTTAACCCTAATTAAAATACAAATCCAATCCAGATATTCCCAAACCAGAAAATCCAAGCAGGTGATTTAATGAAGGAAGTACCAAAGCATAACTGAGCTCAAAAATCTCTCAAGAAATGATCCTCTTTTCCTTGCCTGACAATAACCATTAAAAATGGTAACAGGAGGCCTGTTTATTCCAATTCTCAGTAAGCCACACTGTTAGGTTTTTCTAAGTACATAAATTTAACAATATATTTCTCCAGTGAAGTTAAAATGTAAAAAAAGAGTCGGTTCAGGATGCTTATCTCTATGCAATTCACTATTTCCTATGTCCCCCAAGAAAATAGGCACACACGCAAAAAAATTAATATTTTGTTTGAGTTGCTGTCAACTAGCACTTTAGCCCTACATGGAGCACAGTGTTTTAAATGCAGAAGGACCTTGCCCGCAAGCCTAAGTCTTTAGGTTTTCATGCTTCCGGAAGGGTTCTCTAGTAGTAAATATTAACACTGGATTTTAAAATGTAACAAAACTCCTCTTTATGCGGTGTTCTGGGGAAAATGTGTGAGGCCTCTTACTCCTGACAGTCCTGAGGTTTTTCTATTTCAGTGTGGGGTGCATAAACAATTGGACACCATGGCATCACAACCCCGGGCTTGGTCACATATGACTGTGCATGTATCACAGGTGCCTCCATATCTACAGGTATGAGAACAAGTCCTGTTCTGCACACCTACGCGTGCCTTCAGCACGTAACCAGCAGGCAGTACAAAGTACACTTACACACATATACAACTCGTGTCACGTGTGCAAAGAATGACCCTCATTTATTTTCTTATTAGAAACATTTCTAGCAATGAGACTGCATCAGATTATCACTGCTATTAAAAAGGCTTTTATATTCCTGAAGAATACTGCGTTGTTGTGGGGTTTTTCCCCCAAAAAGTCTAAAGAAAGAGTTCAAGAATATTTTTCTTTAATCTAAGTCTGTAGCAAAAAGCAAAGACTGCATGGCAAAGACTACAATTATTCTATAGCAAGAAAAAAACCCTGAACTACTTCCGATTTAACCTTTACTTCCACCTAAGTGATGTCATAACAATGGTGCTTAGTGTATCTCAAGGACAAATGATCATGGAGGCTGTCTACAATTCCAGGAGTGTTATCGCTCCTGCAAACTGCTGTCCCAAAAATTATATTCATTGCTTTTCAAAATGTTATCAACTTAATAAATAAATACCTTCCTGGGTGAAAAATACAGTGGTACTTTATTTTGTTTGTAAGGGCATCCTCTATCAACCCTATTGATAAAAACTTAAAAAATTACCTGTTTCTACTCTGCCCAGCTACACCTTTTATTAAATCTATCAAACATGCTGATATTTACATTTTACAACCCTGATCCCTTAGATCAAATTATTTCCTTTAGCATTCTCTTCTGTCAGCAACCTACTGTCACCCTTAATCAATACTAAAATATTATGTCATTAAAAAATTATTTCAACTGTTTCAATCCCTTCACCATGAAGGTATTCACAAGGATTCTCAATGCTTTATCACAAATAAATTTTGTCTTCAGTTATTTTCATTCTTAATATTCTGTGCCATTATCTATTTTTATTGTTGTCATGAATGGTATTCTTGACTCAAAAAAATTTGAGTAAAAAAAAAATATACATGTTCACCATT
Organism: Homo sapiens; assembly: GCF_000001405.40. Taxonomy (NCBI): domain Eukaryota; kingdom Metazoa; phylum Chordata; class Mammalia; order Primates; family Hominidae; genus Homo; species Homo sapiens. The sequence goes on along the minus strand of NC_000018.10, from coordinate 75,218,907 downwards.
CTTTCGACCAGGAAACAGCCCTCCCAGCAAAGAGTATTGACTGACTACTCTCTTGTGGTCAGGTAGGGTCTGGGAGGCTCCGCCTCATCCCTAAGAAAGTTCCAATAAAACACTTGCTGTTCTTTGTCCATTGTGAACTTGAGCCTTGTCCCGGAGTAATTTACCATTTACTTTTTATAGGCTTTTCCGAGAGGAACCAAGAAAACAATAAGAACTGACGTGGGTGCAGGCTGCTAGGGTGGAACGGCTCCCCCCAGCCCGGCCCCCACAGTGTACAGGTGCAGGTGTGGCTCCTGCCCTTGGCTAAGTGGGGCTTGTCTAGTTAACGACTTACAATGATGAAAGTGTTTTGAACCATAGTCTCGTAGAAGATTGTTCTAGACCTGGCCTCTCAGGGAACATATATCCACCCTTAGCTGGGCATAGGCACATTTAATCAGCAGCTAATAACTGTACAGGAGGAGCTGTTCCCCTTCATAAATCAATGTGCAAAATTGCTAATACACTAGTTATCGATTAGCACACCAACACTCATTTTGAGGCTATAGCTAAGAACTAACAAAGTGACAAGGGTAAAGTGTTATTTCTTTCACACGCAGACAGCTGGGCTGGAAAAATGACTCCAGCAGGCAGTAATTCTTAATTGACACCTGTCAAGATAATGGCAGCAGTCACAGCTGCTGTAGGAGAATTTGTCCCTCGCCCTGTTCATCTGTCAGCTTTAATACCCTTCCTATGCACATATTTTTTTCCTTTGCTCTAATCTACCTAAATTGTCCTGGCTTTTGTTTGAAACCTGGGTTTTGGTAGCAGTTAATCCCTTCCTAATATCTGCCCCATCTATGATTCAACAATAGTGCACATCTTACACATAAAGTCAAGGCATTAGGGCTTGATTACACAAATGAAAAGGTGGGAGGTGGGGAAGAGAGGAAAACATGTACCTAAAAACAGAAAGAATCCCCCTGGGTAGCACACCTCTTTAAGTTTTCAGAATATTTTTAAATTTTTATGTTCTTTGAGGTTTCTTTTTATAACAATCGACCCAATATCCATTCTCTTCATGAGATATAAATGTCATTATTCTGTCATCACTGTGAGTGCTAGCTACCACTTGAGAATACTCAATCTCCCTAAGTCCCTTCTTTCCACGATCAACATAACAACATGCTCTTCGTGACACGCCATGCAGGTAGAAACCCATATACATAATATTTTGCATGAAACATAAAAGTCTTGCATTATTAAAGTTGCGGTCTAGCAAGAGCGAACGCAGCCCAACAAAGGCACAACCACACAAGGATTCCTTTCTCCAAAAAGAAAACCTGGTTCATTGTTTTCTTAAAAAGGATAAACCAGAAGATATCATTTACAACTTTGTTCTAATGCCTCCAAAGTACAGTCTTTACTTTCCTTTCTGCCTAGTAAAACAAACAAGAAACCAAAACAAAACAAACAAAAACACTACTATGACAAGTGCTCCATTTGGTCTATAAAATAAAAAACAGAAAGTAGAAAAAAAAAACCCTTGGAGGAGGGGAGAGGGGACAAACTAGTTCTATTATTCGATTCAGAATCCCTTACAGGTTGTCAAGTTGTTGTCTTCCTAAAAGAAAATGATTATCGCAAGTGTTCTTTGCAAATGTGAATTCACACAATCAATGATTATCTATTTCTTGGGATGTTCTGTTTATGACACTGTTAATCGTTCATAAGAACCAAGCAGCCCTCTGCAGAGGCCTGCCTAAGGCACTTTGCCCCACACACAGGGAGTAAGGTCTAGGCCCTGCCTTCCCTTCAGCAGCCAAAACTCTTGGCAAACCCCTGCCCAGGCCTCTCCACCACCACAGCTAAAGCATGCCTAGAAAGCAGGCGCCATTGATCAGGAACTTTCTGTTGATAGCATTTACTATACATGATCAGGCGGCACAGGGCACAATTAACCTTTCCCCTGGCCCTCCTCCTCGGTGAGTCTGGCGTTTGGCTGGAGTGAAAATGCACAGGCAGAAACAGGAGTGGGTCCCGGCCCAGTGGACCATGCCTTTCCAGAAGCTCCCCAAGCCAATACCATCCTGACCCCAACACTTCCTCCTTCCCACCCAGGCCCTCCTCCCTGCTCTCTGTTGAAACGTAAGCCTCACTGGTGGGCACCACCCTGGGCGACTGTCTTGGTTCAACTCCATCACCAATATGCTTTCAAAAGCAGCCACAAAAAATAGCTCACACATTCTGCACCCATATGCAGCCATCCAACGACCAGAATAGGGCAAAGTGATTTCTAAAATACTACTTCTGACCTAAGACAACACAAAACCTCTTATAACCAAGGGTATGATAAGTCTTAGGGAGAAAATGGTCTTACAGTGAAACAGTTTTCGTTATCGGCCTGTATAGATACTACAGAAACTTTCTGGAATGTATTCCCCTCCCCAATACATTAACATAAAATCTCTAACTTCCTACCCAGATCCAGTTTCACTTCTATTTGGCCTAGAAGAGCTCATCACAAATTACCCCACCACTGTAAACATCACAAGCACCGCAACAGGAAATACACAATATCACCATTTTTTTAAAGAGTAATTTTGAAGTATACTACACAACTAGATGTTTTTAAATACATTAACATAATATTAACATAATAAGCAATGAAAGAAAATTATCCATTGTTTGCTAACAGTTATGCTAAAGAGATGCAGTGAGTAGGAAATAAGACATGCCTACAATTAAAAAAAAGATATTTCGGTCTTCATTCAAAACTGTTTCTTACTATTTTCATCCCCCTGTATGAATAAATAATAATTAACAAAATTAAACTTAAATATTCAGAAAGCATACGCAGGCGGCGCCTAAATCTCTTAGTGAATGAATGAATGAATAAAACTGACCAGCCCCCCTCCCCTTCCAACCCTCCCCCACCACACACCCACAAACACAAACACACAGACACACATACACAGAGTATAAGCACAGAGACTCCAGCACACACACTCCCAGCAGAACAGGGCAGCCTTAAGTAGCTGACAAAATACTAACAAAGGAACACATGTAAATACATGCTACGGCCCCTCCCCGTGGGATTACAACCTGTGTGTGCAGGGTGGTAGGAGGGCGGCCATTACAGTGGCACCACTAAGACAAATTGTTTATCCAGACACTACATGTTTTCACAGAATATTTCCTGTTCATCTTATTTATAAAAGCAGTTTACCTCTGAAATCTACTTACTCATCCAATCAACATCATTTAATATTTTGCAATGATATTGCAGTTGGAAGTTCATCATTTAGCCTTCCTGGGAGGAAAAGGTGCCATTTTAGGATCAAGCATTTTCCCTCCTCTGTTCAACTGAGAGCTACAACTGGGGTGTTGAATCTAAACATCCATTTCTACAGCTTGACAAAATTTGAGATATCCACCGTTTAAGCTTTTTCTCAATATCAGTTTTCTTTGTGTGTGTGTGCCAGGGTGGAATTTCAGGCCTACCAGGGCCTGAGATGTTCACCATCTTGAGAGAGGCACACTCCTGTGATTTCACAGGTATAATTCTTACCCAGACACAGACTTGCCCTGCCCTAGTCCACATATTTACAGATGGCATGAGAATCACTGGAGACGGCCCGGTGTGCTCCCAGCCAGCGACATTCTCTGGTACAGATCTATTCTGCATACACCTGAAAAGACTGATTTTTAATAACTTTTTATTTCAGGCCTGTCCCTCCCTTTCACTTAAAACAGCATGTCTAAGTCACAGCAACTATAACCATGAGGGTCTTCAGCATTGAAGAAATAAAAATACATAACAGCTGAGTGGTTGGTTTTCTGTCTTGGCTTGATTGCACAGTTCAAAGCCAGGATTACGGAGGTCATTAAGCAGCATTGTCTCGGTGACATGATTAGTCAGGTAGCAAAGTCCATTTGTCACCTGCACCAGCAAATTGAGTTAATACTGCACTACAGGCTATGGGGACTGTATAATATCAACGTGATTACATCAAGCGGGATGCAAACTTGACAGCTCACTGAATTTGTCCGCATTAATCGTTACGCCTGTCACAAATCCATCAGGTTTACAGATAATTAGGGGCCTGTTAATGAAGCTGGCTAAACAACCTTACCTTTTTTGATAATTAAGAAGCCGCTTCATTACGAAGGGACCATTTCCTCTGAGCAGTATTTCTTTATTTTTTTTACATAAGGAGGATTCATTTGGATAATTTTCCCTTCCTCTCTCATCACTGTGAAGTATTGCTATTCTACATCTGTCATCCACCAACTTCCTGGCTACCAAACAATCAATTATTTGACACTAAGATACTCTCAAGAAAAACTCATCAGTTACGGATGGAACAGTGAGGCAGGCCAACATGCAGCTTTAAGAAAAAAACAGTCAGGATGTTATAATAAAAACACTTTGGAAAATCGCTTGACTCACATATGTATATCATTGCCCTCTTTCTTTTCCAGAAAATGAACAAATAATATTTGCTACCAATGCATTGTGGCTACTTTAAGAGGGAATCTGACTGGCTTCTGCAGAGATTATAAACATCGACGGCTCCTTATTAAACGCTTAAGATGAAGGAAATCAGGATTTTCTCACCTAGCCCATTACAAATATAGGAAGGACTTATGCCAATGTAAATATTAGTGAAAATAAGCAAGTGTGAACCAACGTGTGTTAATGGAAGTAATTCCAGATGAAAGCAAACAGCCTTATTTTGCTAGGAATCCACGTTAATGCTTTTTATGAGTGAGGGGGGAAGAGCTAAACAATGGCTCATCTAATGAACACAAGAATCCCACAGGTTTGGAATCAAAGTAGAGATAATAAACCCTGTAATTAAACTTACACAGAACCTTCTAGTATGGAATCTATTTTTGAAATCTCACTTCAAAACACAGGACACTTGGAACATGTGCTGTCTCAATTTCCTCTCAACTAAAATATATTTTGGCTCCATTTTTTAGGGTTTTTTCCCTCTCAAGTTCCTGTACAGCAGATGACTCAGTCATCAACTCTTCATAGCCATCACTTTGCAGCATTTTGATTAAGTATGCCAAATGTCGTGTAGAGGAAAGAATGGAAACACTAAGCCTGCCAACTTTTGATTGACCATTAAAGCCAATGATATATGTGCCTGTCAAAAGACAGACAATTAAATCAATATTGGAAAAAAGTCGCCTTGACGGCTTGTTTTTATGTAAGAGCTGCCAGGATGGATTACCATGCACCATCATGCCCTTGTCAACTTTCAAACCTTTTATTTAAAAAAAAAAAAAATGTGGTATTTAAAGTTGCAGTACCTCATTCCCTCAGCATTTTGTTTGTCCTTGGAAATATTCACCGCAATTTTAACTGCAAAAGTTCTTAAGAGTACAGGAGTAGTTTTCTGAACACAACTTTTTATTGTACATTCTGTCATTTAAAAAAAAATCCCTCTAACTGTGAAAATGTAAAGACCTCTTGTTTCTAGCATGAGCAAGTGGCGAATATCTTGAGACACTGAGCTATATTATTTGGGGGCTACCAGTGGCATAGATACTCTCTTTGAAAGGTTTCTTCCTCCATTACTCAAAGTTATTCCAAAATAAATATTCTCCATTCTGTTCCTTTTATGTTGTGAATACTCAGCATAAGGTAATCTCCTTCAACTCTTTGAGAGCATCTCTATCAGTGATCTAATGGAAATGATGAGGTTATTTTACTGAACCATTCATAAACGTAGATACTATTCCCAAATTTTTTTAGTAGCAGTAATCTCTGCTTTAAGTGCTTCCCCAGAAAAAGCACGTATAAAGACTTGAACACGTGCACATTACTGAATGTGATACTCAAACTTATTCAGATTCTATTCTGTACTGCAACAGCTAAAGAGTCGCTCATGTTTAAACATAAAACACTCCTTCTAATATTTTTACCCTAAGAGCTTGGAGAGAGTTGATTTACTCTATTATTTAGCGATAACTCACTGGCATATGGGTTGCATTCTCAGCCCCACAAACGCAATGTCCAAAACTGAGACAAGACTTGAGCAGGCAGCAGAATCACTGGGCTATTTTCAAACCTGTGCTCAAAAACGCACGGCAGCTGACCCACCCCAGGTTTAGCAATGGATTAGTAGGTGAGCTGAGTTAAGGGATGCTGCAGCTGTAAAACTTCTGAGACAAAATTAAAATGGAGCAGCAAAAGGGGGAGCGAGAGAGAAAAGTTGCCCTGATAGTGGCGGAGCTGTCAGGAGCATGTGTGTTTCCATGGTGAGTGATTTATTGATGTTTATCAGGAATGAATAGATCAAAGGCTGCCAGATGACAGGCGATCAATCACACATCAAATCAAGGATGGCAATCCTCTAATAAAACAGAAAACAAGGAAAACCAGCTCCTGCCAGTTCCTCCTCCAGAGAAAAATAACTTTTCTGTTCAATCAGAGTCTGCACTATCACTGCCTTGTGCTGGCCTGATCAAAAGACATCTTTAGAGGTAATAAAAAAAAAGTGGGGGCGGGGGGCCTCTTGCACAGGACATTAAAGGCTGCTGTTTTCCAGAGAAATCTTCTGAACACATTCTTTGCGTCCCAGCCTGGTGACCTTGTTTTCAAGTGTCAGGTTCAGCCTCCCCGCCTTTGGAGGACTTTTCCAGTGCGCTCCGGCAGCCAAGGAGCAACTACTTCCCCTCAGCGCACGCCCCCTCCTGAGGTAGCCAGAAGCACCCGCCGTCCCGCGGCCCCCGGCCTCCCCCGGCCATCCGGGCTTCCCGCAGCGCAGAGAAGCACCGCGAACTTTCTCTGCTCCACGCGCCGGCCCAGGTTGGGGGTGTGGGGGAGGACGGCGACCGCAGCCTCCAGACGACTGTGGCCAGCGCAGGCTGGGCCTCCCCTCCCCAGCTTGGGGCGGCCCGCGGCCCACGTCCCGCACCTCGGCCCGCGAAGCCCCCTCCTCCTGCTCCTCCCGGCGCCCACTCCCCGCGGCGCGGGCCGCGCGCCCGTTACCTGCCGAGCGCCGGGGGGCCTGCTGCTTCCTCCTCGGCATGCTGCTCGGCCGCCGCAGCCGTCGCCTCAGCCGCCGCCGGAGTTCGCGGGGCGCGGGGACGCGGGGCCCCGGGCGCGGGCGCAACTCCGCGGCGCGCCCAACTTTGGCCTCGTCCCCGCGGGCTCCGGGCTCCGGGCGCGCCGCGGACCGCGGGGAGCCGCTCGCATGGACCGCCGCGCCCGGGGCCGCTCAGGAGGCGGCGGCGGCGGCCGCGCGGCCCGCTTCCCGGCGCCGGGCTGCGGGCGGAGCGCGCGGGGCCTGGGCGCCGAGCCCGGAGTCATCCCCGGCGCGGGCCGCGGGCGCAGCAGCGGGCGCTCGGCGGGCCGGCCCGCGGCCCGCGCTCCATGCTGCCGCCTCCCCGCCGCCGCGCTGCTGCTGGGCGGGCGCTCCTCCCGGCGCGCCGCTCCGGGCGCTCCCCTGCGCCTTCTTCCGCGAGCCGAGAGTCGCCGAGCGCAACTTTCTCTCCCCCTCTCTCCTCGCTGTTTGGGGGTCGCGGCGAGTGTTTTTAGTGCGCGGGTCGCAGCTTTCTCATTGTGCGCCAGCGAGGCCGATGCAGGCTGTCCTTTTCCTCCCCGCACTTAGTCTAAGAGGAAGAAAGCAAACAAGACAGAGGAGTGAAGCCCCCGTACATACATGCGCCGGGGGGAGATGTCAGGCGCTGCTCCACCTTCCAAACAGTCACAGATCAAACAGTGTCACCCCGCCGGAGCGCCACTTGGTGCCCCGCGCTTCCACCCGGGGGGCTTGGCCGCCAGGATCGCCGCTTCTTCCAATGCGAAATCTAATGCAAACACATTTTGATCATGGATTTTTGGCCGGTCTTGATCTTCCAACAGAAAAAAATTTGAAAAATACACAAAAAGCACCCCCCCCTCCAAGAAAAAAAAAAGGCAACAACAACCCGGAGAGTGTGTGCAAAGGGGGTGAAGAGCAGACATTCACTGGGTGGGCGAGATGAGCGTGGACTGTCCCCCCCCCCCTCAAACTCCTGGGAGAGAGGGAGATGCACTCTCGCTCTCTCCTCTTTTCAGTGAAATATAACACACATTCGGATCGCAGAGCTTTCAGACAGTCTCAACTGATAGACAGACACATCGAGCTGCTTTTCCTGCTTCAGTTTTTACTCCTCCTCCTCTCGCCAACGTCACCCTGACAATTACAAATAGGTCTCTCACAAACCATACCTGTCAATCTTTTTAATTGCTTTGTTTTCTTTTTTTCGGAGCTAAACAATATGACAAAAAAAAGAAATCTTAATACAGCATAACATAAAAGATTGTACATTGGAGGAATTCATTCAGTGTTGTTATTGTAACCCACTGGCTGATACCGGGTAAAACCCATATGCTCTAAGTTAAGTAGACATTAGTTCCTGCAGATTTTTAAACCTGTTAGTTCCCCCCCAACACACACACATACACATACACACACTTGCACATTCATACACACGCAACCACGTGCATCCAAACTACCCTTGGGTGAAGCATGTCCTACATTTGGGGGGAAAAATATCTGTGTCGCTTTTGCAATCTCAGGTTGGGGGGTTAGATTTGGCTGGGGAGGAGCCCAGAGTAGCTTTTATATTTTGGTAATTCGTGGGTAACTGAAAAGCAAGATATTTTTAAAATTAAATTTTACAATTTAAATAAAAATGTAAAGATGGACTTAGTTCATCACAGAAAAGTGTGGAAATATTTAATTTGGCCCCTCTATAAAAAGTGAATTGACATTTGGTCCATGCACGCCAGTAGGGAGAAAACGGACACGATGGAACGACAGATCTTTCTAGCTGGGTTCGAAAATGAGGTCCTCACACAGCAGTGCAACGTCTCCAATTCAGTTAAGTCCCTCGGCATCCCCACGTAGAACTTTAAAATGTGTCTGTGCTCTGGGAATTTGGCCTTCTGGTTTTCTATATGTGTGTTCTCTCCCAATGGGAAACCTGTAACAGTCTTGTAGATCTACTTAAAACATTCATGGAAAAACATGAAATCTAGGCCAAAATAAATAAAATGGCTTAGTTCCTGCAACTTGCATGGGACAGACCGTGGACAGAAAGCACGCGCAAGGGGTTCCGGGGACAGGAAGCCACCAGCCTGGGGAGCGGGAGGCACTGGACATTTCCCCGCCCCGCGGTCGGTACGGGTGCGCGTGCGGCAGCGGCGGCAGGGGCTCCCCGCCCTGCCCGGGGTCCCCGGTCGTGCCCCGCCGCCCGGGCCGCGCTCGGGGTTGATTCGTACCACCTTGCAAGGAAGTGAACGCTTCGCACGGGAAGGGGAGGCGCCTGCGCCGGCCGCCGCGCAGCTCCGGGGACGCCCGGGGCTGCCGCCGGCTCGGGGCCGCAGACGACCGCGGGACGCGCGAGTCCCCCGTCCCCCCTTGCCCGCCGTCCCCCCCGCCACCCTTGCCCGAGAGGAGTCAAATCCGGCTTTTAGAGCTCGGGGAGGGTGGGGATATCCGGTGCCTCTCCCGCGCCAGGAGGAAGGGGGAGGGCGGAGAGGATCCTTGGCCAGTCTGCGCCGAGCAGATTCAAACCAAAACAAAAAGATTAAAGGAGCAGCGGCCGGGGCGGCAGCGGTCCCCAGGCCGGGACACCCGGGGTGGTGCGCCCGGGTTCGCGGGGGCTGCGCCGGCGCCGGGGAGGCGGGGGGAGCGGGAGCGGGCGACGCGGGGAAGGGGGGAGCCAGGGGGAGGGCGCCGGCCGGAGGAGGGGCGGACCCGCCCGCCCTAGCCGAGCAGAGCACAGCCGAGCCGAGCGGCCCGGGCGGGGGCCGACCCCGGCCAGCGTCGGCGCAGAGAGCGGGCGGAGGCGCAGGCCATGCTGCGGCTGGTGCCCACCGGGGCCCGGGCCATCGTGGACATGTCGTACGCCCGCCACTTCCTGGACTTCCAGGGCTCCGCCATTCCCCAAGCCATGCAGAAGCTGGTGGTGACCCGGCTGAGCCCCAACTTCCGCGAGGCCGTCACCCTGAGCCGGGACTGCCCGGTGCCGCTCCCCGGGGACGGAGACCTCCTCGTCCGGAACCGGTGAGCCCGGCGCCCCCCAACCCCACGCCCCCGTTCTCGCCCCGGGCTCGCGCCGCGCCGCGCCGCTCCCGCAGTCCCCAGCCCGCCCGCGTGCCCACACTCCGGCGCGCGCTCGGGCGCACAGCCTGAGTTTGCGAGATCCCGGGAAGTTGAACCCGCCGCCATCTGGCGAAGGCGAATGTGATGTGACTGTTGCTGGTGTGAATATCCGATGCCACCGAACGTCCTCATAACTGAGGGTTATTTTAATTTGGGATTCCCCTCCCCTCCTCCAGCCCTCCCTCCTCCCCCTCCCGCTCCCGAAATAAAACCGACGGGACCCAGAAGGGGAGGCTCCCCGCCGGGCCGCCCGCGCGCACCCACAGTTCCTGCGTTGACATAATCTTTAGGGTGGAGCGGGAGCAGCCTGGACGCAAACTGCGACGTTTAGGTAAACGTGCTTCGGAGGAAGGAGGCTGGGACCCGGCTGGCTTTCCCTGTTCCCTCCAGGTTGGCAGCCGCCTCGCAGTGGCGGAGCCTGTCGTTGGATGTGTGGGTGTGCACCTCGCCGGTGTTGTCTGCGTGCTGTCAGTGCAGTGTGACTGTTGTCTGTCCCCTGAGTGTTAACGACCGCCGCGTGGCGCGTGTCCCGGGCAGCTGGGCCAGGGTCGGGGTGGGGGCATGGCTGCCTTTGCCGGCACGTTTTGCAGACATTCAGGTGACACCGGGTTGTTGCGAGACCTTCTGGCTTTTCCATTCCCCGCGCTCCCCACCGTCGTGTTTCCGCCTCACTCATCTTTAGTAACTGGCGAAGCAACAGGGAGGAAACGGACCTCACTCTTTATCGGAGCCATGCCCGCTTAGGTCTTTGCTCCGTGGGTCCCTGGCTGCCCGACTTGACTGGCAAGGCGCTCCTCTATGCCCTCTGCAGAGGCCTGCAAAGTCCCATCGAAATGTTTACGGTGCTGCATGTGTCAAGTTGAATAATAATATCGAAAGGGAGGAGTAAGTTCTGACTGTAACTATGTTGTAAATTGTGTACTAGAAAGTACCGTAAAGTCCCTTGCACGGACTGAAGGACAAAATGTACCTTCCTAAGTAGCTTGATGCAGCATTTAATTTGTCCATTTTCGAGATTCCTATTAGCCTTCCTAACAAGACTGTAGTATGGAAGAATGCTGATCACGATATAAAACTTTTGGAAACCTTTTGGGAAGAATGATTGAACCATGGGTAGGATTGTGTGGAGGCGGGGGTGGGGGGCTGGTCTGGAATGGCTTAAAGGGGAGTGTGTAGGGATCCTTGAAAATGTTTGCATTGGCTGTGGACACAGCAGAGGATTGATTCATTATGGGATGAAATGCCAGTGCTGTTGAGAGTAAGAGCGTGCACCCAGCCCAGCTAAAAAGAAGGGCTTGAGTATGTGTTCACGTGGAGCACACAGAACGCATGAGTGATTTGCTAGAAGTTGAGATGACACCAGACTGAAAAGATTTCCAAACAAACTTTAACGGGCAAGAAGTTCCACACAGGGTTTTTCCCTTTTTCTCCTTCTGATAAAGTGTACTCTTGATTGCAAACACTAGTATAAACACACACAAAAGTTTGTGAATAAAATTCCTTTTGGAAATGGTGTGATATGGGGAGGAGGCGACTGAGCGAGGAAGGGCAGGGGGAAGGTGAGGCGTTAGAGAACTATAAGCCACAGCCTGGTGGGACCACCTGCCTTTGGTGGAGAGGTGGAGAGGGCTCCCGCCGGGCTGCGCTGGGTCTCCTGGGCCTCTCTACCTGCGAGTGTTAATAAACTCTGTGGGGTTTTTTTTCCTCCTGTGATTCCTCTCCCTTCAGGCTTACTGCTGCCCTGGGACCCCTCCCTTTCCCCTTCCCCAAAGGGCAAGTTCTCCCCTGGGGAGAGAGGCACAGCCAGGGTGCCTAGGCACTGCCTGCCCTGGGTCACCAGGGTTGGTCCTGGGGCGGGAGACAGGTGGATCCCTGAATTTTGTGGTCAGAACGCGGGAGTGCAGACTCCCATGTTTGGAGCTCCCCAATGTGCTCCACTTTAAAATCCATGCCTCTTTTTTCCCTGCACACACGCCAAGAATCCTTTTAATATAAATAGTATCTCCATATGAACAACCTAACCCCTAGTTTCTTCCTTGAATCCTTAAGGGAAAAGAATGGGGACAGTTTTCTTTTGAGTTGGGAGGGGACAGAATCTTTGCCTCCCGCTTTCCCTACTCTGTTGGAAAATCTGCTCCCACCACCACGTTGTAGGAAGATCCTGTGTTCTTGCAAACAGTGTCAGTGGATGTGACATTTTACCGAATTTTTTAAGAATAGAGGCTTAATAATTCACTGCAGGTTAGTTCATTTTAATCCTAGACCAAATCTCCCCTAAGCAATGTTAATTGCTTTAAATTTTATGCAAGTGCCTCTCATTTTTATCATCTTAAAATCCGCTCTAGAATGAATTGAGTAAGCCTAAATTCCCTTGTTGGGAAAGATGTTTGGTGGTTTTAATTGTGCTCTGATTTTTTTTCTTTCAGTGAACAATTTGCACATTTCATTGCATCTTAGCACAAAATACAAATTCTTCATTCACAGGGAGGGATGTGCTTGTAAGCTAGACATTGATTTAGGATAATAAAGTTTACTATTTAGAAAAGATGTAAGAAGGGGCATATAAAATCCCTATAGAATGTATAATTGATGGTCCTTTATCCAGTTCTTACCTTACTGTTTTATGTATCCGAGAACAACTTCCCATCTCCCCCTCTATGCTCAGTCCTTAGAAAAGAAAAAGAGAGAGAGAGACATCCCCAGGTTAAATCAGTTTATGCACTATTTTCAGCTTTTTTCGTAAGAAGGTGACAGATTATTTCGTTTCCAAATATTTCTAACGATTTTCTGCTCAAGTGTAAGATAATGGAGCAAAGAGTTTGTAGGAATGGCTAAGGGACGGTGGGGGATGGGGAAGGCGTTTTTGATAAACGGTTTGTTGCTTACGGAAGGGGAACAGTGTTTTCTGCTGACTCTCCAGGCCGAGATTCCCACCCCCTCCCCCCCGCTTTTTTTCTTGTCTTTCTTTCTTGTCTTTCCTTCTTTGTTTCTTTCTTTCTTTTTCTTTTCTTTCTTTCTTTTTTCTTTTTTTTCTTAAGGCAGGTCTGGTTTGGACGACTTTGTTTTGTCTCCCAGTATTGAAGGCTTTTACTCTGGACTTGAATCCTCGCCTTTGGTTTTTGTTCAGAGGAAAGCGTTCCTCTCCCCTGCGCAGGATCGCTCTGTTTCTCAGTAAACATGACGAGGGGGTTTAGCACTTTTTAAGTACATATAAGCTGGTGACTCTAGAAGGGTACAGATTTGGAGAATGCCTGCGCCGGTCCTATTCTTTTTTCCTGGGGTTTCTGGATTTTAGTCTTTTAAGTGGATCCTCCCGTCGGATTACTAGAATCCTGCGCTCACTGCATGCACACAGTTTCAATTAAAGGGGGGGTGGGGGTACAAGGAGGGTCTCCAAATGCGCGAATCCTTCCCAGTGTGTCTTTCTTGTCTTTCTGTGGCTCCCTGGCCCTTCCGCCCCTGCTCCCCATCCCGAGCCCCGCATTCGCTTTGCGCCTGCTGCGCTTGAACTTGTTTCTGGTGGAGCGGAAGGCGCGAGCTGCGGACCCTCACGCAGAGGTAAGGACTCAGGCGGGTCCCGGGCTGTGGAGGGTCCTCACCAGCCGCGGGGGCGAAGCCGCGTCAAAGCAGGGATCCCGGTGGAGGTGGGGGTCCGCGAACCGGAGGCAGGGAGACCAAGGAGACAGCGCGGCGCGAGGAGCCACCCGAGCCGCCGCGGGCTCCTGCCGTCAGCCAGCCTAAGCCTCCTTCACCGACGACGCAGACAATTTAGAAGACGGCGGGGCGGGAGAGCGGGGGTGAGAAATGGGGGTGCCTGCGAGGCCAAGGTCACGGTCAAGCCGCCGGCGGGCCCTGTCTGTCGGCCACTGCGCTCCGGCGCGCCGAGTGCACGGGACTCGGAGAGAACTTGTCCACCCAGGCGGAGCTGCGCGGCCGGCGCTGGGACGAAGGGCGCGGACTGGGCGCGCCTGCCGGGGCCCCCGCCCGACCCGGAGAGGCCGAGGTCACGGTCGCAGGCCTGAGGAATCTCAACTCCACCGCGGCGCCGGGCCTGCGCGGTCCCGGCCCGCCCGGGAGTTGGGGTCAATGAATCCCCTCTCCGTGGTGGCGGTGGGGATGCCGTAGGACTGCACGGCTGGAGCTGAGGGCTGCAGCGGGCACTTCTGAGGGAGAGGGAGTTAGATGGACGGAGCCTGGACGGGCACGCGGGCCCCGCGCGTCTGCTGCCACCGCTCCAGCGCTTGCCCTTGCGAATAACCACGATGTTTGGTGTGGTTTTTCAAGCAAAGGCCCCTGGCAAACTCAAGCAGCCGCTGGCTGGCTGCAGCCGCCCCAGCTCCCAGCAGAGCCCCACTCCCCCCTCCCAAACTTGGCCTCTGCTAACCCGGTCCAGCGCGTGTGCGCGCTCCCCAGGCTGCTCCGGTGTGCGTCCTGCTCCATCTCTCCACCTCTTCCCAGGAAGCGGCAAACCACAGCCTGGGGCGGGGAGAGGGGGGGTTGCATTTTCCCCTTGCAGAGCCCCCCAGGGCGCGCCCATCCCGAGGTGGGGAGGACTGCCGTCGCAGAGGGGCTGGCCGCCCGGGTGTCCCCCCAAGGCGGGGTCTCCCTGCAGAGGAGCGGCTACTGCCTTTGGGACTGTGGAGACACCAGGGGGACAAACTGGGAGGGATGAAGGGCGTGGGAAGGGTTAATCGTGGGCAAAGGATTGCACAGAACACAACTGGCAGTGGGTCGGCTCCTGTCCCCCCACTTCCAGAGCAAACCCTACCGTCACTTCCACCCCCACGGGCACCTTTCCTGGAGTTTGCTTTACAGCCTAAGGCAGAGGCACTGAGACGGGCTCCAGCTGGCTCTGCCCTGGGCTGCTGCTGTGAAGTCCAGAAGCAAGCTCCCAGGGAAGTGGGCCCTTTTTAAAACGCCAGGCCTTGAGAATTATGTAAATTTAAAGGAAAGATGGCAGGTTCTTTCCCTTCTCTAAAAATAGAATGTAGGAAAAAAAAAATAGAACGTAGGCATCTTGATATTAAATTCCAAATAAGAAACCAGCAAAACTCATCTTCCCCCTTCTCATGATTGTGTATCTTCCACGGGTATGGAATTGTGTGGGGTGTTATTGAGGCTGTGTGGTGTGCTGGCGTCTGAATGCAGCTTGACATAACAGAAAGCAGTTGCTCCCTGCGTTCTTATTTCTACAATATACAGAGACTTTTCTGTCCTGTAGATACATGGGGGATGATCATAAGTGAGCTTTTATAAGCGCAGAGTATTACCTATATCACCGTGAAAGTGTATCGCATACAGGACAGTTTTGGCTTATTAAGTTAAATTAAAAGTGAATTCCTTTTAAATGACCTGCTTAACGGCTTTCCTCCTCCACCAGTTACTATTACCTTTTCATTCTATTACAGGTGGAAATGACATTTTTAGGGTCTTCCATTATGTGTCTAAGCCACCTTCTGACATTCTTAGTAGATGGCTTTTTTCCTCCTATGTATCAGGATATTTTTGTTAGGAGGTATACTGAGATGAAAAAAGCTGGGAAAAATACTGGCCTCGCAATTAAATTGACTCCGGATACCAAGATGAAAATAATCATCTGGTATTAATCAAGTTATGTCTCTGCTTCTTGTTGAGGAAAAATATAGTAACGATTTGCTTTCCTTTTCATTTGAAAAGGACTGTGAAATGTTGAATGTTTCATAAAAATCGCTCTACCCAATTTTTGTTCAATTAATCAAAATGCGTATTTTCACACTGGATGTAGTTACATCAGAAAGAAAATTTGCGACAGCCACTCTAACAGTGCTTCAAACAACCCCTGCAGGAACATGTAGCAACCAGTGACCTTGCACATTCCATCAATCTTTAATAATATCATTGTCATTACTCTTATTATCTTAAGTGTTAAATTGTTGCCAGAATCAATACAAGTCTACTTCTTTGAATATATTTTATCCCAGTGTTGTTTTTAACATCTTTGTTAAGAGGCCAATTAATTTCCAACTCACAGCTCCAGTGAAGTTTATATATAATGAGGATTTCCTGACTCTTTTTCTTTTTTCCTTCTTTTCTTTTTTTTTTTTTTGCTTATTTCTACTTTTGAAAGAAGACAAATAAATGGCATGTGAAAATGTGAAACAAACAACTTGCCATTTAAAATGATATGAAATTATTTCTAAACTGATGAAAGGAAAAAATATGCCAAAAACTGAGACAAAGCACATTGAACTAATACTTGTTTAATTTCTTTTTTTATCTGAGCAGCAGGACTAATTTTCTCAAATTCGATCAGATTGTATAGCTTAGCAACCCCTCCAGGGTCGCCAGAACTAGAGGAATTTCTCTAAGCAGAATCTAAATGCCTAACAAAAAACCCATCGTAACATATTTGTTTGTTTGTTTTCTTTTAGATTTGTTGGTGTTAACGCATCTGACATCAACTATTCAGCAGGCCGCTATGACCCCTCAGTTAAGCCTCCCTTTGACATAGGTTTCGAAGGCATTGGGGAGGTGGTGGCCCTAGGCCTCTCTGCTAGTGCCAGATACACAGTTGGCCAAGCTGTGGCTTACATGGCACCTGGTTCTTTTGCTGAGTACACAGTTGTGCCTGCCAGCATTGCAACTCCAGTGCCCTCAGTGAAACCCGAGTATCTTACCCTGCTGGTAAGTGGCACCACCGCATACATCAGCCTGAAAGAGCTCGGAGGACTGTCGGAAGGGAAAAAAGTTTTGGTGACAGCAGCAGCTGGGGGAACGGGCCAGTTTGCCATGCAGCTTTCAAAGAAGGCAAAGTGCCATGTAATTGGAACCTGCTCTTCTGATGAAAAGTCTGCTTTTCTGAAATCTCTTGGCTGTGATCGTCCTATCAACTATAAAACTGAACCCGTAGGTACCGTCCTTAAGCAGGAGTACCCTGAAGGTGTCGATGTGGTCTATGAATCTGTTGGGGGAGCCATGTTTGACTTGGCTGTAGACGCCCTGGCTACGAAAGGGCGCTTGATAGTAATAGGGTTTATCTCTGGCTACCAAACTCCTACTGGCCTTTCGCCTGTGAAAGCAGGAACATTGCCAGCCAAACTGCTCAAGAAATCTGCCAGCGTACAGGGCTTCTTCCTGAACCATTACCTTTCTAAGTATCAAGCAGCCATGAGCCACTTGCTCGAGATGTGTGTGAGCGGAGACCTGGTTTGTGAGGTGGACCTTGGAGATCTGTCTCCAGAGGGCAGGTTTACTGGCCTGGAGTCCATATTCCGTGCTGTCAATTATATGTACATGGGAAAAAACACTGGAAAAATTGTAGTTGAATTACCTCACTCTGTCAACAGTAAGCTGTAAAAACAGAACAATGACATAAATCAAGGGAGAAAGAAAATGGGCACTTTATGTCTCAGAATTACTCAAATCAATTTATTTTTAGTTGGTAATGGATATAATATTTCTTAAAACAAAAGTAAGGTGTTAATGAATAGGTCTCTCCTTCTCCTCCTCCTCCTCCTCTTCCCTTGGGGGAAAAAAAAAAATGTGCTAATAAAACTTCCCTCCATGGCTAAGAGGGAAAACGCTTACATTCAATTCTTTAGTCATGGATGGTCTCGTTCCAGATGTTATTGTTCCAGGGAACTAAATTCATTCCTGATGCCAGATCTGATCGAGTCAGTATGTCTTCAGCTTGATCAGATTTTAAAATCAGTTTTGAAAGTGGTTCCCGACTTCTTTGCTTTGGGAGAATTTGGTCTTATGCTCATAAGCAGTTCATGAGTGACAAGTGTAGCAAAAGCCAGCCATATATTTTCAGAATCTATATCCTCAGGAAATGGTCCTTTTTTTTTCTATAAATCACCAACCAACTATCTAAATGGACATTTGGGGGAATTCCCTCCCAAATTTGATTTTGTTATTAGAAAAATGATTCCGTGAACACAGATGTGTTTTGAAGAAGTAGCACGTAATGGCTTTTATCTACCATCAACCTGATAAGGCACATGTGAAATGGAAATGTTCTCTTTCCTCTGAAGCAGCAAATTAATGTTGAAAACTTACATAGACAGAAAGTAGGTTTTGGAAAGGGAAACCACAGAGATTAGGGGGACTTAAAATTAATATAGGCACAGGAAAGAGAAAAGTGTGCGCTCCATTCTCAGTGGGGGTTCACCACAAAACACGGGCCCCAGGAGGGAAGCGCTGTCTAGGCACACGGCAAGGCCTTAGTAACAGCATGCTACACTGCTCGAGGTACGGTATGTCCCATCGCCCTGTGCACCGTAGAGACCTCAGTCATCTCAAGGAAGAATACATTTGCTTCTCCTTAGAGGCGTTCGAACTAGAAGCTATGCGTTACCTCTGATTCTGGAAACAGAATAGCAGCCACTCATTCTGCATTCCCATTTTTCTCTCCACGTGTTCTGGTGGAATGAGATGCTCCTTGGCACTATAGCCTGATGTCCCACATTGACCCACTGACCACACAGGAAAAGCAGCGAAACCTGCACCCTCTCTTCTGAGTCACGCCTGTGGCTCATCGGCTTCCCTCTTAACCTTTAGTGCCCTGAAGACTGCTGCCGCTGTCACCGTTGCGCTGAAACCCCATGGGCCCGTTCTGATTGAAGGTGAAGCCCACCAGATTATTTTTCAAAGTCTTAGGTTTCGGTGTATCTAACCTGCTCAGTAAATATGGACGCAATTAAAGATGCTCTAGGAAATTTGGGGACTGTATTTAATTTTTCTTTCCTTCCATCTGAGGAGCAAGGAAATCCTACTGCTGAATAGCTGTTAGTATCTATTTTACAAGATTTACTCATTTTCAGGTACCTAATGTAGCTGCTAGCATGCATGCACAACAATACAATTTATATGGTAAATGGAACCAAATAATGGCTTCACTGAATGTTATGGCTGCACTGAAGGGAAATGTCACGGTAAATAGCTGCCAAATTATGGATCATGCCGAAGTGTCACAACTGCACTAAAGACAAATAGCACTAGAGGCTATTGCCACTGTGACGCTTTTGAGTTATGAAGAAGGGTAGCGGCCTGATGCGAGGCTCTTTGTGTCCTCATTATAGCAAAGGGTTACTGGTGCAGGGGACTAGGAAAAACCCGTCCAGTGTGGTGCTTAGTTATTCATCCATCCCTTTCAGACCTAACAGCCACAGCCACACGGAAAGAGACTTTGCCTCACTTTTACATTCACAAACAAACAAAGGAGGGGGGAGCAGGTTTTATGAATGTAACTGTGCACAGGAAATGACTGGTAATGGAAAAAATGTTGTAATAAAATAATCTAATCAAAGAATATTATTAAATTTAACATAGTCTATGTCCAAAAGGCTTAGTTGCTTCTTATGCAGATAGATGTGTGAAATCTAAGCAGTAATGTACTTTCTCCCTTTGTAAAGACTTGGGGAGTAAGGACATTACCAACTAAATTGCTTCTTCGAAACTGAAGTGAGTCCCGGTTTGTTTCATTTTAATGGGAGGGTAATAAAGATGAAAGACCAACATTTTAACTGATGGATCCCTTAAGCTACAGAATAGAAATTTATTGTGTTTTGAGGGAATATACTAAATGCAGCTATGTAAAAATAAAATTCAAACGCCCAGGATTAAAATAAAATATAATCTGAAAACCTCATGTTCTCTCTTTCCCCAAACTAAGAAAGTGCACTGCATGCTGTTTTCACTTATTCTTAGAAAACAAGCATGAAAGATTCCGCCCATTCAGATAATGCCAAAAATATGTTTAAACTTTTTTTTATTCTTTTGAAAAATGATTTGTAAATTGAGGGTCATAGTTCAGCATCAGTTTCATCTTCTGGGATTATTGTTCAAGACCAGCCTCTAATGGGAGGTGAAACGGTACGATGGTCTCAACACCTTTCTTCTGAACTGTAATACATATCACAAAAAGTACATCCATAATTCAGGGCAATTGTCAGTCTTTTTAGAGAAGGGGCCAGGGTGGAACAATCCCAGTGAGTAAATTATTTCTCAGCGTGGACTTCTCTGCATGTCGGGCTTAAGGTCACCAGCCGGGCAGGGTGGAAGGAGCTTGCCTCTTTGAGAAACCAAGGAGTCCCAGTGATCTGTTACCATTTGGTTATGACTTCTAAAGAGCCAAATGCTATTCCTTCAAGCCTGTTTTGCAGGCAGAAAATACCAGCAGTGTCATTTAGGGGTTCCTTTGATGATGACTACTGCTGTTAACTGACCTCAGCATTAAAAAAAAAAAAATTCAGGGAATAGTTTGCAAAGAAATGAAGGAAGTTTTGCATGATATATTCTATAACTTGTCATTATATGATTTCATCTGGATGAAGTTCCTCAGGAGTAGGATAGAGCCTCTGTAAATGGTCATTAGTATTACATTCTGTGTTTATCTAATGAAAGTGCAGTGACAAGTAGCTGCTTCTTATTAAAATGAAAATCCTGCATTATGTACTTGAGGAACATTCCAGCTAATGAGGATGTAATGTCCTCAGTACAACGCAGACCTTCTTTTTGTGTTCACCACCACAAGATGCTGGAAGCTTGACAAATGATATCATTTAAGACACATGCCTGCCTTAGGGACCTGGTTTTTGGCTTCCTGTTTCTGGCTTTTATTTGGGTAACGTTTATAATGGCCACCCGACTTGTACCTGGGTAATGTTTTAACCCCTTCCCCAGAGTTCTCAATTAGCATGAATTTACTACAGTCAGAGTTTCCTTTAAATTGGGGTGGGGGTGCTAAGCACTGAAAATATCTTTCTTGATTACTTTACCATGTGGACATATGGGATAAATACTGTATTTCAGATTTACATAAAAGTAGATTAGTAATGCACAGCTTTCAGAATAAAAACTGATAAAAAAGACCAAGCACTATCAACTTTGGACAGTAATTTCCTAGGTGTTAAACAAGTTTTCTGAATACAATCTGGATGCAAAACGGCCTGATTTGATGAATTCATAATTTTCTTCTGTATACTTTCATTTTATTAAATATTTTATTACTTGGTTAAACACAAGAATTATCTATGTAAACTTCATGGGCTTTTTTGTTGAAAGTTAGATGTTCAGTAACTAATTTCCCAGTTATGGCCCAGAATTAAACATTTATGATCATATTTCAGAAGTCAAAATACAAAACTGGATTATCAAAACGGTTGGTGTGGTCACTTTAAACTGGACTATCAGTATGGTTGCCGTGGTCACTTTAAGCGGGATTATCAGTACGGTTGGTGTGGTCACTTTGGTTTATCATCAATACAGTTGGTGTGGTCACTTTAAACTGGATTACCAATATGGTTGGTGTGGTCGCTTTAAAGTTTGTTTTCATTTTTTTTCTATTTTTAATTCTTACGGGTATATAGAAGGTGTATATATTTATGGGGTACATGAGATGTCTTGAAACAGGCATGCAATGTGAAATAAATAAGCACATCATGGAGAATGGGGTGTCTACCTCCTCAAGCATTTATCCATTGAGTTGCAAACAATCCAGCTACACTCAGTTATTTAAAAATGTACAGTTATTATTGCTTATAGTCACCCTGTTTGCTATCAAATAGTAGGTCTTACTCTATTTTTTTCATTTTAAACTTTGAATTTTATTTTTCCTAGGCTTATAGCATCATGCTATCCCCCTTGTAAAAGGAGGAATGCTTGGCATGAGAACCTTACTGCTGTTACCATGAACAAACTATGGAATGTTGGCAAAAGAAAAAAAAAAGTTACACAAAACACACAAATAACATTTTAATAATATGTATCAGATCAAGTGATTCTTAGTAGTAGTTGATATTCACAGGAAGTCAAAAAAGGACCTATTTCAATTATGTCTGCTTGAATCCTGTTTAATTGTTTCCCTGGCTGAGTAGCTAGTGTGACACAGCAGCAAGACTAAAGGGGCTCTGTGGTCCACATTGTCCTCGAGTCTATTCTTGCCCATTATAGACCTGCCCATTGGTGCTCACTCACTGCATCCCAGGAGGCTTGACTGTCCTCAGGAAGCATGTTGGGGTGCCCTTAAGGGTAAGTATCCCGGGGAGCACAGTTTGGAGAAAACCAATACGTCTTCATGTATGTTGAGAAGCGCTGGGCCAAAGTACAGACTTTTTTTTTTTTTTTTTTTTTTTTTGGGACAAGACCTCGGCTCTGTCACCCAGGCTGGAGTGCAGTGGTGCAATCATGGTTGATTGCAACCTCAACCTCCCTGGTTCAAGCCATCCTCCCACCTCAGTCTCCTGAGTAGCTGGGACTACAGGTGCACATCACCATGCCCGGCTAATTTTTTTGTATTTTTTTACTAGAGATGAGGTTCTACTATGTAGCCCAGGCTGCTCTGGAACTCCTGGGCTCAAGCAATCCTCCCACCTCGGCCTCCCAAAGTGCTGGGATTGCAGGCATGAGCCACCATACTGGCCTAAGTGCAGAAATTTGAACATGTGCCTCCACCCCAAGCCAAAATTTCCCTTGAGGAGCACTATCTATCTGATGATGTCTTTGAAACGGTATGAAATTAAAATAATTAAAACATCCTGCACATAGGTGGTAGCATCTAATATGAAAGATGGATTTATGCTTAGAGCTCAGAAAAATCCTCATAAAATTATTGTGTCTTATCCTCGGCACCTAAAGAACTGAACAGGGTCTTAGAATGATCAAATGGATGGTTTGTTTGGTTGGTGGGAGATGTTGAAACGTGGGTAAGGAATGGTGTCCTTAGAAGAGAGGTTGCCCTAGATGCCGAAACCCTGGAGGTCCATGGTTGCCAGCAGAAACTTACAGCTGGGAGGAGCCTGCACCCATCTCTGGCTCTTGTGAATGAGAAGACTCAATTTGTGTTTTTGTTTTTTTGAGAAAGGGTCTTGCTCTGTCACCCAGACTGAAGTACAGTAGCGTGATCTCAGTTCACTGCAGCCTTGACCTCCTGGGCCCAAGCGATCCTCCCACCTCAGCCTCCTGAGTAGTTAAGACTTCAGGTATGCATTACCATGCCTGGCTAATGTTTTTTTATTTTTTGTAGAGACAAGGTCTCCCTCGTTGCCCAGGCTGGTCTCAAACTCTTGGGCTCAAGTGACTTTCCTGCCTCGGCCATCCAAAGTGCTGGGATTACAGGCATAAGCCACCGCAACATGCCCCAGTTGCTTTTAAACTGTTAAATGTGGGATTTAAAGAATAATCTAGTTCTACCCATTTTATGAATGAAGAAAAGAAACTGGGACCCAGAGAGAAAAGGTGCCCGGTCCAAGGTTACAGAGCCCGTTGGACTCAGAAGTGAAGCTGGAACACTGGCCAATGCCCTCCCATCCGCCAGGTGACTTCTCTGCAGTCCCCTTTACCATCTGCCCGGGTCCTTTGGGATACGGCTGACTAGGGGTTTGAAGAACAGCAATTGGCCTTTGTTATGAATCTTTTTGTGGAGATAAACCCAGTAGAAGTATCACGGTTCTGACCATGAAAGTGTGTTCAACTCTAATCCAGCACAATTAGGATTCCAGATCATTTGATTCTGTGTCGTCTAAATATCACAGAAAGTTAAAAACAAATTAGCCTCAATGGAATTAATGGCTTAATATCCATAATTTAGTTTTAATGCTAGGAGGAAGGGCTCCTGTGAATGTGTTCTTACAAATCAAATAAAGAAAATCAAATAGAGAAAATCATGTGTAGAGCGTTCATTCTCTAGAAGGATTTCACCTACATGTTTTTGCCTATAGAAAGCTGATAATGTTTGACTATCATAATCTTTGCCTTCATAGCAGAATATCTAGAATTTGAATTTGCTCTTCTGCCCAGAATCAAATTCTGAATCCTGTAGACTCAGCTCCTTGGGGGATGAATTCACTCATTGATGGCAGGAAGTATTTTAAGGTGAAGGGGATATGTGTGGGGAAGACATCAGTGGGTCCACGTTTCATGCTCACATGTGGCAAGAACCCTATATTCTGTATAAATGACAGATCATAATTAAGGGTCAGAAACAAGCCCTTCAAAACCACATGACATTGAACATCCATGTCTTTCCACATCGTTTCTGTCTTCCCTTGAACTCATGCATAACAAGCGTAAACTTTCAACTTTACATGAACAAATCCCTTCCCAATAGAAACAGCTTCTTTTAACATTGAAAAACCACTTCACAGGAACGGCAACAATGTCAAAGGCAATCACATTTTGTAGAAAACCTCATTTCTCACCAGGGGACTGGTAGCGATAGTGTTCCCTCTATATGTTGTTGGAATTTACATTTGGAAATTGAATTGTCTCCTTGAGGGTTTTTACTCAAAGTAACTTGGAGAATTGCTTGTGGAATGAGGGCCAGTTGAAGGAGCCCCGGCATCAAGTCAACTGTAGAGAATGCTCATTCTCCAGCAGCAGGAAAATTAAAATGCCACCATTATCAGTATTGGAGAATATTTGTCCTTTCAACTTGTACATATACTTTTTGTAACATTTTAGAACTTATTTGCGCATTTGACGTATTTGATTGCAATTTTGCTGTTTTCACTTCTTTACTGTTAATTGGGTAGAGATGAATGATTCCCACTAGAGAAGGAAAAATTAAAGCACAGAAAAATGACTTGCCCAAGATCACTTATCACTGGTTGAGCAGAGCCTGAGTCCGTGGATAGTTCTCAGACCAAGGCTGTCCTTCACTAGAGAGGGGTGCTTCCTACCCGCTAACATCCGTATGAGTCACCTGTTCAAATACTGGTCCCAATTCAGGAGGTACAGGGGACCTGGGAGTCAACATTTTCCAGGTGACCCCCCCCCAAGAGACACACACACACACACACACACACACACACACACACGCACACATGCTGCTGGTGGTAAGGTCCTGGATTATTACGCTGCCTTTGGAGAGATTCCCATCTTGCAAAATGCTACTTCATCAGGCATTTCAGAGCAACGCAAAGGCTACCTGGATATGAATTGCAACACCAGGGCTTAACACAACTATGAAGATGGTTCCTTTTTATCATCACACGTTCAGCTTCGTTAAGGGAACCTGCTTTCTGAAACTCAGCTGTGGCACCTGATTGTATGTCTGATATTCGGAGGGCTCTGGTGGCAGTTGTTTTCATACAGTTCTAAACAGGGCAGGAAGTAAGTCCAGAAAGGTAATAGGAGTGGCCTGCAGTGGGCCCCAGACCTCCACCTTCACTGCCTTTCAGATCAAGGCAGGGCTCGAAAGGACCTAAACTCCTTGGTGTTTCCCTTATGCTTTTCTAGTCGAATTCTTTGTCATGCCCGTGTTCTCCCCCCTGGTCTGGGGTCACCAGTTAAACCTCACTCTTTTAGCTGGAGTGGTCAGTAAAACTCCTAGCAGGCCTTTGGGGGGTCCGCTGTCACTGGGCTTATGTCGTCATTAGCAAGATACTAAACAATTATCCTGATGAAGGGGAGAAACATCCCATTTATATCACCTTTGAATCGGGTCACTTGGAACAAGCGATGCGGCGACACATGTAGCATTTATTTAAAGATTGGCCCATAGAAATTATAGTAATGTAAGAGGCAGTAGCCTTCATAAGGGAAACGTTATAAACCATACAAATGCTTCGTAAATACATCACTGTAGCCATTGGAATAACACCTGTCTGTCTAGGACAAATGCAATAAAACATCTTGTTATCAAAAAGGAAGCCAATTGAGCTGTAGATAAAATCTAGTTTTAGGAATTTGCAGATAGCCCTGGATGCCCAGGCAGGGAGCTAGCGTCTGTCCTGGGCGCTCACACAGTGCTCTGTGGAAATTGGGCAGGCCCCCACGCCATGCCCCTGAGCACCTGACCTTCATCCTTTGTTTGGGGTTCCGACTGTGGTCAGCACAGCACAGTCTCCTGGGAACACGTAGCCAGGCTTGATGTGCTTTTTCTGCATGTGCCACAACCCACAGGAGAGGCCACGGAGCCGAGCAGGAGGTTCTGGGGAGATGCCTGTGAGCAGCGGCAGCAGGAGAATAAGCACTTCCACTTAGGCACTCCCCAGAGTCCAGCACAGACTGGAGGCAGAACAAGGAAGGACTGGAGGCGGCCGGTGATGACCTCAGAAAATTAGGGGCAGCAGGGCAGGTAGGAGCCAGGGTGGGGAGAATGGGAGTAGAAAGCTTTTGGAAAGCTGGGCTGAGCTGGGCTGGGGACAGGAAGGCTGGACCTCTTGTGCATGTCAGCTTCTTGGGGCCTTTGTAGACCATACATGAGATCTGAGGAGCCCTGGGGTCTCTGGCTGCCAGGTGGGACCTTTGCTTTGACCAGCAAATCTTAAAAAGATGTGGCTATCATTTAATAATGGGACTGGTGGGTGACAGTATAGGCAGTTTGTCACTTGCCTAACTTCAGTGAGTTTATTTTCATAACTTTCCCAGTCCTGTGGAGGCAAATATCTTCTCACTGCTGGGTTCCACAAGCACTTCATTCAGATCTCATCTCTAACACTTTCTGCAGTGTCTCCCTGGAGACTGCGGGCTCCTTGAAGGCAGGACCCATCTCACCTCACTGTCATCTCTGTATTCCCGGGACTTTACTGTGGGGTTGGAGCATAGTACCTGCTGATAAGTGTTAGATTAAGGTATGCTTTTCACTTTCATTTTAAAATGGAACAAAAGTCCACACCCAGTGCCTCACAAGTGTATACTATTGCAGGATTTCAGGACAGGCACTCCAGTTTTTTCCAGTTGTAAATGAGACCCTAGAGAGCTGGTGCTGGTTCCTTTCAGTCCCACACCACAGCCTCAGGCAAATCACGGGCCTTCACTGCCTGAGGCTGCTCACCTGGAAAACCAGGTGAACCGATCTGTGCAACTGGGAAGGCGAAAGAAGATAGATAGCACAGGTCTCGGGTGTCCACCTGATGGTGCAAACAAATACATATTTGATTCTTCAGACCAGTTTGAATGTTCTGTTGCCAGCAAACCCATGTGCTTCCTTAGCACTGCCCAGAATAAACCCAAGTGCTGGATTTTTCAAAAGTCTCAGTAGTGCCTAATACTTGGGCATTGGAATTGGAGTCTCTGGACTATTCTGACCCTCATGTGTCAGAGAAGGTTGTACTGGAACTGAAGAGGGTCCCAAGAAGTACCCAGTGGTTAGTAGGCTGCCAATATGCCAGATGAATGATTCAGCAAGTGAACAGAACACTGAATACTAAACCCTTGGAAAGATAAGAAGGACTATCAAAGATAAACTAGCCCAACTTTCATCCTTCCACTAAGAGTCTCTTTAGGATTCTGCCCATCGTGCCTGGCTCACATGTGAGGACCCCGTTCCAAATGGACAAGGGTGCTGTCTGGGGAGACTCCACTGGGTGATGGGACTTGTGTCTTGCCTGCATGTGCCTGCAAGTCAGACTGGCCTAAGCTCAAAGCCCACTCTTCCATAGATTGTCGCCACAACTTTGGGCAAGATTTTTAACCAACAGGAACCTCAGATTTTTCATTTTCATTTGTCATCTATGCAGGAGGAATAATAATAACCCTAACCTGTGGATGCCTTCCCATAAGGCAGAGAGCACCTGTCCCGATGCCCAGCCCTCAGTCATACCAGCTCCTCTCCCTGCGTTCCCCTTGGAATGAGAGAGGCACAGAGGAGAACTCTGGAAACGGCTGTCTGGGAGGTGTGCACAGGCTCCCCACGTCCTGGTGCCAGGACAGTAGTTACAGCCCTTATGGTTTTTTGGACTTGGGAATAGGAAAAATGAGAGGAGATACCACTTGGTGAATAGCAAAGTTTTGTAATTCATTATCCCTGTGATCCTTATCACCCAAAAGTGGAAGAAGCTAAATGTTTTTTAAGTGGAATAAAATTAACCTGTGACAGGCCCCTAGTGGATTATTTTTAAATCTAACAGGATGTGTTGGTGTTCAATCATCAGAAAATCTGGCTGAAACTGGCTTAAGCAATAAGAGAGCTCATGGCATGGGAAGGTCCAGAGGTAGACAGCTTCCCGGCACAGGCGATCGTGGACCCAGCTCCATTTCCCAGGCGTTCCCTCAGCCATGCCGTCCTCCGGGCCATCTCAGACTGCTTCATCGGACAGCTGCCTGAGGGACAGGATCTGCATCTACTCCATCCAAACCCTGCCACACCACCCCTCCAACACAAGGCTGAGCTAAGCAAAGTATACCCATGGCAAGAGGAACAGATGTCTCTCCGGGGAGTGGCCAATCCCACCTGAACCACAAGAAACCTCTGTTGCTGTTAAGATACCAGACAGAATGGGAAGAGACAGAACGAATGCTGGGAAGGGAAACTGCCCACTGCTCTGTGGAATCGGAGAATTCCAGAACCACCATGACAAGACAGGGCCAGCCTGGCACACCCGTCCCCTCTGGGGCTGAGGTGATGTCCCCATGAGGTTCCCATGCACATTTGAGGTGGAGTCCCACAAGACCACCGAGGGGGGGCCAAGGGCATCACTGCTGCATCCCCTGCACCAAGGGCCACACGGGGCATGCTGGGCATTGAATCCAGGCCGGCCCAGGACCAAGCTTCTCCTTATCTCAGGCCCCTTGCTCACCCACTCCCTGCTACATAAGTGCCAAGGTGGAGGGGCCACTGCAGAAGGGGCAGGCATGGTGAGGGTTTCATGGGGCACCCCTGGGGCGCTGGTCAAGCTTAGACTCTGCACTCTTTTCTCCAGCAAAGGAGATGATATTATTATTTCACAAATGAAGACACAAGGGAACTGGGGCTCAGAGAGGCTTATCTAACGAGCCTTACCTTCCAGCCACTCTTGGAGTGGGAGTTCAGGTGCCAGGGAGGTCCCTGAACACCAGCCACCAAAGCAGGCCCTGGCTTTTGCCATCTCTTCTGCAGGTCCAGCCAAGTCCCAGGGCTGCGCGGGTGAAGTGGTGCAGGGCAGGTCAGCAGCCGGGTGAGCAGCTGTCTTCCCAGCACAAGGTGGGGTGCCTGCCTTCAGCCCCTCATGGTGAATCGCTTGGAGCAAGCTTACCCATGGGGTGGGGTGCCTGCCTTCAGCCCCCCACGGTGAATCACTTGGAGCAAGCTTACCCCTGGGATGTGAGCCATGGCTATTGGCTGCTGCCAGCAGAGACCCCTTACCCTGCCTAAAACTGAGCCAGGTGACACCAAATAAATGTCTTTATGCTGGCCATAAGCACCCTTCTTGTACTACACACCAGTAGTCATTTTAACTTGCAGAGTGTCTATCTATTAAAGAACATGGAGATTGGTTGAAAATTTTTGTGTTTGTTTTTTAGCAACAGGGTCTTGCTCTGTCCTCCAGGCTGGAATGCAGTGGCATAATCCCAGCTCACTGCAGCCTCGACCTCCAGGATTCAAGGGATCCTCCTGCCTCAGCCTCCTAAATAGCTTGGACCACAGGCACACACAACAATGCCCAGCTAATTTCTTTTTTTCTTGGTGGAAACAGGGCCTCCGTATGCTGCCCAGGCTGGTCTCAAACTCCTGGGCTCAAGCAGTCCTGCCACCTCGGCTTCCCAAATTGCCGGGATTACAGGCATGAGCCACCGCACCTGGCCTGGTTGAAAGTTTATTTTTTTTATTTTTATTTTCTCCAGTCTTATGGTGCTGAATGGTTGAAAGTTTAAAGATAAATTTATAGTTAATCACTTTCCCAAAATGAAGGCTGGCCAGTGGAATCAGGACTAACCCCTCTTTGATAAAATGACTAATGGCTTGTTTTTAGTCATTTTGGGAGTGAAAGAGAACTTTGTTCCTCACACTATTTCTTTGAGGATGAGGAGTTTTCCACCCTGCCGAATCCACGGTTCCTTGGTTTGTGATAATGTTTTCCCCATAGTGTCTGCTTTTGCACGCATCCCCAAGGGGTAAAAGATGCTGCTGAGTTATAGCTGTGACAAGAGAACCACAGACCTTCCGATCCAAGAGGGACCTTAAAGATGGTATCATCTACCTGCCTTGTTTTGTAGGGGGGAAACTGAGGCCCGAGGAGGAATGGCAGCTGCCCTAGGACACACCACTCTGCCACTCTCACCCAAGCCTTGGGTGGGCCTCTCCCTGCTGTACTCTCCCAGCATAATATAAAGCACTTCCAATTTTTTAAAAAAGTAATATGCAGCATTCTTTTTCTAGAGCTTTTTATTCCAAGGTCATCCACCTATTCTGTTAATGGCAGAAAATCTGTGATAATATTCGGTGGAAAATTCTGTCATTTAAAAGCTCATGACTAGGAAAGGGACCCACAGAGAGGCTTGCCACACATCAGCAAGCAGGTTGTGTTCCATTCAAACACTTCATTCACTTTTCCACTATAGAGGACGTGATCCCTAAGAACGTGTGACCAGCTATGACACAGCCCTAAACTCAACCAGGATGGGCCATCCCCCAGGCATCACTCCATGGGACCGTCAGGGATGAGGGACATCAGTCCCTAACCAGAAGCCAATGGCTGGAACCAAGTGTGGCATCAGAGTCACTGGTCATGATGAGAGAGGTCTCTCATGGCAGTCATGGCTCCTTGTGTGTATATCTTTCTCCTTACCGGGAAAGGCCACCCACACGAAAAGCATGAAAAATGCTGGTGACTGCATACAGTCCTGGGAATCCGGCTACCCAGAGCCAATGCCAAGGGGCAGGAATGAACGACTTTCCCTCGGCCTCACCCTTATCTGGCTGCCAAGATCACCAAATGTTGGGGTAGAGAGAAGAACTTCAGTAAGCAGACTGTGAATGAGAGTTGGACCCCATGACCAGCTAAGGGGCATTGTATTAGTCCGTTCTCACACTGCTAATAAAGACATACCTGAGACTGGGTAATTTACAAAGGAAAGAGGTTTAATTGACTCACAGTTCAGCGTGGCTAGAAAGGCCTCAGGAAGCTTAGTCATGGCACAAGGAGAAGCAAATACGTCCTTCTTCACATGGCAGCAGGAAGGAGAAGAATGAGAGCAAAGTGAAGGGGGAAGCCCCTTATCAAACCATCAGTTCTCCTGAGAACTCACTCACTATCGGGAGAACAGTATGGGGGAAACTGCCCCCATGATTGAATTATCCCCACCTGGTCCCACCTTTGACACATGGGGATTATTACAATTCAAGATGAGATTTGGGTGGGGACACAGCAAAACCTTATCAGGAATCAAGGCGGTGCGTGGAAATGGCCTCCCTTTGCTGCGTGCTGGGATCCCACTCATGCTGGGATCTCTTTGCAAGAGGGATATTGACAGAGATCTAGGAAGAGCCTTGAGCTCTGCATTTTCCTGGAGGTGGGAAGGAATGTGAGTGTGGAGGGCTGCACCTGAGCAGGGCTGTGAGCCAGGGAAGCCTTGAAACTGAGCTCAAGATCCTCATTTTCTCCAAAAACAAACAGCAGGTGTAGGAGTCATGCCTTCTGCAATTTTAGGCAGGATCCTGTCAAGCTTCCTGGATTTCAGCACGTGTGTGACTTCAGAGGCCCCAGGCCTCAGGAACACTGCTTGCTCATCTTGCCCAAGCCTTCAAAGGCCATGTTGTTAAGAGTGTCACTCCTCTGCCCATGCACTGCCAGGTCTGCAAGAACAGGAGCATTATTGGGAGCACTATGAGGGCACTGACTGAGGTTTGTGGGCAGCCTGCTGATGTCCTAAAGTATTCGGTTACAACTGCAGGAGAGAGGACTCAGGACAGATGTACTTCCTTTAGGGGACAACTTTTCATGGAATCGGAGAGTCTTTGGACACAGGTGTCTGCTAGTGGCAGTCCATGCAACCAGGGCCTGGTGGAGCAGGAGTCAGGAGGAGGAGGCAGGCCCAGCTCCCTGGCAATGGGGATGCTCACTTTGGGGCTGACAGGCCCACTCCACACACAGGCTGAGGGGGACAGGGCCCTATTATATGGGTGAGCGGGGCCGGCTCTGGCATCTTGTCATTCTAGCTTGTGTAAGTCAGCAAGCTTAATTGCTCCCAGTCCTTTCAAGCTGACTTTCCACCAACAATCTCATTATCACACACATGTTTAGTTCACATTTCCTGGCCCTTCATGCAGCCCGAATGCAATGAAGGAAGAGAAAATATGAAGTTAACCTATAACATTGTTTGTTCTCTTCCTTCCCCTCCCCCGTGTCTTCAGCCCCCTGGAACCCTGGAAGCTGGGAGAGTGCACGGAGGTGGGACATGGGCCCCTCTGGGCAGCGGGGAAGGGAGGGCTGAGGCCTGGCTGAGCTGGAGCCCCTAGTCCTAGGTTCCAGTATGAACAATAGGGAAGTGTTTTGCCACGTAACAATACTGCCAGGAGCTTGGGAGAATACCCTCTCCAAGAAAGTGGCCTCAGCCATCCATTGCAAGTGTCCAAATCTCCTGCCTGTAGGTTCTGAGTCTGCAGGAGGGGCAGGAGGGCCCAGGTAGAATCCTACCTGCACAGACCTCACACTTCAACAGGGAGGGAGCAACGCAGGTGCACAAATAACGAGAGGCTTCGGGAGAAGGAAAGGCAGGGCAGAGGAGAGACACAACATTTATTCAGCACCTACTGTGATCTAGGCCTTATGCTAAGCGCTTGGTGCATGTTACTTCATCTAATCCTCAGCCAGTGTCTTCTAGACTGACACTGTCCAATAGAGACAGTAACTTGAGCCACACATGAGAGCCACATACGGAATTTAAAATTTTCTCATAGCCACATTAAAAATGTGGAATGTATTTTATGTAACCCAATATATCCAAAATACTGTCATTCCAACTTGTAATCAACATAGAATCTGGAAGAGGTGCCATTTTTTTAAATCAATAAATCTAACATTTCTGTAGTGCACCAGGCACTGATCCAACAGCTTTAGGTAGTAACTTCTTTAATCCTCATAACTAGCCCCCGTGGTAGGATCCATTATTATCACCCCCATTTTACAGATGGGGAAACTGAGGCACAAAGCACTGAAGAGACATGCCTGAGGTTCCAGGGCCAGTAAATAGGACAACTGGGGAGGGACCTGGCAGCTTTACCAGTGGGGCCCAAAGCTTTTCAAAACCATACACATAGCAGGTACTCAGTAAGCATTCAGAGTGTCGATGACCAAAGAAGTTATCTTCCTCTTCACTTATTGATCAAACTGTGGTTCAGAGAAGCCAGGTAAATTCCTCAATGTCACACAGCTGGAAAATGTCCAAGTCCTTAAGCCAGATCTGCCTGACTCAGAAGTTGGGAAGTGTCCCAGCGGGCGTTCAGAGGAAGGATGAATTGTTTGCAGCCAGCTCTATGCAGGGGTGCAGGGGGCATTTGAGCTGAAATTTGCACATATGGAGATGAAGAAACTATTTTGAACTAGGAGAACAGGATCAGCTGCCTCCTTCCACTAGCTGAAGGGGGTGAGGTGGGAAGGAGGGCATTGGGGTAGTGGGCCACAGACTCTGGAGGGCTCGAGGTAGAGTGGAACCGTGGGTTGGAGAGAGACAGCGACCACCCGCTGCCCTTCAGGGTAAGCCCGGGCTCCCTGCTGGCCAGCCCCACCCACCCAGTGCCCACCGAGGGGCAGTGTCGTTCTCCAAACCCCCGGGAGAGAGAAGCTTGCCCCCTGGAAACCAGCCCTCAGGGACCACTGACTTCACTGTGAAATCACCCATGTGGAGTCCCAGTGAGCGCCCCTTAGGAACTGGAAGGCTCTGGTCCAGCTGAGAGGAGTTTGAGGCACCAGCAGGCAGGTGCAGGAGACAGGCAGGCAGAACTCCCACTGTGCCCCAAGGCTGTGGCCAGTACAGCTTCCTGGCACCTGGGGTGGTCTGGAAAGAAGAGCAATATTAATCTTGCCTGAATTTCTGCAACCCATCCAGACAGCACCCACCTGGGCAGAGCCAGGGACCCTGGATGTGAGAGCTACTCTGCTGGGGAAGGGAAGGGAGGCCACTGACCCAGGCCTCTTCCTGACTCCCCCTTCCTCCTTTCCTGCCCCCTCCTCTTCATCACCTTGAAGAACAGATTGAAAGTGTGAAAAGCTCCTTCTCTTCCCATCCCTGTGCAGTTCAGCTATTGGGTTCAAAATCTGTTAAAATATGTTCAAATCCTAGGATTTCAGATCTTGGTTTTATTCTTCTTACATGAAGAAGAAACTGTAAGTACACTTCCATTTATTTAAAAAAAATCATATGCAAGATGGCACGTTAGATTCTCTTTGCAAACCAAGCTGAATACACTTGGTGGTTGCACAGCTCTCCTGGTATATTATTTATTGCGAAGGAAAATTATCGTGCTGATAAGAAAATAGTGTCACTTAAAAATTAGGTGGTTCCCAATCAACTTATGACAGTAATTGCTGTAATGTCCTCTTTGATTTAGATATAGTAATATCAATGTAATTGCCACTGGGAAAAAATTATAATGGCTGTTAATGATAACTAACACATAAATGGCAATGAACAGGAACATGTATTTTATATCGAATTCAACCACTGAGCAGCAGTAAGAAACCCAGTGGTTTTCAACAATCTGGCACCAACCCCTCAAGGAACTAAACCCCCCTCCCTCCTTGTGTAAATGAGGGGGTGGATGCTTACAGGGCGGGGAGTGCAGGGACGTCCTCAACCTCCCCTGGGCTCCATAATGGAGAGTCCTCCAGCCTTCCAGTGACGATGGGGAGGGCAGCCCCAGGAGAAGCCAATGGCCCAGAACCGCTAGACCTGCTTCTGCGGCAGAGCTGGGCATCGCGCCATGAGCACTCACATGGCGACCGTTCTGTGTGACTTTGCTCGTGCTTTAACTCGTTCAGCTCTCATTCACTGGGCACCTACTGTACTAAAGTGAGGATGAAAAGTCTGCAAAACATGGTCTCTGTCCCACCAACTGTACACGTCAAGCGAGCAAGTGCTGAATTGGTTTCTTTGCTGCCTGCACCTCCCATGAGCAGTGGTGTTTGTTGACCGAATGAAGGAGTTCACCGGGGCATGGGTGGGCAGACAAGACAAGGGCTTTTGGTGCCCAGCATGTGTGTACCCTCGCACGCATGGGGCCATAGGGGCATAGTCCTGACCTGCAGGGGAACAGATGCATCCACTGATGGGCCTTCCCTTCCATGGAGAAGAGGCATTACTGTAGCTCTCAGGAGGGTGACTCACCTACAGGACATTTAACTTAGTCACCGACCCGTTTAGCTGGTTTACAGGGATTCTCACCTGGTAAAGAGGGAGTCCTAAGGAAATGAGACTCTAGGCAGAAGATGGTGTGGGCAGAGGGGCACAAAGGAGGGGCAGAGGGAACTCCTGGCCATGGTGGGATCAGGGATCTGGGTAGTAGTCTAGACCAACCCATTCCTTAGGCATGAGTAAGATGCTTAGCCTCAATAGAAGAAGGGCTGGCCATACGGGTAGTTTCCATGGAGGGCTGTGGCTTGCACTTCTCTACGGAGGCTGCTGGGCTTCCCCATGAAGGCCGCACTCGGGAACATTAAATTCTGCAAATCTTAGGGATCCAGGAGAGAATCTGACTATGCATATTTATGAAGTTCCATGGGAAATTCTGACAGGAATAATAACAACAACAGCTACAATTCCCTTAATATTGGGACAAGGCACTATACTATATGCTTTACTCATCTTTCATTTCACTCTCAAAACACACATTTATGGTTGCTAATATTCATCCCATTTTACAGCAAGAAGTAGGCAGGCCAGAAAGGCTGAGTGACTTGTGTTAAGTTCACACGGTAATTGGTGAAGCCAAGCTTGGGGCTAGGCAGTTGACTCCAGCGCCTTCACTCCTGCCCAGTGACATTCCTAAATGGTTCTGGTGGGAGATTATATTTGGCCTAGGTGACTTACAAGGTTCTGTCCAGCTTAATACCTATGATAACGTGAATCTTGTTGGGAAATAAGAGGCACAGAAATCTCCAGAGCATTGGGTGAGGCCAAGGATCTACCTGGGACATTGTGACTGGCAGTACTGGGCAGCAAGAGACCACCTGGATACCCTGGGAAAGGGGGCAGGCATGACCTCCAACCCTGATAATAGAGGTGCTGGTACTACTAACTCTATCCCATTGAAAACAACTGAAAGGGTTGGCTAAAACTTTATGAAAATATAAAATCATCAAGAGCTGACAAAATGGGTAAAAGTAAATTACTAGACCAAAATCCAAGAGGAAATGGCAACCCAGAAACTGAGGCAGAGGACTGAAGCTACTCCTTCTGGAAAGGACTAGCCAAGAATGGAGCACATGAGCTTCCGTTTCCACAGCCTTGCAGCATGTGTGTGGCATAAGACAAAAGCCAGGGCCTCCCGAGGTGAGCAGCCATGGTACTGAGCATAGAAGGGGGAAAGAAAAGAAGAGTCCCCAATCACTGGAACCACACACCAACACTTGGCGGAATTTGTGGCTGATCTAGTTAGTCCAAAAAAACTCAAACCCATGAATTCAGTACCATGTGGACCCAAGTAATCATCCACCCAAAATTCCTGGCAGAAGCAAACATAAATTCTCTCTGAAGGAATGGATCTTCATCTTAAACCTCAAACAATTCCCACATGGAGAATGAACAGATGACATTTCGGAATACTCAATCATCAGAAGAAATAACATGCCGTGAGTCAGAACCCATAGCAGCAAAAGAACAAAGAGAAAACACACAAAACCCTTAGAACTAACAGGTCCAGACCATAAAATAACAATGTTTACCACATTTAAAGAAATAAAGTTCAGTTAAAAAAATCAATAAAATTAACTTGAATACTTGAACACAAAAATGTAATTTTACTAAATAAAATAAATATAACTGAAATTAACAATTCAATTCATGGTTTTAACTGTTGATTTGATATGGCTGAAGAGAGAATTCATAAACTAAAATATAGATGAGAGGAAATTGTTCAAAAATGCATCACAGAGGGTCAAAGGGATGAGAAAGAAAATATGTAATAAAGGTTAAAAGACAAGGAAGACAGAGGGAAGAGGTCTCACTTAGCTCTAATCAAGTTTCATGAGAAGAGACAAAAGGGAATGTGGAGAGTCAATAATGGAAGAAATCACGACTGAGAGTTTTTTAGAACTCATGAAAGACAGAAATCCAAGGCTTTAGAAAGGCCAATGATTCCCAGGTAGGATAAATACAAAGAAATTCACACCTAGACACATACAGTGAAACCAAAAACACCAAAGAGAAGAGGAGGAGGAAAATGATTATCCGTAAAGTGGTGACAGACCTGAAGCTGAATTTTCAATAGCAACCGCGAAGTCTGCCTGAAAGAAATCTTATCTTCAGTCCCCTGAAAGACTACAGTGACAATGTAGAATTCCATGCCCACCAAAAACCTCTCTCAAGAATGAGGACAAAAAAAGATATTTTCAGACAAACGAAAACTGAATAAGGTTACCACAAGCAGATTGCAAATTGTCAAGAAAGTGTACTTCAGGAGAGAAAAAGTTATCCCCTATGGAAGTTTGAGATGTGAGAAGGAATGAAGAGTGAAGCATATTGGAAGCATTTTGGTAAATCTAAATGAATAATAAGTATGTCAGACCGCACCAATGTCTAAGGTTAAAAGGATATAGCTATAGATATAGATATATAAATATCTCTATAGCCACATATCAGAGACATAAGCAGGTCGATTTAAAATGTTCTAAAGTCTTTGTATTATCTGGGTAGAGGGTAAAAGCACTCTGGAACTTTACACTTGATAATAAGAAGGTACATGTTATAATTTCTAGGTTTTCACTAAAGAAGTAGTAAAGGGGAAAAGATGAAATGAGGAGAAAAAGCTTCATTCAAAAGAAGATAAGGAAGATAAGGCTGGGCACAGTAGCTCACGCCTATAATCCCAGCACTTTGGGAGGCTGAGGCAGGTGGATCACTTGAGGTAAGGAGTTCGAGACCAGCCTGGCCAATGTGCTGAAACCCCGTCTCTACTAAAAATACAAAATTAGCCGGGCATGGTGGTGTACACCTGTAATCCTAGCTACTTGGGAAGCTGAGGCAGGAGAATCTCTTGAACCTGGGAGGCAGAGGTTGCGATGAGCCAAGATCGCGCCATTGCACTCCAGCCTGGGCAACAAGAGCGAAACTCCATCTCAAAAAAAAAAAAAAAAAAAAGAAGAAGAAGAAGATAAGGAAGATGAGAAAGAGGAAGAACCAGACCAGGCTCAGGGTGCAGTGGAGGGAAGAGGAGAGCAAGGAGCAAGATACCAAGTATGAATCCAATAAACCCCTAATTCTATCTGCTCTAAATAGGCTAATTGCTCCACTTCAAAGAGAAAAATTGTCCAACTGTTTAAAAAATGCAGTTATAGGCTGTTTACAACAGATATACTAAAAACAAATATACAAAAATACTGAAATCAAATGACTGGAATAAGATATGCCATGCAACACGTGTGAGTTGGCTAGAAACGTTGAGTGGCACTTCAACCCTTGCGTGACCGGAGTTCACGAGGCATAGGGTTCCGGTAGTCTGTTCCACTTCTGCCTGGGGCCCAGATATTATTCTGACATGGTCTTTTGTCCTGATTTGGAGCATTCTAGCTTCCTGATGCCAACCACGTAGTATTTTATCAAATTTGAGACTTAACCTTTAAAAGAGGCACTGTTAACTTATGTACCATGAAGAAAGAAAAACAACCACCAATTAAACTATCACACAATCCTGTCTTATCTGTTTGAAATGTTTAGGTTTATTGAAAGAGATCTTTGAGACTAAATCAGACTTATTCAGACACATTTTTATCATCTATCGACCTTCAAACACATAGGAAAATACAAGCGAAAAAAATTGTTTCATCTCTTTCTAAAATGTTTCACATTCAGAGCCTAAGCACTGGAAAGCCCCTTGCCGCTCAGGGTGACCGCGGTCTGTTTCCCACACACTGGCATTCTCTGTGCTGTCAAGAGAGCTGATGGTTTGGCTTTTCTGGAGCAAGCCACTGTGGAGTCCAGAACTTTCTTCCAACACAGATGCCATTCTCCAAGTTTATTTCATCTTATCCGAAGGTGTCCAGGAAAGATTTTCATACAATTGTGGCTCATATTCCTCCTAAAACAGTCAATATATATCCATATATATATAATAGTCCATATATGTCCATATATATAATAGTCCATATATATCCATATATATATAATAGTCCATATCTATCCATATATATATAAAATAGTCCATATCTATCCATATATATACAATAGTCCATATATATCCATATATATATTAGTCCATATACATCCATATATATAATAGTCCATATATATTTTTTATTATTATTATTTGTTGTTGTTGCTGTTGAGACGGTGTCTAACTCTGTCACCCAGGCTGGAGTACAGTGGCACGATATCTGCTCACTGCAACCTCTGCCTCCCAGGCTCAAGTGATTCTCATGCCTCAGCCTCTCGAGGAGCTGGGATTACAGGTAGGTGCCACCACGCCCGGCTAATGTTTTGTATTTTTTGTGGAGACGGGGTTTCACCATGTTGGCCAGGCTGGTCTTGAACTCCTGGCCTCAAGTGATCTGCCTGCCTTGGCCTCCCAAAGTTCTGGGATTACAGGTATGAGCCACTGCACCTGGTCATAGATACACACACACACACACACACACACACACACACACACACACGTATACATATAACACATATATACATATATGTATGTATATGTGTATTATAATGTTTTATATACATAAATATACATATTTATATATTTTATATATATATATATATATAAAAAACAGGATTTCACTTTATTGCCCAGGCTGGAGAGCAGAGGTGCAATCACAGCTCACTGCAGCCTTGACCCCCTCAGACTCAAGCAATCCTCCCACCTCAGCCTCCCAAAGTGCTGGGATTACAAGTGTGAGCCCCTACACCCAGCATCTTGAATGTTTTTTAAACTAACATTAGGGGTCTGCGGGGTCCTGTCAGGCCACCAGGGGAAACAACCATGGAGGAGGCCGTGTGGACAGCAACCACGACATCGCAAGAGGCCTGCAGCATTGGTGCCGCTGATGGCAAAATGCATCCTGCTTTCAGAGGTGTTAAATTTTGGAAGCAAAGGCTGAATGGAGTTAATTGAATGCTGACTGAGAAAATCAGGGTCTTACCCCAGGGGAGCCCTTGCCCGGGAGGTGTGGTTTGAGTATCCCAAGACAGAGGCGTGGGGCTTTCCTGAGCTTGCAGATCTCGTCATTCCGCAAGGTTTATGCCTGCTTCCTGGTGACTGTCTGAAAGTGTGACAGGTGAGAGGAAAGAAAGGAGGGCCAGAGAACAGGAGGACAGGCTTGGAGCACCACACTTTGGGCTGGGACCAGCGGCTTGGTGCACTGGAAAATGCACAGGCTGAAGAAGCCGACGGAGGCAGATGCGGATCCTGACTCGATGTTATCCAGCACCAATCATCAGACTGTTTCAGCCACTGTCTTCTTCCTTACGAAACAGGGACAGTACCCACAGTGTTATTCTGAGGAGGAGGAATCACAATCGATTCTCAGTATCCATGGTAGTTCTGTTCTATGAAGTTGTTGTGAACACTGAATTAGGAATACTGAGGCATTGTTCCTACAGGAAATACAGGTTATTTGAGCCTCTGGTCACAATATTTTCATCACCCAATCAATACATCGCCTTGTTTTATATGTGTTTCTGCTTAAAGACACCTTTTTAAATAGATAGGGTTGATTCATGCACATGCACTCTTGGCCAGCACAATAGCCCATGCCTGAATGAAGCTTCCCTGGTACAAGGATTTTCTCCACATCATAGTCGATGTCCTTCCTGCACTTAGGAGCTCTAGAGAGCCCCTCAGCACTATGTTTGGACATCATTTTCAACTGCAAAATCACTCACAAAAAGGACCAAACTGCAAACAATGTGGCAGTAAATAGAGCACAAACAGAACGCTTGTGTACGGTGTGAGCTGCAATAGGAAGTCAGGGCACCGCCTTGGGCAGCCTCCGCT
Organism: Homo sapiens; assembly: GCF_000001405.40. Lineage (NCBI taxonomy): Eukaryota > Metazoa > Chordata > Mammalia > Primates > Hominidae > Homo > Homo sapiens. The sequence continues at coordinate 75,177,924 of NC_000018.10, read as the reverse complement.
GGGCACGGGCACGCCAGGAGACCCACATTCCTCACCCTTCTGTACATGTCTGTGAATGGCCGTGAAAACACCCAGTATTGATTTTGGGGTTACAAATATATTTCAGCAAGTAGGAAAATTCTCAAATACAGAATCTGCAAATAATGAGGTTTGACTGTTCATCGTAAAGCACCTGATACCCAGGAGGTATCCAGTGAACAGTGACCCCTCTCATAACTAGGTGGCACCATCGCATCCCTTTGATCCTACCATAAGGCGAAAGCTAGAGGTGGGATAACCGCATTAAATGGAGGGGCTCACCTGTTTGTCACTGGTCCATCATTCATCTCACAAACGCTTGCTGACAAGGCATTCTGTGCCATGCCCAGAGAACAGAAAGCATGACACTGTGTCCAGCTGGTGATTTCAAGAGTGGGTTATCATGTAAGTGGGCTCTATTAGTCAGCTGGGGCTGCCCTAACAACATATCATAGATGGAGTGGCTTAAGCAACAGAAGTGTATTTTCTCACCATTCTGGAGGCTGGAAGTGTGAGACCCAAGGGACCAGCAGATTTGGGTTCTGGTGGGGGCCTTTTCCTGGCCTGCAGATAGCTGCCTTCTGGCTTTGTCCTCATGTGCTGGAAAGAGGGCTAAGTGTTTCTGCCTCTTCTTATAAGGTCACCAGCCCTGTCATATCAAGGTCTCACCCCGCCTCATCCTCATGACCTCATTTAACCTTTGGCACCTCCTCCTGGCCCTATCTTCAAATACAATCACATTGCAGATTAGGGCTTCCACGTGTGAATTTGGGGAGGACATAATTCAGTCCATTGCACAGGCTGCTTCTGAAGTTGCACCACCATGACCAAGGTCCAGAATATCAGACATTCAAATAGCACATCCCACGTGCCAGGCACGGTGTGAAGCACTTGACATGTGGCAGCTGACTGAATGCTTACAATGCTGAGGTAAGAACTCACGTCATCCTCATGTACGAGTCCGGGTTCTCCAGTGCAACAACCAACAGGAGACCACATATATACGGAATGAGGAATTGGCTCATATGACTGTGGATGCTGAGAAGTCCTACAATCTGCCGTCTGCAGACTGGAGACCCAGGAAAGCTGGGGCGTCGTTTCCATCCTAGCCTGACGGCCTGAGACCCAGGAGAGGCTGTAGTATAAGTCCCAGTCTGAAAACAGGAAATGATCGATGTCCCAGCTCAGCCCGTTAGGCCGAGAATGCAAATTCAACCTGCCTCTGCCTTTTTGTTTCATTCAGGCCTTCACCAGATTGAAGGATGCCCAGCTACGCTGGGGAGGGCTACCTGCTTTACTCAGTCCACTGATTCTGATGTGAATCTCATCCAGAAACACCCTTGCAGACACACCCAGAGAGAATGTTTAGCCAGATATCTGAGCATTCTGTGGCCCTGCCGAGTAGACACATAAGATTAACTGTCACATCTCATTTTACAGATGAGGAAATTGAGGCTCAAGAAAGGTAAATAACTTGCCCAAGGAGACACAGCTCCAGAAATGGCAGCACAGCTCCAGAGACTGTTCCTCACACACGGACCATCAAACAACAAAGTGTGCATTTATGTCACTCATAATTATGCCAAGTAAGACCAAAACAATCGTGACCCAAAGATGTTGGAGTTAGGGTTGAATTGTTGACAATGTCCTAAATTAGGTCTCCATTATGCCAAGTGACAAAGTAAATTTATTTAAAAATTGTTCAACTTGGCTGGATGCAGTGGCTCACGCTTGTAATTCCAGCATTTTGGGAGACCGAGGCAGGCAGATCACCTGAGGCCAGGAGTTCGTGACCAGCTGGCCAACATGGTGAAACCCTGTCTCCACTAAAAATACAAACATTAGCCGGGCATGGTGGTGCGCACCTGTAATCCCAGCTACTCGGGAGGCTGAGGCAGGAGAGTTGCTTGAACCTGGAAGGCGGAGGTTGCAGTGAGCCGAGATGACGCCACTGCACTCCAGCCTGGGCAACAGAATGAGACTCCATCTCAGAAAACAAAAAAGAAAAAAAAATTGTTCAACTCAGTAAAAATAATTAAATCCTCTAGAAAAATATTGTGTTGACCTAATAAAAGTGTCACACCATTTGTCCTCATGCACATACAGGCAGGTACTGGTTACAGGGGAAGGAAGGAGGGAGAACGCCTATTTGGGAACTGACTGTTAGCAAGACAGGTGACAGTGGGTGAGCTTTTTCACCTCTCTGGCCTCACTTTCCTTATCTGAGAAATGACTTCAATACCCCTTCAATGGCTTCAACACCCCTTCCAGTTCTGCCCCTGGATTCACCCACATGTAATGAGGCATTCATCCATGCTCTCAACTGGTGGACACAAAATTTTCAACATGTGTTTGTTCGCCTTTCCTTCACTTTCTTTCCCCAACCTGCACTCCCCCCAATAATATTGAAGAATAATATAAAAAAAATACACTGCCATTGTCTTATTGACCTAGGAAAATGTTCTCTTCCTCAATCACATTTTCAGGATCTGTCATGGAATTCTGAATTATCTGAAGACTAGATTGCTCTTCAAGCATTCTGCCTGCCCGCCCTGAGATTCTGTAATTTGATTTATTAAGAGGAGTGTAAAAGCCTCACACACACCTTCACACTCTCATCACACACAATTTGTCTGCTGAATATTCTGACCCAAGACCGGCCAATTTGATGGAGTCATTGAGTTCATTAAAGTTGTTTCTCTGGCTGGGCGGGTATGAGTGGAAACAGCTTTTCTGTAGGGTAGTTTGGCGATAGGTGACAAACACCTTTAAAACACATGTAGCCTTCAACACACGCATGCCATTTCTAGAAATCTATCATTAAAAATTTTTCCCGATGCATTGTTGAATGAGAAAAGTCAGGTTATAATGCAGTGTGTTCAGGATGACACTGACTTGGGTTAAGCATAGTTGCATTGAAAAAAGCCTGGGAGGAAATCGGCTAAAATGCTAACGATGGTTATCTCTCAAGAGCAGCAGCAGAAATAGATCACCATTTTATGTCTTCCATGTTTTCCTGATATGCTTTTCTGTATATTCTGAATTTTCTGTAATAATCATGCGTGTTTCTATAAAAGGATTGTCATTTAGCCATTTCTACTTCAATAAATGCGTTCATCGTGGCCTCACGTCCTTTTAAAGTCTCACGTGGTGTCAGTAAGCAGGTGGGGGGCAATCCCTTCCTTGGGGAGGGGCTTTTTTCCAGCAACTTCTCCCCAGGGGGCTGCCAATTCCATGGGGGGGCTATGCAGGGACCCTGAGCATTGTCAGATTAAACCGAAGAGGCCTTCCCTCCCCTGTATGTTTAAGAATATCCAGAGGACCTTTGCACTTTATTTGGGGCTAAATCTGAAAATCCCCAACCTCCTTTGACAGCATCTAAGGCCCTAACCAAGTGCTAAGGGACATTTTGTGATAACACGTTAGCAATGTGACCTCCCACTTAGGGGCATCCAACACGTGGAAATTCACTCATCTCAAGAAGAAAGGAAGAAACACCTGAGAGAGAAGAGACAGACTGTCACCTGCATTACTGGGAAGACGCAAACACTGAAAATCCCCATGATTTAGCAAAACTAAAAGGGCAAAGTGTGTTTAATGTGCATTCATAATTGGTGACCATAAATGGGTAGGAAGTGTGTTCTGGATGGAAAAGTTACAAACCACAGATCTAGGCTCTAAAGAACTGTGTGTGTGCTGGCTACCCCTATAGCTTCGGTGTTAAATAAATTTAGCATCTCTTTATTTAATTATCATTATCGATCACTTTTGTTTGGGGCCTATTAACGTGCACTTTAGCTCCTTACATTTGAGCAGTTCACGATGTTTTGTCAAAGGTTTTTGCTGGGTCAATCCATAAATTCAAGAAGTCAGCTAAAAGGCTCTGATTTCAACAGCACCTGTTACTTCACTTATTCCTCAGCCTGGAGGGTCTCTGGGAGGCTGCTGCCCAGGCAGCTCAGAAAACCCACTTCCTCTTGCTGAGGACACAGCTGGGCCACGTTCCCAGCCCCCTTTGCAGTGAGCAGCGGCCACAGCTGAGTTTGGGTCCATTGCTTTTCAGCCTCAGTGCTGTGATCCACTTCTAGGCCAGGCTGTGAAGCCCCCCACCCCATGCTGTGAGCACCCTCTCTTTCCCTATACCCTGACTCAATGCAGAGCACTCCCAGCCCCTCAAAGAGCTCGGAGTCCCAAGATGTGAGAACCCCAACTCCCAGAGTGGCCATGAGTAAGGCACTGATTGCTAATACCCATCTCTTACTTCCAGTGTGGGAGAAAAAACCTTCTGTTGTGTGAAGCCAGTGAAATACTGGGATTATCTAGTCTATCCTTATCCTAATGCAGGTGGACAGAGACCTGAATTTGAGCATTTTACAAAACAGGTGTGCATTCCTTGTTTGGGATGTTTTGTTTTTGTTTTATTCAGAAAATTGCCAAGTGAGAAGCCAGTGTGCTCAATTACATTTTTAGGTTGCTCTTCCAAACAAACCCATGGCTTCAGGTGTGTAAAACATCTCAGCATTGTAGGGTACGTAAATAATCATCTCCATATGAGACATTTGAAACTGAAGTCAGTGGTTCACACACCAGCATCCAGGTTGAGACCAGCTCTCCAGCTCCCCCTTTGTGCTATTATCTCTCCCATTATATCCGTGCACAAGACTCGCAGCTCTAAGAGTTTCAGTTCCTCCCTGTCCTTTGACCCTGGTTTGTTGCTTACTAAGAGCGCACAGCTCACCCTCTGTGGCTCACCCTCCAACACTCCATCCCCCCGCTTCCTGTGGATTCCAGGTTCGCCTGCTCCCAACCACAGCTCCTCTGCCCTCCATGGTCTCCCCACTGGCAGTAAAAAGCCTTCCCTTCTCCTTCGCCCAGAATCCGACAGGGACCGTCTGGAAGGGGTGACCTCAACGCCAGTGCTCCACTCTGGCATACATCTGTACCTGCCTCAGACTTTTTTTCTCCCTTGACCTGGGTGAGAAGGCTGTGCAGTCCTCACATGCAGGAATGACCCTCCACCCACCTGGGGTCTCATCTCCCTGTCCTTAGGAAGTTTCTCTGTTCATCTATGGACCGTCTTCTCCCTCTTAACACAAATGTGGCACTCCTGTTCATCGAGTCACTCATCTGAGCAAATATTAATGATCACTGTGTGCCAGGCATGGTGCTGGGTGCAGGGCATGCAACAGCAGCTGGGACAAAGCTCTGAGCTCCTGTAGTCTGCAGCCAGTGGGGGCTGGGACGAAGCTCTGAGCTCCCCATAGTCCTGGAGCCGGTGGGGGCTGCAGATCCATTCCCTGACAAGTACAACACTTGTGACTCTGGCCCCAACCTGCATCTTCCCTGCCCCTTCAGTTAGGTTCCTGGAAAAGTCATCTGAGCTGAGAGTCCCGCTTCCTTCCTCCTACTCTCTCCCAGCCTGCTGCATGGGCTTCCGCACCCCTGACTCCATGGCAAAGCCCTCACGGTACTGGGCCCGAGCCTAGCTGTTCTCCACAGTCTCATCTTCCCTGACGTCGAGGCTGCACTGGACTGTTGGCCTCACCCTCCTTGAAACACCCCCTGCTTCTTGATACCACGTTCGATAACAAAGTAAGCTCCCCTTATCTGCAGGTTCACTTTCCATGGATTCAGTTACCTGCCGTCAACCGTGCTCTGAAAACAATAAGATATTTTAAGAGCGAGAGACCACACTCACGTAACTCTTATTACAGTGAGTTGCTATAATTGCTTAATTCTATTATGTCATTGCTTACTGTGCCTAATTTATAAATTAAACTTTGTCATAGATGTGCATGGATAGGAAAATACATCACGTATTTAGTGTTCAGTACTATCTGCAGTTTCAGGCATCCTATGGGGGTCTTGGAACGTATCCCCCGAAGATGAGGGGACCATCATACCACTGTCTCTTAGTCTCCTTCCCCTAAATCATCTTGCCAGGGAGACCAGCGGCAATGCTAAACCTCAGTTGCCTGAGCTGAAGGTCCTGCACTTTGTAGGGGCCAAGGGAAAATCTCCCTTTGCCCTAGGAAGGTTCCCTGAAAAGCAACTGGCAACAGGCAGAGTCACAGGAGAAAAGACATACACATGTATTCAGACATATTTTATGTGATATGGGAGCCTTTGGCATGAAGATGCAGAAAAAACGATCTGTTTTTATGCTTAGGTTCAACAAAGTGTGGACACCATGTAGAAACTGACTGGACAAAAAGGGCCTGGTCTCAGCCGATAGACAGAGAGGGGAACCCAGCAAGGCCCATCTGCTCAGGTGCCTCTCAGCCTCTCTGCAGCACTCCCATCTCCAGGGGAGGGGGGCAGACCCTCTCTGGAATGGGGGTCTCAGGACCCACAATCCAACAACGGAAGTCAGATAATTTCTTTAGGGCCAGTTTTTACACAGAAAGGCAGGGGGCAAGTTAGAGGAGTATTTTTCGGCTTTGTGCCTGGCTTTGGGGAAACAGGGCTCTGGCTTCTTCCACCTGCACTGGGGAAGAGAGATTCTGATGTCTATGGCCAGCCTCAGGGGAGACTGAGCGGCCAGGGACAGGAGGGCAGGAGCAGGTGAGAAACATTTTTGCTTCTGAGGCCTTCATTGTGGGATATCATTTTCTTAGCCCTCACAACGTGAACAGACTTTGTCCACAGAAGGAATTCTGACTGAGCTGGACCCCACATCCTGCCTCTCACCTGCTAGAGTCAGGCTCAGCAGCGTTCCTCGTCGGACCAGAGAGTCGGTGAAAACCTTTGGCAGAAGGTGGCGATCTGCAATGACCTGCGGGAAAGTCTTGGAGGAGAGCGGGAGCCAGGAATTGGAAGGATTACGTCACGGCTGGAACATGTTGGTTCCACAATGACAAAGGAAATGGCAGGATCCAGTGTAATTTTTAGTGTAATGGGGCCAATATTGTTCTTTGGGAGGAAATAGATTTTTTGAATTTCTCATTATAAGTCAACAGGAAAATAAGACATTACGTACAAAAAATGCACTCGCTTGCAACTTTCCGAGGATATATTTGCTATGTAATGTGAGGTTCCTTATTTTTAAGCTGATAATTTAAGTAACGTTATTGTAATTTACTTCTTAACTTTTAAATGTTGTCTTTATTTAGAAATAACTGTACTTTTAGAAAAGGCAACATAAATCAATACCATGAAATGAATCACTTTGGCCTGTACCAGAGACAACTTTGCATCTACAACGACGTCACAGAGTCTGGGGTTCTGAGCGCTGATCCTAAGAGCTGGACTTCAGGGGCGGCGATGGCGCTCTGCTGAACTGAACGAACCACGGCTCCTCACCCATACGCGAGAAGCGGCATCCCGGCCTTCGCGGCGCTCAGCCTGCGTGGGGCGGCAGCTGGCATGATCAGGACTATTCAGGGGGAGCAAGAAACCGAGTGCCAGGCACATCAGGCCAAGTCCTCAGCCCCACCTTACTTGTTCCCTGCAAACCAGATCACAGTGACCCTACAGCACGTATCAGTTTCCAAAGGCTGCCTTCACAAATGACGGAAAACATGGCTGGAAGCGGCGGAAATGTATTCTCACAGTCCTAGAGACTAGAAATCCAAAACCCAGGTGTCGGCAGGGCCCCGCCCCTCCGAAGGCTCTGTGGGAAGATCCTTCCTGGCTTCTCCGGCGCTTCGGCTCCGTGAATTCTGGCCGTCCTTGGCCTGCAGCTGCATCTTCCGATCTCTGCCTCTGGCTTTGTGTGGCTGTCTTCCCCGTGACTGTGTCCAGATTCTTATATAAGGACACCAGTCATTGGCTTAAGGCGTACCCTAGTGGTCACCTTCACAGGTCTCAGGGGTTAGGACTTCAACTTCTATTGCAGGACGACACAGTCCTACCCACTGCAGAGTATTGCATGCTGGACATTTGGCCAAGCTGTTTCTTTGAATTGTTTCACTTCATCCTTGTAAAAATCCTAGGATGTAGAAACTCCATTTTACAGATAAGGAAACCGAGACTCGGAAAGTCAAAGCCAACCGCCCAGGGCCACACGGCTCTGATACGGCAGAGGAGAACTCAAATCCACTTCTCTCTTACCCTGGAATCTTAACCCCTGGACTAGATGCTACATTCAAAAATTGCAAGTCATTACAGCCTAGTTAGAATCTGTTTTCTGGGTCAAATAACTGGTCAGATCTGGAATCAGAACTTTGAAGGGGTGTCAGCAAAAGCTCCAAGCTGGTGAGGGGGGATCTTTGCCTGAGAAGGGTGAGTGCACTCAACACAAGAACCAACACACAATGAAGGCTCCCTGCCCCCACCCAGGGCCCTGCTCCGTAAATTACGACCTGAAATCGTCCTCACCCATCACCCTCGTTTAGTACCTTGTGAGGTTAGAACACCAGCCCCATTAGCTCCAGACCCTCCCTCACCCCAGCCCGCATCCCTTTCTGGGCTGGGCAGGGACCCATCGGTAAAACACGCCAGCATGCCGGCGCTCTGCTGACCTGATTGTAAAGCTAACTAAACTAATTAATCACAACAGATTATTAAGAGTGACAAGGTCAGAGAGGTGACATTCTCCAAAATCTCCAATTTGGTATGGGTGTGCATATTTTTTTAATCCCCACAGCAATTTATTTTCCGTATAGCAAAGTTTCTCCAAGTATGTCCCAAAATGTAGTCAAGGTTAACTGTGCTGTGAGCTTATTCAATATTTATGATTCTCTTTATTTGTATTACTAGGACTTTTGGGGGACTCCAAAAGGTTCATTAATCAAACAGAGTGACAAAATGAGCCATTTGACAATTGGAACAAGGGCTGAATATTATTATGATTTTATATATGTGTGTGTGTATATATATATATACACACACATCTATATACGTATATATATATTTTTTTGGTCCAGGAATAAAGAACCAACTTAAACTTCATCAACAGTTCCTGATTAATTGTTACAAAGTGTCATCCATAAATTTCCCTTCGATCTAATAATCCTCTCAGACGATTTAACAATATCCCCAGCGAGTTGGCTTTATTGAGGGCTGAGTTCCTGAGAAGGAAGGCAGCGACACAAATAGCTCAAGTGCATGGAGACAGTCGCTGGCCAGTCTTCCCAGCGCTGACAGCTCTGAAATACAATTATCAGTGTGATCTGCTTAAGAATTCATCATCAGCTCCTGCCTTCTGAAGACTTAAAAAAATACCGAGACATACAAAGAGAAAGAGGTGATAAGAAGGCATCATTTTCCTCCAGCCTCATAACTGTAAATTGAAGAAAATTATTTTCTTTGCCTCCAGCTCATTGGCATATAGGCAGCATTATATTATAATTTCATAAGCATAAATCCTTTGAATAAATTTCAGAAGAATAACTGAATTAGAAATGCAAGTAAAGTATCTAAAAAACTTCACTGTCCTAGGCAGAGGAGGAGATGTGAGAAGCAGAGGGAAAGAGAGAATTCCTCTCTGGCGACCTTCCCTGGGTTACCAGGGACCTGGGACAAGGTCTGGCTCAGGGAAAGACAGTTCTTAACCCTACTCTGAGCCCAGTGGCAAATAAAATAGCCCCCTCTCCTCTTCCCACTGGTATGTTCCGAGGAATTCGAGTCGTAATTCATCATAAATTAATTTTGGAGAAACAACAGGCTTGGGGCACGTTATAATTATTGTTATTTGTTTATTTATTATCACGTTAACCGTTATTTATTATTATGTTACGCATATGTGAGACCACAAAGGCTGCTCCCCGCAGTTTCCTGGCAACACGGCCGTGAGTTCTTCACACGCAAGTTACCAAGTGCGCGGCTCCGAGAAGGGCGGGTGGGAGGAGCTGGACGCGGTTTGGGGTCCCCGGCTTCTGCGCTTTCCTGAGGGGACCCAGTGGGACGGCCGGTCCGGATGAAGAGTCTGTCTGGCACTGCGGCGACGGTTCATGATCTGCACAGCAGATCGTCTGCAAACAAAGACCATTTAGAGGCAAAGCTCTGGCCCCGAGAAAGACGCCAGGGGCTGGCTCAAGTTCAAGGAGGAAGAGGGCCCTTCTTGGTGTTCTGGGCAGCCGGCCACAGACACCTTCCATCCCACCAGGCCACTCAGGGAGGAGGAGGTGAGGACTGGGAGGGGCAGGGGAGCCTCCGGGAGCCGCCTCGCCCCCACCCTGGGCTCTGGTGGTCTTCCTCCCCTCCCCAAGGCAGCTAACTGGGGGGGCCACCGGTATGCGGGGAGCAGCCCTTGTGGTCTCACATATGTGACATAATAATAAATAATGGCTAACGTGACAATAAACAAATTACAACAACAACAACATTCTAATGCCCACTGGACAATGGAATCCCCTGGGAATGTTTTTGTTGTTGTTTTTCTTCCTAAATTTTTAATTTTAAAATAATGAACTTGTAGAAAAATTGTAAAGATAGCACAGAGTTCCTACATAGCCCACACCCCATCTCCTCTTTTCCCATTATTAGATCGTGTTCCTCTGTGCATCCGCCCCAGTTCACAGAGCAGTACTGACTCACAGGAGTGCTTCACTGAAGCCCACGCTTTATTCGGGGTTCTCTAGTCTTTACCTAAAATCCGTCTCTACCCCGGACCCCAGCCGGGACACCCCATGGCCCTCAATCCTCAGTTCTCCTTAGACTCCTCTTGGTGGTGATGGATTCTCAGACTTTCCTGTGTTGAATGACCTTGACCTTGGCTGTTCTGAGGAGGACCGGCAGGAACACTGAAGAATTGGAGTTTGATGTTTTTCTCATAGTGGGTTGAGTGGAGACTGCACCTGTGATGGAGGTCGAGCGCTTTCATCCCATCCCATCAAGGGTGCATCGGGTCAACGTAACCGAGCATGGTTAAACGTGATGACCTGGCTGAAGCAGTGTCTGCCAGGTTTCTCCACTGTAAAACTGCCTTACCCCTTTCCATACCTTTTGGAAGAAGTCATTATGAGCAGCCCACGTGGCCAAAGTGGGGAGCTGTGCTTCCCCTCTTCAAGGGCAGGGGATCTACATAAGTTATTTGGAAGTCTGCACAGAAAACTTGTCACTCTCCCTCCAATTATTTATTTCCTCAGTCATTTCTATCAGAATAGGCTGGCTCTATACTTTGAGTTATTTTCCAATGCTATCTTACTTTGTTGCTCAAATTGCTCTAGCTTTAGCCACTGGGGGTTCTTTCCATTGCCTCCTATGTCCCTTTAAAATGTCCCCATTATGGCGGCATCCTGGGTGTTTTGGTTTGGCTTGGTTTGGACACTTCCTTGCTTTCTGCTCCAGGCTCATCTTGTTTACTCCCCTCCCAGTCCCAGAATTAAGCATTTCTTCACAGAACCCGGGATCCTTGTATGGAAGACTGGGATTAGCAACCACTATCTGGTGCTGGGTTTCAAGACTCTCCTACATTGACGCTTGCTTCCAGTATAAAATAAAGGTATTATAACATATAACACAGTCTGAATTTAAAATAAATCTAGTATTAAAAATAATGCTACAATGAATGAACCATCAGGCACCATTTCTTAGGCACTAGAGAGATGGTTACTGAGGGGAAACTGCTAGAGATCCATCAGATCTGCCCTGCCTTCTTCCCAATCACAAATCTGGACTGCGGTGCCTGCTTTCCACAGCTGGGAGTGGTCGGTGACTACGCACTCCTCAGTGGAACGGGAGAGGAAGCCCGATGCACCGCCACACCTAGCTCTTAACCTATGGATGTGTCTCATCCACACCCTCTCCCTGCTTTCTTGATGAAAACTTCTGGCCATGCAGAGATAGACATTGCCATAGGGAAAGACAGAAAAAGGATCTCACAACTTGGACAGAGCCTGCTTCTTGAATGACTTCGTTGGAGCAGAGCCACTTGTGGGGCTGGAATATTCCTGTGGATTTTTACCTGAGAGGGATAAACCTCTACAGTCCTCAGAACACACACGGGTCCATTTGTTACCCTAGCTTGCAGAGGGCACCCCAGATCTTACAGGGTACCCAGGTCTCACAGCGTACCCCAGCTCATACAGGATACCAGGCCCATGCAGCATACCCTAGCTCATACAGGATACCCCAGTTCATAAAGGATACCCCAGCTCATACAGGATACCCCAGTTCATACAAAATAGCTCAGCTCATAACCGATATCCAGCTCATGCAGGATACCCCAGCTCATACAGGATACCCCAGTTCATAAAGGATACCCAGCTCATACAGGATACCCCAGCTCATACAGGATACCCCAGTTCATAAAGGATACCCAGCTCATACAGGATACCCCAGTTCATACAGGATACCCTAGTTTATAAGGGATATCACAGCTTATACAGAATACCCAGCTCATACAGGATACCCCAGTTCATAAAGGATACCCAGCTCTTACAGGATACCCCAGTTCATACAGGATAGCTCAGCTCATAAAGGATACTCAGCTCATACAGGATACCCCAGCTCATAAAGGATATCCCAGCTCATACAGAATACCCAGCTCATACAGGATACCCCAGTTCATACAGGATAGCTCAGCTCATAAAGGATACCCAGCTCATACAGGATACCCCAGCTCATAAAGGATATCCCAGCTCATACAGAATACCCAGCTCATACAGGATACCCCAGTTCATAAAGGATAGCAAGCTCATACAGGATACCCCAGTTCATAAAGGATACCCAGCTCTTACAGGATACTCCAGTTCATAAAGGATACCCAGCTCTTACAGGATACCCCAGTTCATAAAGGACACCCAGCTCATACAGGATACCCAGTTCATACAGGATACCCAGCTCATACAGGATACCTCAGCTCATAAAGGATATCCCAGCTCATACAGGGTACCAGGTGCATGCAGGATACCCAGCAGTTCATACAGGGTACCCCAGCTCCTACAGGGTACCCTGGCTTCTGCAGATCACCCTAGATTGTACAGGGCACTTTAGCTCAAGCGAATTGCACCTCACTGGAGATCATTGACGTGAATCTTCTATGAGGTGCCTGGGGTAGAGCTCAGAGAATGATGTCATGGGCAGTTTTCCTGGGACAATGATGTGACAAGAAGCCTTTCCATGGAATGGAGACTGGAACTCTCCCCTAGGGTTGCTGGGAAGTCAGGGCAAGTGAGACACTCTCACCCACAAGGGCCACCCAGAATGGCTTCCAGCCACACCCTCTGATTATTTGTCTAACCTTTGTGGTTTAAAGTCCCCTCCTGAGAGCGCACCTCCTTTGACCGAGGATCCTGGTGAGCACTCTGGGCACTCAGGCCATCTGCTGATGCTGCCAACCACAGTTGCCCCTCCACAGATCATGGGGTTGGGTGCTCACCTGTCCCCATGCCTTGGTGTGGTCTGTGGATGAAGCATTCACCTGCCTGGTGTAGGAGTTACAATCAGTTAACACTGACACCTGCAGACCCTGCTCTCAGGAGCTGCACACCATTTGTTCTATATTTGAGTTTGACCTTTCATGACCAGCAGGAATTTAACCGTCAGCCTTGTCTAGACAGAGTTCAGGCTTTGGGGCTCCGTCAATAAACCGCATCAGTGGTCTATGCCAGGCTTCTTAACCTCGGGATAGCGACACCCTGCACAGAGCAGATGAATAAAGCCATGTCCCTCTGCGCTCCAGAAACAGCACGAAGCTTTACCAGAATGTGTGCAGCCAACTCTTTGAAAGAACAGGTGCTCTGAGGGGCTGAGTCCCTCATTGTTTGGGGTGAGGGTTTTGGGGGGAGTGCCTCCCTCTCCTCTGTCTCCCTCCTGTCTTCATTGCTTGGAAAAGAAACAATGACGCACTTTGCCTGGTGTTCAGTGCAGGTGTTCCTTTACCCCTGGAGTAACATTTTGCTTGGTGTTCAGTTAGACTGAGAGTCCTGAAGTCCCAAAGGCTTGGCCTTGAATCCAGGGTCCAGCCCTTCCTAGTTGGTGACCCTAGCAAGGGGTACGTGCCTCTCAGCCTCCACTCTCCCAGCTGGACAACAGGGGCTGCATGAAGACCATTGTCCATGACATCAGAAGCAGATGCACAGAGCTTACTGCAGCTCTTGGCACAAGGCGCACCCTCAATGAGAGTCAGCTCCTCCCGTCTCTTCCCATGGTCCTCCCCTCGCCCCTAGGAAAAGAGGGTAGGCCTGAAATGGGGGCAGGAGAGACAAGCCTCTCCTCTTTCCCTCTTTAGAATTGCCTGGTCAGCAGCCTTAACCTTGACCTGAGCTCAGCCCTACCCCTGGGGGAGGATTTCACCTAAGAGCAGTGCCCGAGTCAGTCTACCCAGTTGCAGCAGCAAGAAACAAACCTTCGGGGTCGTTGCATCCCACACCAGACGTCCTGTGCAAATCTGGGTGCAGTCTGTACCTCACATCCTGTGGACCCTTCAAAGCCCATTCTCTTCCGGCTCCCTTATCACCATCACCTCTATTGCAACCTGCTCCGTGGGATTCACTGACCTCATGACAATTGTTTACATGAAAGAAAAAAACACAAGTTGATCATCAATCATTCTTACTTTCTTACTTGAGAATTCCGTTTAAGAACAAGAAGAGTCTTCTTTATTTTAGAGGCCTGTTTTGTTGACCAAGTGTAACTTGGAGGTCAGCACAGGAGACCTGCTGCTGTCTGAACCATAAAGTGGGATTTGAGAGGGCACTACATTGGTTTGTAGAATTCAGGGACCAGCCAAACACCTGCACCCTGGCCACAGAGCAGCTCAGGGTGCCTCTGCATACTTGCTCGTGAACATCCCATAGGACACGTCAGCAAAGTGATGCTGCTCCACTGCGACTCTGGCCAAGTGTCACACTCCTAGGAGAAAGAGCCCTGTTGACCAAGCCACCCTTGGATAATGACCACAGCAGAAGGGCACAAGCAAAGGACAGACAAGGGCGCTGGGGGAATCCCTGTCAGCTGAGCAGGCCCCCAGTGGGTGTTCATGTAATTAATGAGCAGTCATTGTCCTTAAGACAAAGCTAATAACAATGCAATTCTATTAACAAGAGCTTTTTATTGAGAAAGTATTATAATGAATATTCTTCTTAATGCTAAAGTAATTCCTTCCTTTGTCTGGTTGTGAGGTTTTTGTTTTTAATTTTTATTATTGTTTTTATTTTTTGTTGTTATATGCAAGATTCTTCACAGACATGATCTTTAACCCTCAGTCTAAACAGCCCTATGAAGTCGGTATGATTAGACCCACTCAGATGAGAAGGCAGGCCTGCAGGGGCCAAGCAACACACCCAAGGTGACATGGTCAGTACATTGCAGAACTGGGACTTGAGCCCAGATCTTCCTGCCTCTAGAATGCACTGTCGGATTTAGAATGAGTCACTGGCGTAAGCAGCCCAGGCATGACCTTATGGATCTAGAATGATGCTAAGGAGACAGGTGGAGCCATTCTTGTCCAGAGCTGCTAAACCAAGTGTACATTCCCCACCTCTAACTGCCAGGACACCCATCATAGAGTGCCAGCTCTCTGCAAGGAAACTCAGAAGCTCTTTGAAAACTGGACGACTGACTATTCCCACATGCCTTGGTCTTGCTGTTCCCCTCCCCACCTTCCCACCAGCAGGAATCTTTCAAGGCTCAGTGTCAACGCCTCTCATGGGAAGCCTGCCTGGACTCTCGTGTTTCTGAATAGCAGCACTGGCCACGCTCGGCTTTGCATAGAAGGTATTTTCATCCACCCATTACTCCTACCAACATTCTTCCATCATTCCCTTGAGATGAGGAAGACATGGTCTTCTATGTCTTCCTTGCCACATTAGCCTCTTTAGCAGGCCTGGGGCAGGCTCTCCGTTGTTGTTGGGTTGAGTTGAAAAATGCCACCCTGCCTTGAATGCCTCATAGTGAAGGAAGAACTCTCTCCAATCACACCTGTCCCTCTATCTGGAGAAGACAAAAAGAAGGGTCTATTTCATCATCAATCTTTAGAGTAACGGAAAGAGATAGAAAAATTCCCAGCATGCTGACTGTGGCAGCAACTACATGGGCTCACTTGTCTTCTAGTCCTCCCTGCGCCCTCTGAAGGTAGGTGTGGCCATGCGACTTGCTTTGGCCAGGGAGATGTGGGTGAAAGTGAAAGTGCTTCTTCCAAGTGGAGCCTTCGGACCTGGTGTGCTCACTGCGTGTCCCCTTTCCTGTCTGGGCATCCCAGGAAGCCTGTGCCCGGATGGACCCTGAGGGACAGCAGTTGACAGAGCCTTCCTGCTGATGCTGGACACGTAGCACGAAGAAGAAAGAACAGTGCTGTGTGAAGCCACTGAGACGCTGGGGTCACTGTCGCCACGGCATAGCCTCGCTGTTTCACAAATTCACATATTGTGCCTTCTTCTCAGAATAATCAGCTCTTATTTATTGATAGAAAGAGGGTTCATAATAATGAGGTTAAATCATTGAGTGTGGTAACAAATTGTATATAATACAGCCCTAGCTCTGTTGTGCAGTATAATTCTGCACAAATGCACACACACGCACACACACCCCAAAGCAGAAAGTACGGACTTTTTCTGGCAGCAATTGTTCATGCTCTATGAAAGCTGTTAATTTTTCTCACTGGAGCTAGGCCAATTCAGTTCAGTTCACGAAGGCAACCATTGCAGAATTTTGTCTAGCATTGTTTTCTAGAGGTACCTCAGTGCCACCTAGAAGACTGGGTATTTTCCCTTAATGAAAAGATAGTCAGAATAGGGGGAAATGCTTTTCCTTTCTTTCTTCCTTTCTCTTTCTTCCCTTAAAAAAAAAAAAAACCCAGAATGATGTTGTGATTACCTTGCATTTTGCAGCATAGTGGATATGACAGTCAACCAAATTAATCCCATTATGCAAAACCCAGTTCGCAAATGGTTTTGCATTTTTGCAAAATTATGTCAATTTTCCCATAAATTGGAGAGACTGTGTCAGTTTTCTGAACCGCACAGAGACGCTTCTCAGTGCTGTATGTCTATATTTCCCTAATTCAGAAGCATACAGATTTTAGCTCCATGGCACAAATTAGGATTCATAACTTTAATGCTGATACTTTTGTTTACGTGAGACTTGCATGAGAATTGCCATTCATTTCACATTTATTTACAATCTTCTTCCTCATCATACTCATCATGATGGGAAAAAGAAAAGAGCATTAGCAGTCTGGGGAAAAAATGGTTAAAACAAAATTCTTAATTATTTTGATATTAAGAACATGATTCATTCTTTCTTTTCCTTTCTCCAGCACTCAGTCGGGTGCCTGCAGCCCTCACCCTGAGTGTCTGTGCCTTTTTCTCTGTCCGTGTTCAAGTGTTCAGGCAGCAGACAGAGCTTCCCAAATGCCGTCCCCCTGGCCAGCCGCAGACAGGCTGTTGGTGGCCAAATCTTCCTGGCATTGACTGTGATCTGTGAATTCCCTGTAACTGGACCAACTCATCAAATTCAACCCACTCCTGCCTTGAGCTGCCGAACAGCCGGGATCTGGAAGGCTCGAACCCTGACCCCTGTCACCAGCCCTCCGAGCCTCGCACATCTGCTGGCTGGATGCGGCACTGCTTCACCTGGTTCATTTCAAATGCAGCAGGCCCCCTCCGCTCCAAGCCCAGCATCGCCTCCTCTCCGTCTCTCTCTCTCTCTTTTAAAGGGAGAAAGAAAAAGCTTCCTTGTTTTGAAGACTGGCGCTCCGAGGGCTAAACTACTTACTGAATTCGGAAAATCTATTTTTTAATGGTTCTTCTTTCTCTGCGCAGCACTCTTTATTTCGAGAATGCTTTCTTGAGCAGCGAGTTGTTGACTTTGTATGCTTTGGATTTATCAGACATGTGTCAAGTTGTCAACCTCCTACCGTCTGCATTTGTGTCCACCTTGCAAACAGCAGGGAAAAATACTTTTTTTTTTCCACGAACGTTCACTTCTTGGCAGTTCTGAAACAAATTTTTGAACAGTTGCTGTTCCTATTGATAGCAATAGTTTGATGTTTCAAAAAAAACCAGGGTTTTATTTTCCCCTAAATTTTTGACATGTTCTGTCATATCATATCACATCAGACCCTGATGCATCAAAAACAAAAAAAAAGGGAGGGCGCAGCCTGCTCTGCTCACATAGATCATGAGCCTTCACAGGACACCCACCCATCTGTTCGCCACTTTCGTCCTTTTGTTCTGTCTCGAATGCTGGTATTCCTCAATCAAATGTATTCTTGCTTCTTCTAAGCCGCTGCAGTCTCTCCGGCAAGGCTTCCTAATCTTTGTGAGAAATAGTTCCAAGGAATTTGGAGACTATTCGCCTTTCCCTACTGGTGAGGGGCTGGAATCTAGATCCATTGAGGGTATCAGCTGCAATCAACAATAGACAAGGAAGAATACACAAATGAAGTCAACACCCAATAGCCCCAGGCAAGTGTCACCTAAAATTGCTGAAACTGTGAAAAAAAAAAAGTCCACAATCAAGACTGTTCTTCTCAGAGCTTTTCCCATCCCCTGGCAGGGCTGCCAGGATCTCCCCACGCCGTCGGGAGCACGCTGAGACTGTGAAATGAAGCCCAGCGTGATCTGCACCCCCGGCTCTGTCCTGGCAGCTTGTCCTCCAGAAAGGGGAGGCGGACTACAGGGCGGGTCCAGCCACACCACTCCCCACACTGCCTAGTGCTCTGGGAGCAAAGCCCAGGCCCCTCCTGGACCACCCTCCTTCTTCTGCCGCCTCAGGCCCAGCCTCATCCAGGGTCTGCCCCAGGGCCTTCAACTCACAGCTCCATCTGCATGGGAAGTGCCAGTCCCCCATGGACCGAGTTTCAGGGAGACTTAGCCCGCTGCACATAGACCATGACTGTGCAGGACCATGCGACACAAGGCATGGGAAGGCCCCTCAGGGCACGCGTAGGCCTGCGAATTCTGGATGAATGAGACCTGCTGCCCACACTCAGAGAAAGGGCCAAGTGCACAGGCAGGCGGCTGCCATAGGAGGGGGCATGGGCTCTCAGCCCAGGTGGGAGCAGAGTGATGGGGTAGAGCCAGAGCGGGAGCAGTTGACCCTTGGGGGGGCCAAGAGCGGTGGTAGAGGGCAGCCTCCTGGAGGAGGTGACTGCAACCATGTCTGTGTGGGCAGTGGGTGCACACTGTAAGGCTGGGAGCGGAACAGGCGGGCTGTGCTGGAGATGAAGGCTGGAGATAACCTGAGAGTAGCGAGTGAATTGAACAACACAAGGAACTGGGCTTGGGTTTTCTCCTCCCACTTAGTGACACCACGGTTTTGCCCGTTCATCCAAGCCAGCACCAAGCGCCCACACTCTCCTCACCCCCAGCAGCCTCAGGGGCGTGCCACCTGCATTGCCACTCAGGACACTGGGCTCAGCCCAGGTGCCACTGCTCCTGGAAGTCTTCAGAGGCCTCATGGGACGGGGCAGGAGCCCGCAGACGTCCATGCCTTCCTTGCGTCTGTCATTTGCACAGCCGATCTGTCTGTCCCTCCACCTGCGGGCCGCAACCTTCAGGCCCAGCTGTGTCTTAACGCCCTTTATCCCAAAGAGCTCAGCTGAATGAACTTAAAAGGTGATAGGGAGCTGAGCTTTTAGAGGAGTTTAATCCGGAACTTGAATAGATTTGCATTTTAGAAAAATGTGATGTGAAAATGGATTGTGAGCTGGGGTGTGGGGGCAAGACTGGGACAGAGACTGGGGTAGGAGGAGGTTGTGACTATTCTATAGCAGGAGATGGGGAAGCCCAACTCAGAGCAGTGGGAGCTGGGGTAATAAAGAGAGGCCAATTTGAGACATCCAGGTGAAAGAATCAAGACGATCGGGTTGCTTGTTGAGAAAAGGGGATGGAGGTCAGCCTTGGGAGACTGGTGGAGGCAGGGCATGCAGCGGGGAAGGCAGGCTTGGCGGACAGGCGAGGGTGTGGGTGCCACAGGGAGTCGCATTTTAGAATGGGGACACCAGGTGAGGCTGGCCACGCGGATTTGGAGCTCATGGGAAAGTTTGCCGCGCTGTGCAGTGAGGGAGCCTGGGCCGTGGGGGAAGGCTGGGCTCTGCATGAGTCCACCAGTGGTGCTGGGTGGGCTCTGAGCTTCTCTGGGCTTCAGTTTCCTATTGGGTATGAGAAGGGGGAGGGATGGTTCCTTACAGTACCAACATTCTAGAACTCCGCAGGGCATCCCAGGGAAAGTGGCACAGCCCTGAGTCTTGAGCTCTGTCAGGTGCGGCCCCTGCTCTTCTGGAACCCTGTCGGTTTCCTACAGGTGCCATCACAAAGTGCCAAAAATCCAGTGGCTTAAAACAACAGGAATCCATTCTCTCATAGTTTTGGAGGCTGGATGGAGGTGCAGGCGGGACCACGCTTACTCCGAGGGCTTCGGGGAGAACGTTCCATGCCCCTCCAGCTCCTGGGGGCTCCCGGCAATCTCTGGCATTCCTTGGCTTGCAGCAGCACGGCCCCCGTCTTCCCCTCCATCTTCACGTGGACTTCTTTTTTCTATGCGTGTCTCTGTGTCTGCTCTTCCTCTTGCAAGGACACCCGTCATTGGAGTCGGGGCCCACCCTCCTCCAGTATGACCTCATCCTAACTGATTACATCTACAAAGACTCTATTTCTAAATCATGTTGCACTTGGGTTTCTGGGTGGACATAAATGCGGGGGCATTATCAGGCCAGTCCACTTGCACTTGCTTGTTGGTGTCAGAGCCCGTCCCTAAACCAGGGCTCCATATGGGCTGCCTGTCTGCCGCAACACAGCCTAGCGGGGAAACAGTAGAAATGCCACTTCTATGTATTTATCATATTTATTTTGAGGTAAGTTATATGACATATATAATAAATTAGTACTGGGGTATATGTATATTATTAACAAATCAATATACATTCATTGGGGGACTTCTTGATTTTTAACATTGGGTCACACAGACCAGAAAGTATGGGGACCCCCGCTGAGACCCTGAGCCCCAGATGGGTGCTCTGATTGGAGCTGGCTGGATCCCCGTCACCTACAGCTGAGGTTGCCACATGGTCATGACTTCATGTTGGGTAGTTACATGTGATGGAATAGGAAGGAAACACCCGGTCCCTCATTGCACCCTGTGGGACACTGTGTGGAGTGGTGGGACACTGCGTGACATGGTGGTGGTGAGCACTGGCCCTGGAGTTTCAGCCACGGCACTGCCAAGTCTCTAGCACTGCCATCTTGGACTAATTACCATACTGGGCTGCACCTCAGCGTTGCTTCCTGTAACGGGGATTGAGGATAATCCTACTACCTCAGCCGGCTGCCAAAACTGGACTTGATATTTTATATCAAGGACTTAATACCATGCTCATCCCCAAAATATTAGCCGCTGTTGTTATTGTCTTCATGATGACAACCAAGCGGGACGGAGAGGCACAGGCCGGTACCTGCTGCCCTGGCACTGCCCCTCCCGAACCTGCACATCTGCGAAGCCTCTGCATCCCCTCCCCCAGCTCCATCCTCCCTACATTCACTCCTGACCGGGACCCTGCCCACACATTTCCTCCCTAAAGAAAGGAAGGCTTTGGGCAGCGAGGTGGAGGGCCTGTTGGCTGCTCTATCACTCTCTACTCTTGAGCCATTCCGGGAACAAAAACATTTCAGATGTGGAGGGTTGATGGGTGTGCGTACATGTGTATGTGTGCGTACATGTGTGTGTGCGTACGTGTGTGTGCACGTACATGTGTGTGCAGACATGTGTGTGCGTTCGTGTGTGTGTGCAGACGTGTGTGTGCTCGCGGACGTGTGTGTGTGTGGACGAGTGTGTATGCGTACGTGTGTGTGTGCAGAGACGGAGAAGGATTATGAGTTCCCATCTCAGGCTAATGAGGCCTGTAAGTATGGGGCAAACTGACACTGGACCATTTGGCTGCAGAGTTGCACAGTAGAATTATAATTAATTTGTTGTCCAACATTACCCATAGGCTTTTTTTAGCATTTCTACTTTCCTGGCTGTTACTGCCCATTGAATTCCAATGTTTTGGATTAATATCCTCTGGTTACATCCTCCTGCCGTTTTCCAAGCCGAGCCTCATTTTATTTCTTGTCCATATTTTGGGCTCTTCAAACGATTTCTCTGTCCTCACTGGTCTTCTCAACACCTCCTAATTTTGCACAATCTGTGAATTCAATTAACAAGTTTTATCCTCTCCTCCAGATAATTAACGAAGACGTTAAATAAAGCCAGACTGCACTGACCCCTGGGGCGCCATGCGAGACCCCCTCGCGGACATGGTACACAGTTATTTATCATCGTCTTTGTTCATGGCCCTTCCACCAGTGCTGAGCTCACATGGCAGCAGGAACCTGAGAATCTGGGGGAGTCCATTTGGTGGAGCGCTGACTAGGGCAAAGCACCCCCAACCCCAGCACAACCAGCCCTGGGACCATGGTCATTCACTCAAATCCTGGGCCTCAGTCTCCATGTATTAAAGCAAGAGGCACCGGCTCCCTTCCTTTCTGCACGAGGGGTCAAGGTTGCCATTTCTCTGGGCCGGCACTTTCTCCCCTGTCGACAGTGCTTCCTTTCTGGCCTCCAGACCTTTTCCAACATTTGGATGTAAACAGACCCTCAAACCTTACCCCTCCTCCTTCACCTCTCAAACCCGAGGGTGTCTGCCTTCCCTTCTCGGTGAAGGCCACTCCATCCTGGCTCAGGTCCACAGTCTTGGCGTCGTCCTTGACTGCGCTCTTCTTTGCACGCCCACAGCCAATCTGTGAGCAGTTCTAGTGGCTCTGCCTTCAAAACGCATCCAGAATCTCACCGCTTCTCTCTCCTGCCAGTGCTGCTGCCCCGGGCTAGGCCTCCCGCAGGCCTGCCTGGCCGCTGCACCCCGACATGCACACATCTGTTCTCTCCTCCTCTTCCTCGCTGGCCTCCCTCACTCTCACCCGTGCACAGCAGCCAGAACCCGTTAAACTACAAGTCAGACTGCGTCAGTCCTCTCCCAAACCCCTCCGCGGCCTTCCCGCCTGTCTCCAGAAAAGGCCCACAGTCTCACGGTGATGTTTCCTATGACTGCTGTGACAAATTTCCACAAGCTCGGAGGGTTCACTAGTGCAAATTCATTATCAAACCGTTCTGGAGGTCGGAAATCCCACTCAGGTCTCACGGGGCTAAAATCAAGGTCTTGGCAGTATCGTGTTTCTTCTGCCGCCTGTCAGGGAGAAGCTGTTTCTTTGCACGTTCCAGGCTCCCAGGGCCACCTGCAGTCCTTGGCTCATGGCCCCACACCACTGCAGGCTCCACTTCCATGGTCACATCTTCGCTGACATTCCTGCCTCTCTCTTCCACTTACAAGGGCCCTTGTGATGACATTAGACCCCTCAGATAGTCCAAGATAGTCTCAAGATCCTTAGCCCGACGATGCATGCACAGTCCCTACTGCTGTGGAGGGTGACATGTTCACAGGTCCTGGGGATCGGGGGCCATCATTCTGCCAGCCACAATGGCCTTCAGTGTCCCCCACCGATTGGCCTCCTGATCACCTCTCTGACCTTGTCTCTTCTCTGTCCCCATGCACACTATCCTCTCCCCACACTGATCCCGGGATGAGTGGGGGATGGGGGTAGCGGGAGGGCTTGCTGTGGTGTTCTCCAATTTCCCTGGTGTAAATACACCCATCATGCTGATTTTCAGATCTCAAGTTGGCCTCACTTAACATGGACCTGGGAAGAGGTGGGCACCATGAACTCACACTGCTCTGCAGGGCCCCTGAGGCTCTGTGCTTGCCCTTCTCTTTGCTGTGACATGCTGCCCCAGAAGCCACAGGCTCACAGGGCAAGCTCCTGCCCTTGCAGAGGCCTCTTTGGCACTGCCCCGAAACCACACCCCCTGCCCGTCCATATTCATCCTCCCTTCTCTACCTTCCCATCTTTGCACTCCATCACCATCTAAAACTTCGCCATCTGAAAGTGCCCATGGTGATTCTCTTGTGTATTGCTTATCTCCCCAGAGGAGAGCAGGGACACCAGGGAGGGGGCTCTGTGCGGCCCCAGTACCTACAACAGTGCCCAGATGTCATAGGTGATCCATCAGTAGCTGTGGATAAACGGGTGCATGGACGCCTGGCCCCACGTGCAACAGGAGGGAGAGATGCTTTCTGCTCTTGCAGCTCCTTACAATGTGAGCTGTCCTGGGAGCCATGCAGAAGGGGAGTATGGCTCATTATTCCAAAACTTACACATGCTTTTCTAAAAGTTCCATTTTCTTTAGTGTTCATGGGTGCATTCTTTCTTCTTCAGCACTGGTCTGTTCTTCCACTAGATATCTACTTTTGATTTGCTAGGGACTAGTGAATGAAATCATGCTCATGTGCTTCACAGAAAAGCTAATCAATTACCATTTTCTAATGTAATAGTAAATCTCCAGCCTACATCCTTTTCTATAATAATAATATTTGGTTCAAGGAGATCCAAAGGAAAGGAATTAATCCAAGAAGCCCACAGGGAAGCATGTTGACAAGGGTTCTGTAAAACACTCATTTCAATTTAGGGTTGGCAGAGTGAAAGGTATCAAACATGGCATTAGGTTATCACTCTAGATAGTGGAGATTATGGAAGAAAGGTGATTTTCGTGGGATAGGAAAGCATCAAGAATATTTTGAAACCAAAATGGCATTTAACATTCCTTGATTACTTATTAAATGTTTGGTGCCAGTCTAAATGCTTTACCTGTTTATCTCAGAACAAATGAGGGAAGGCCACTCAAAGGTACCTCTAGAGCACTGTACAAGAGCAGCCTGCACTCAGCAAAGTCGTGAGTACGATATCTCACTCCACCATGCAACTTGTGAAAGGACCATGGTAACCTTCAAACTTCTGGCCTTAAGCAGAGTTGTACTTTTTGACCTTTCACCTCAGGCCTTTTCTTCCATGCTGACCTCTGGGCTGACCCAGGTTGCTCATCAATGGCTCTGTCTCCCTCAAGCTAGTCCTGAGTTCCTGGGGCCTGCAATTATTAGTAAGAGGCTTCAGCCATCCAAGCTTCCTTGGGATTTCAGGGGTAGCTATAACGTTCATCAGATTTCTCAAAGTAGGCTTTGGATGGTATTAAGCCCTCTGAGAAAGAAGGGTTCTATGATCAAATAAGGTTGGGAAATATAAGATTAAAATGTTTACCAGAGTTCTTTACTGCAAGAATCCTCAGAATTCTTTATGTGCAATTGTGGGTGATAAGTTATCAAGAGCAGAGTATTGTATACAACTTTCCCACACTATGTAAACATATTTCTGTCTGTTTGAGTAGTAGCTTTGATAATTACCATACTCTGGAAAGCACTTCAGGAAATACTGTTTCACCTATATACCGTGGTATTTCTTTGTCTCCAGCCAATACCTAAGATTCAGGTGACCATCTGATGGGAGTAAGAGGTAGGGGATTCCTGCAACAACTGGGTGAAGAGTTCTAGGTTGGGCAAATCAGTGCTCTTGCCAAGAACAATCAGAGAATTTAGGTATATAGAAATACCTACAATTGATGATAGATTATAGATGATGAATAATAGATCAAGAGATTGATGATTGGCAGATGATAGATATAACAGAGAGATAAACGATAGGTATAGATGGATAAATATATACATACGTGTGTGTGCGTGTGTGTATTTAGAGAGAGAAAGGGACCTCTAGATATGGTTATTTCTTTGAAAGGCACTAGTGGGCTACTGAGGAGACCAGAATGTGGGGGCCAAATCCTAAGAGAAGGAAAGTTCAGAGAAGTGAGCTGATGTTTTATGAGCTACACTTTCCCCCAGGGTAATTGTGGATTCTTCATATAAAACAATATCTGAGAACCTGGGCAAGGAACTGCTGCTAAGAGATGGAGAAGCCATCAGAGCTTCTGGTAATTTCACAGGGCTAGAGAGACAAAAGTTATATCTCAGGAAGGAAAGAAGATACAGAGAAGTGAGTTCAACATTCATTGATTTCCACTGGAGAAACTTGCCAAATTTTCAAGCTGTGCAGGACAAGAAGCTAAGAAAGTAAATGGAAACTGACCGAAACATAAACCATAATCTTTGGCCAAGTAACGGCAGCTAGATTTCCGGACCTACCAAGAAAGAGAGACCCTGTTAAATACACAAGCTCCCGTTTGGAACTTTTGGAAAGCTACACTCATAGAACAGTGGTGAAAAAAGTTAGATAAAGATTTATAAAAACTGTGACCCCCAGCTAGAAATAGCATGATTATTGATTGGATTAAGATGGCATTGCCCACACTAACTGACAACCAGAGGATAGAGTGGAACAATCTATAGTGGTTTATAAACCGTATCTGGCATTTAATAAAAAACCAGTTAGCATACCAAGAAATGAGATCAAGAGAAAAAGAGACAATAGAAATAGACAAACAGATGAGATGACCTGACCTAGTTATTGTAGTTGTCAGATACGCACTTTGAAATAAATTTAATATTAATAATTAATATATTCAAGAAAATAGATGACAATGTGGAGAATTTCACCCAAAAATAAATCAGAATCTACATCAAAGAATTAAATTAAAACTGTAGAAAGCAAAGATTTAAATTTTTTTTTTTTTTAGAGACACGGTTTGCCCTCTTGCCTAGGCCAGTCTTGAACTCTTGGGCTCAAGTGAGCTTCCTGCCTCAGGCATCCCAAAGTGTTGAGATTATAGGCATGAGTCACTGTGTCCAGCAAAAATTAAATGAGTTGACGGACTTAACAGAAGATTGAATTTGGCAAGAAAAGAAGATTAGTAAACTAGAAGATAAATAAATAGATAAAATCCAGGCTGAATCACCTAAAGCAATAGTAAAAATTTTGGAAAAGAGATTATAAGGCATAGCAGACATAGTGAAAAGTCTAATGTATACATAATTGGACTCTCATAAAGGAAGGAAAGACAGAAGGGGGCATAAGCAATATTAAGAGATAATGGCTAACAATTTTCCAAAAATTATAAAAGACATAAAGCTCCATATTCAAGAAGCACTATGAAATGTAAGCAGGATAACTATGAAGCCAACCGCACTTAGATACATCATGCTAAAACTGTTGAAAACCAGAGATGAAGAGAAAATTTAAAGCAGATAGATTTAAAACATGCATTATGTTCAAAGATGAAATGCTGTTACTGATGGTTGCTTTCTCAACAATGAAGGAATATTTTTTAAATGCTGAAAAAACTCAACTGCCAACCTATAGAATTCTATACCCAGCAAAAATAATGTTCAAAAAATAGAAACACAATAAAAATATTTCCAATAAAATAAAAATAAATAAATAAATGAAAGCAGAGAGAATTTATCAACTTTTAGAATCACACTAAAAAAATATAAAACATTCCTCTGGCGGAAAAATAATGATACCAGACATACTAAAAATAGTACAGAAATGAATGAAGGAAATGTGGATGTATATTTAACATACATATATTTCAATATTGGCTAAACAAGTTAATAATGATAATGTCATGTGTGGTCCAAATTTTGTAATATAATGCATGATCTTATTGGGCTTATTCTCACCAAAACAAAAGTCTGGAGTAGGAAAAGGTAGTTTAAATGTTCCAAAACCCTAGCATTGCCTTGCAAGTGACAAAAGCACTAATTTATATTATTCAAAGATTATCATAGTTAGGGTGATTATTAAAAGAACCAACAAGCTATAAAGAAAATGAAATAATAAAAATATTTTGAAATTTGAAAATATTTTGAAATGAATTATAATAAAAATATAACTTACCAAAATATGTGAGTCTCTGTGCAGCTACAGCTAAATTTATAGCCTTAAGTGCATATATTTAAAAAGAAGAAAGCTGAAAAATCTATGATGCAAATGTCAATCTCAAGAAGTTATTTTAAAAAAGCAACAAACTAAACCCAACTAAAGCAGAATGGAGGAAATAATAAGGATGGGAGCAGAATCAATGAAATGGAAAATAAACCTATAGTAGACAGAATTAACAAAGTCAGAAATTAATTACTTGAGAAGACTAGTAAAATTGATAAATATGTGGCAAGACTGACTAAAAAATAAAGAGGCCGGGCGCGGTGGCTCACGCCTGTAATCCCAGCACTTTAGGAGGCCAAGGCGGGCGGATCACGAGGTCAGGAGATCAAGACCATCCTGGCTAACACGGTGAAACCCCGTCTCTACTAAAAAAATACAAAAAAATTAGCCGAGCGTGGTGGCGGGCGCCTGTAGTCCCAGCTACTCGCGAGGCTGAGGCAGGAGAATGGTGTGAACCCGGGAGGTGGAGCTTGCAGTGAGCCGAGATTGCGTCACTGCACTCCAGCCTGGGTGACAGAGAGAGACTCCATCTCAAAAAAATTAAAATTAAAATTAAAAAAATAAAAATAAATAAAGAAGGCACAAATTACCAATATCAGTGATGAAAAAAGAGATAATGCTATAGATTCTGATTCTATACCTATTAAAAGTTAAAAGAAAATATTACATAATGATGCCAAATAATTTCAAAGTTTAGACCAAATGAAAAATTTCCTAGAAAGGAGTAACTTAATCAAACTTACAAAAGAAGTAATATAAACTCGAAAAGTCTTATATTGATTTTTAAAGTTGAACAAGCACTTCTAGACCTACAAAAAGACCTAGACAGCCACATAATAATAGTGGGGGACTTCAACACCCCGCTGACAGCATTAGACAGCATTCTGGACTTAACTTCAACACTTGACCAATTAGACCTAATAGACATCAATAGAATACTCCACCCATTTACCACAGAATATGCATTCTTCTCATCTGCACACAGAACATAATCCAAGGTCAATTACATTCTTAAGCATAAAGCAAGTCTCAATACATTCAAAAAAGTTGAAATCATACCAACCATACTCTTGGACCTCGGTGGAATAAAAATAGAAATTAACACCAAGAAAACCTTCTAAAACCACACAGTTACCTGGAAATTAGGCAATTTGCTCCTGAATGACTTTTGGGTAAACAATAAAATCAAGGCAGGAATCAAAAAATTCTTCTAAAGAAATGAAAACAGAAACATAGCATACCAAAATATCCATAATGCAGTAAAAGATGTGTTAAGAGTAAAATTTATAGCACTAAATACGCACCTCAAAAAGCAAGAAATATCCCAAAATACCTAGAGGAACTAGAAAAAACAAGAACAAACTAACCCCAAAGCTAGCAGAGGAAAAAAAATAACTAAAATCAGAGTGGAACTGAACAAAATTGAGACCCAAAAACTCATAAAAAGAATTAACAAAACCAAAAGTTGGTTCTTTGAATGGATAAACAAGATCTATAGACCACTAGCTAGATTAACAAAAAATAAAAGGGAGAAAATCCAAATTAGCACAATCAGAAATGACGCAGGTGACATTACAACCAATCTCACAAAAATACAAAAGATCTTCAGAGTCTGTTATGATCACCTCTATGCACACAAACTAGAAAATCTAGAGGAAAATGATAAATTCCTGGAAACACACAATCTCCCAAGATTGAATCAGGAAGAAATTGAAACCCTGAACAGACCAATATCAAGTTCCAAAATTGAATCATTAATTTAAGAATGCCTACCAACCAAAAAGAAACTTCAAACCAGGTGGATTCAGAGCCCAATTATACCAGACATACAAAGAAGAGTTAGTACCAATACTGCTGAATGTATTCCAAAAATCTGAGGAGGAGGAACTAGCATCTTCCTGATACCAAACCTGGCAAAGACACGATGAAGAAAAAAAAAACCACAGGCCAATATCCCTGATGAACATAAATGCAAAAATCCTCAACAAAATACTAGCAAACCATAATGTTAATTCATCATGATTAAGTAGGTTTCATTCCTAGGATCAAGGTTGGTTGAGCATATGCAAATCAATAAATGTAATTCACCACATAAACAGAATTAAAAACAAGAACCATATGATCATCTCAATAGACATAGAAAAGGCTTTCAGTAAAATCCAACATCCCTTCATGATAAAACCCTCAAGAAATTAGGCATCAAAGGAACATATCTCAAAATAATGAGAACCATCTATGCCAAAGCCATAGCCAACATCATACTGAACAGACACAAACTGGGAGATTTCCCCTTGAGAACTGGAACAAGACAAGAATGTCCACTCTCACTACTCCTATTCAACATAGTACTGAAAGTGCTAACCAGAGCAATCAGGCAAGAGAAAGTAATAAAAGGCATCCAAAGAAGAAGCAAAGTCAAACGATCTCTCTTCACAGACAATCTGATTCTACATCCAGAAATGACTTCAGTAAAGTTTTAGAATATAAAATCAATATACAAAAATCAGCAGCATTTCTATACACCAATAACATTCAAGTGAGAGCCAAATCAAGAATGCAATCCCATTTACAATAGCCACACAAAACAATAAAATACTTAGAAATACATCTAATCAAAGAGGTGAAAGATAACTACAAGGAGAACTACAAAACACAGAGAAAGAAATCATAGTTGACACAAACAAATGAAAAAATATTACATATTCATGGATTGGGAGAATCAATATAGTTAAAATGGCCATACTTCCTAAAGCAATCTACAGATTCAATGGTGCCCCTTTCAACACCAACATTATTTTTCACAGAACTAGAAAAAAACTATTCTAAAATTCATATGAAACAAACAAAAAGCAGAATAGCCAAAGCAATCCTAAGCAAAAAAACAAAGCAGAGGCATCACATTACCTGACTCCAAACTATACTATAAAGCTACAGTAACCAAAACAGCATGGTACTGGTACAAAAACAGACATATGGACCAATGGAACAGAATAAATAACCCGGAAATAAAGCCACATACCTATAGCCATCTGATCTTTGACAAAGTTGACAAAAATAAGCATTGGGGAAAGAATTCCCAATTCAATAAGTGGTGCTGGGTTAGCTGACTAGCCATATGCAGAAGAATAAAACTGGACCTCTACTTTTCACCATAACAAAAATTAAGTCAAGATGGATTAAAGATTCAAATGCAAGACTTCGAACTACAAGAATCCTAGAAGACAACCTAGGAAATTCTGAACATCTGCCTTGGGAAAGAATTTCTGACTAAGTCCTCAAAATCAATTGCAACAAAAACAAAAATTGACAAGTGGGACCTAATTAAACTAAAGAGCTTCTTAACAGCAAAAGATACTATCAACAGAGTAAACAGGCAACCTACAGAATGGGAGAAAATATTAGCAAATTATGCATTCGACAAAGGTTTAATATCCAGAATCTATAAGGAACTTAAATAATTGAACAAGCAAAAAACAAATAGCCCCATTAAAAAATGGGCAAAAGACATGAACAGACACTCCTCAAAAGAAGACATACAAGCAGTCAACAAACAAGAAAAAATGTTCAATGTCAAAAATCATCAGAGAAATGCAAATCAAAACCACAATGAGATATTATCTCACATCAGTCAGAATGATTGTTATTAAAAAGTAAAAAGCAACAGATGCTGGCAAGACTACAGAAGAGGGGGAATGCTTGTGTACTATTTGTGGAATTGTAAATTAGTTCAGCCACTGTGGAAAGCAGTTTGGAGATTTCTTGAAGAATTTAGAACTGCTATTCAACCCAGCAATCCCATTACCAGGTATATATCCAAAAAAAATCATCTTACCTAAAAGACACATATACTTTCATGTTCATCACAGCACTATTCACAATAACAAAGACATGGAATCAAACTTGGTGCCCATCAACAGTGGATTGGATAAAGAAAATATGGCACATAGACACATGGAATACTACACAACCATAAAAATAACAAAATCATGTCCTTTGCAGCAAAATGGATGTAGCTAAGACAATCATTAATTTGCTCAGGACAATCAAGAATGCAATCCCATTTACAATAGCCACACAAAGCAATAAAATACTTAGAAATACATCTAACCAAAGAGGTGAAAAATATCTACAAGGAGAACTACAAAACACAGAGAAAGAAATCATAGATGACACAAACAAATGGAAAAATATTACATGTTCCTGGATTGGGAGAATCAATATAGTTAAAATGGCCATACTTCCCTAAGCAAATTAATTGTCCTAAGCGAATTAATGAAGAACCAGAAAACCAAATACCACATATTCTCACTTGTAAGTGGGAGCTAAACATTGAGTACTCATGGACATCAAGATGGCAATAATAGAAACTGGGGACTACTAGCGGGGAGGGCTAAGAGTTGAAAAACTGATTATTGTGCACTATGCTCAGTACCTGGGTGATGGGATCAGTCATACCCCAAACCTCAGCATCATACAATATGCCCAGGTAACAAACCTGCACATGTACCCCCTGAATCTAAGTTAAAAATGATATTTTGTAGTTTAATTTTTTAAAATTTAAAATATCCCCATTAAGAAATCTCTGGGTGCAGAAGCCATCACTGGTGAAAAATTTACAAACATTTAGAGAATAGTAAGACAAAAAAATGATGCTATCCAAAATGTAAGAGTGGGCATTGCCCAACTCATTTTATGAGGACAGAATAACCTTGATGTCAAAACCCAATTAAGGACATTATAAAAAAAGAAAATTTACACAATAATGTCCCATAAACATAAATGAAAAGTATCTCAAATGAAAATTAGCAATTCAAATCTCATAGCATATTAAAAGAAGAAAACATCACATTCAAATTGAGTTTGTTCCAGGAATATAAGGATAATTTAACATTAAAATTAACCAATATAATTCACCACATTAATAACAGGGAAATAATTATTTTATTTAATAAAGCTATAACTGTAAAGCTATTCAATAAAATTCCACACCCATTGATATGATTTGGCTGTGTCCCCCCAAAATCTCAACTTGAATGGTATCTCCCAGAATTCCCACATATTGTAGGAGGAACCCAGGGTGGGGGGTGATTGAATCATGGGGACTGTTCTTTCCCATGCTATTCTCATGGTGGTGAATAAGTCTCATGACATCTGATGAGTTTACAGAGGTTTCCACTTTTGCTTCTTCCTCCTTTTCTCTTGCTGCCACCGTGTAAAAAGAGCCTTTCACCTCCCACCATGATTCTGAGACCACTCCAGCCATGTGGAACTGTAAGTCCAATTAAACCTCTTTCTTTCATAAATTGCCCAGTCTCAGGTATGCCTTTATCAGCAGCATGAAAACGGACTAATACACTCATTTATCACAAAAATTCTTAGCAAACAAGGAACATAACATTATTAATCTGTTAAAGAGTATCTATAAAAATCCTACCAGAAACATCATACTTTATGATCAAATATTGAAAGCTTTTCCCCAGAGATAAGAAATGGGACAAGATTGCCCAAAACCAGCACTTCTACTCAACATTTGATTGGGATCCTAGCCAAGGCAATAAGACAAGAAAAAACACAAAGTATAAGAATTGCAAATAAAGACATAAAACTATCATTACTCATAGGCATCTTGAGTGTATATGTAGAAAATCTAAACGAATCTGTAGATAAACTCTAAAAATACAAAGAGAATGTAGCAAGGTTACTGGATACAAAATAAGTGTGTAAAAGTCAATTATATATTTATATATTAGCAACACCAAATAGAATATAGCTTTTTAAACATACCATATATAATAAAAACACCAAATGCCTACATGATATCAAAGACACATACAGCTGGTGCACATGAACACACACCCCCATGTAGGGGCTTCATGTTACATGGTTCAGTCATTTGGTTTCTCTGGGTCACTGTTTACTCATCTTTAAATTGCCAACACTGTGTTAGGTTTGGATTGATCATTTGTGCGACCTCTGGTAGTTTTAAAATTCCATAATTCTCTTCTTGTCTCATTCATTAATTCTGCAAATACTAGCTGAGTATTCACCAAGTACCAGGCATGGTGCTAATCGGATAAACATAAGACAGATGGTAAATGTTTGTAGAATAAATGAGGATGTAAGGCCCCACTGCTGTCTTTACAGAGCTCTGGCCTAGTGGGGAAGCCCGCACTCCAAGCACACAGTCATATCAGAGTGACTCCTGTTGTGATAGCAAGAGGCACTGGATCCTGGGAGTGGGTTGGAGTGGGGAGTTCTCAGAGGAGGTGTTACATGAGTGGCTTCTTACAGGACATCAGAAGCCAGCCCACCCTGGGTGGAGGAGCAAGGGTGGCTGGGAGAAATTGGGAAGCAGAGTGTGGGGAGGGCTCCTTCCTGTTGTAATGTTATGTCAATATTACATTCATTCAATCTGTTTACACCAAAAAGTTTATACTAGAAAGTGTGTAATGGAGAAGGCTTAATATATTCCCTCCACTTTATGTACTGAAGATCAATAACTTCTGATGATAGAATGCAAGCCCTAGAATATTCAGGGATGTAGGTGTTGACATAACCCTCAAATCTAGCCATGTCATTGGCTGTTAGCCCTGCTATGTTCCAGAATGGCTGAGGCTGAGAGTTAAACCCCCAACAGCCAGCTCAGCTAGCTGTGGCTTCTCTCCAGGTTCCAGCAGCACCATTCCTACCTACCTGATGCTGATACCCAGAAAGCTTCCATGATTCTCCCACAATGCATCTGTGCTCATCACAGTTCAGGCTCTGCCCATGAGAAAGTCCCCTTCAGACACTTGTTGGATCCCAATTTCTTGGTCATTGCCAGGACCAGAGAGTAAACCGTTGGCCTGCTTTAAAAAAAACAAAAAAAGTACATAAAAAACTTACCCAAAGTGCAAGTCATTCCACATAGGAAGTAGAGGAATTGATCCAACCCATTTTCTATGTTCTTCCTTCCTCCCCAGGAGGCTTCAGGTAGCTCATCTACCTGACACTGGCCCTCCATAAAGGGGGCAAGTAAGAGAAGGAGCTTTGGACAATGCAACTGAGATTGTATTTTTAAACCCCATATCGATGAACAAAATGTGCTTGTTTCCCTAATAAACATAAGGCTTTGGAAAAAAATGTTTTAAAAAGGGAAAGAAAGAAAAAAAAATTAAAGCTGTGCTACTGATTCAGCCAAAATGGCTAGGAGAAGCAACAGCCATCTCCCTGCAGGAGCAACTGCACCCGTGGGGCCCACACTGAGAAGGGAGGCAGCGTTCCACAGCCAGAAGGAACAGAAGAGGAGCTCGCAAAATCATCTGTTGGGGAGGAGGTGTTTTTATTAAAATTGCAATTGTTGTGGTACTAATCAGTGGTAATTATCATTGCACTCACCCAAACCCAGCCCGACGCCGCCGAGGGGGGCTGCTGCCTTTTTCGGAAGGGTTGTGTTTCAGAAAGGAGATTAGCATCAACACTCCAACAGGTAACCCGTCCACAGGCCTCCCTGAAAAGGGAGCTGAATTACTTGCATCAATATTTGAAAAACAAGCGAGGCATATCTCAGACTCAGGAGATATGCTGGAAACTAGAAAAAATAGATTTTTTTTCATATTTACTGCCAGATATTGCTGTGTTACACGGCTATATGCAGATAGAGGACACGGTGAGGCTTATCATGCCAGTGATAGATCCCGCGCTGTCTTTAAAGGAATCAATCATTAATTTAAATCGTTTATAGCGTGGCTGTTAGCTTGTTAACCCATTTTCTTCTGTGTGGGAAGAAATTGAGTGACTGCGGGTATATGAGCCTTGGAATGAAAGCGATTTTTTTTTAACGGGTCGTTGCTGATGGGTCTCCTAAGTCCTGCTTCTTACTTTGTCATTTTAAAGAAAGATTTTATTTTGAAAATTAATATCACGGAAGCAATCAGTGTGTGGAAAGTTCACATGGTGAACTTCTAGAAATGTGAGAGGTAAAAATTCGAACATCTCCCAACCCTCTCCAAGCCCAGTCTGCGGGAAGAGTCACCCGGGTGGGCTGTCACCTCCACCTGTGAACTCGCCGCTTTTGCTTCTTTCCTTCTTGTCCCTAAGGAAGTGTAGGCGTCAGGGGAGACTTGGTTGAGTGGTTTTCTCTTTGTGCCCCAGCTCTACTTCCTTGGACTGAGACCTACATCCTTCCAGCTACCTATCATGCATTTGAAGACCAAGTCATATGTTCCAGTGACTCTGCATGCGTGGCAGGCTCTGCTGGGAGCCACGGGGGCATGCAGAGGCAAGGCCGGTGTTCCCGGGGCCTGTGATCCAAGGGAAGAGGTGAGACACAAGCCCTGCAGGAACCTGCATGTGCCGCCTTTGCTGTCAGCGCTGCCGCAGCTGTGTCCCGCGATGGCAGCCAGGAGAGCCTGCAGCAGGAAGGCTGGTGCCGGTGAGGAGGTCCGGGAGGGCCAGCATGGAGCGGAGGACTGAAGCGGGTCTTGGAGGATCTTAGAGGATGAGGAAGCTCCAGGAGGGAGGCTCACAGCAGTGCCTAGGTGCAAGGCAGGTGGCCTGGAGCACTGAGGAAGGACCACTGACCACTGGCTGAAATGAACATTGTGGGCGGGGAAGGGGTTTGACCTACGACTTCCGGGGAGTCTCAATTTCAGATGTCTTTTCCCACTGTCAAGCAACTTGTCAGACTGAGCCTTCTGGTAGCAACTGGGAAGATAGTGCCAGCTCTTTAGGGGAATGTGAGGCTTTTGGAAAGTGAGTTTAGTCCCTAATACTCCAATAAGGAGATTGGAATTCATCCCGTGGGCCGTAGGAATCCATCCAGCGTTCTAGTCCAGAGAACTGTCTGAGATGGCTACACTACTGTGACCAATGACCACAAATGTAGTGGCTTAAAGCAGCACAGATTTCTTCTCCTACCCTTCTGGGGGTCAGAAGTCTAGAATGGGTTTGCGGGGCTATGTTCCTTCTCCCAGTGAGAACACATCCCCTTGCCTCTTCCAGCTTCTAGATGCCACCTGCATCCCCTGGTCCATGGCTCCTTCCTCCATATTCAAAGCCATGGCGCAGCACCTCCAATCTCTCTCTCTGCCTCCATGGTCACTTCTCCTTCTTGCTTAGATCTCCTGCCTCCTTCGTATAAGGATCCCTGTGATTACATCCAGTCCACCAAGACCACCTCTCCATTTCAAGGTCCTTCATCCCAACTGCAAAGTCCTTTTTGCTGTGTAAGGAACAGATTCACAGACTCTGGGGACTAAGATGTGGACATCTTTGGGGGAACGTTATTCTGTCCATCACAAAAATGGCCCAGTAAATAATAACAACAGTAATAATGCTAAGTGGAGTGCATTGAGCACTATTTAGTGCCAGGTACTTCTTCTGTATTTTGTCTAACCACTACCATGTGGTAGATAATACTCCCACTTTACAGAAAGACAAACCAAGATTCAGAGCTGAAATGACTTGCTCCCTGTCCTCCTAACTTATAAAAACCTGTCTTGGCACCAAAGTGTCTGACTCCAAACCAAAGATTTCTACCAAAGCAGCATCGGAGGACGTAGATGTGATATTTTGTGCTTGGTTGTGGTAATAGCTTAGTTTCCATAGGTGTCTGTGACTTAAGTAGCCTGGAAAATGTCTTTACTGAGCACGTTATTCACCAAGCTTGCACCCAATGCCTGTTATGGACTGGGCTCCAGCCAAGTCCTGATCCTGAGGGTCTCAGCCCAGTGCAGGTGGCAGAGACCCTCTGAGCCTCCCACGAGTGCAATAACAGGCCATGAACGAGGCACCACTGGGCCCAAAGGAGACAGCTTTTCCCTCTGTCTGGAAAGGTTAGAGAAGATTTCCCAGAGGGGAAGACATTTGAGCGGAGACTTGAAGGTGAAGAATGAGGAGGATTTTATCATGTGCAGGAGGCTTGCGGCTGGGAGGGGAGGACAAATCAAGCAGAGGACATTGCCAGTGCAAGAATGTGTGTGTGTGTGTGTGTGTGTGTGTGTGTGAGAGAGAGAGAGAGAGAGAGGGAGAAACAGA